>NW_021160016.1:0-369264 GCF_000001405.40 Homo sapiens | reverse complement strand
TAGAATTACAGCATAACTGTTATTACTGTTATTTCACTTTTTTTTTTTAGAAGGAGTCTTGCTCTGTCGCCCAGGCTGGAGTGCAGTGGCGCAACCTCAGCTCACTGCAACCTCCGCCTCCTGGGTTCAAGCAATTCTACTGCCTCAGCCTCTCGAGTAGCTAGGATTACAGGTGTGCGCCACCAAGCCAGCTAATTTTTGCATTTTTAGTAGAGACAGGTTTCGCCATGTTGGCCAGGCTGGTCTCGAAGTCCTGAACTCAGGTGATCCGCTCGCCTCGGCCTCCCATAGTGCTGGGATTACAGGCGTAAGCCACTGCACCCGGCCTGTTCTTTCACTTTATCAGAGCAGAGCATCTAATCGGTTGAAAGCCTCTACTTTATCTCTTATACATTAATCCCCTCTTCACTTCCTTCCTTATCCATTTTAGATTCAGTGGTACATTAATACAGTCCTGCCCCTACTTAATCTTAATCCCACCACAACACTCCTTTTTCCCCAACGAAATCCCTCACCCTGGATGGACCTATGTGTTTCTCCTTGCTTGTACCTTGTCATAGAAAGTTGTCCTGTTGCTGGGCGTGGTGGCTCATGCCTGTAATCCCAACACTTTGGGAGGCCGAGGTGGGCGGATCACGAGGTCAGGAGTTAGAAACCAGCCTGGCCAATATGGTGAAACCCCGTCTCTACTAAAAATACAAAAATTAGCTGGGTGTGGTGGCGCATGCCTGTAGTCCCAGCTACTGGGGAGGCTGAGGCAGAAGAATCGCTTGAACCTGGACGGCGGAGGTTGCAGTTAGCCGAGATCACGCCACTGCACTCCAGTCTGGGTGACAGAGCAAGATTTCATCTCAAAAACAAAAAAATTGTCCTGTTGAGGCCGAGCACGATGGCTCATGCCTGTAATCCCAGCACTTTGGGAGTCCGAGGCGGGTGGATCACCTGAGGTCAGGAGTTTGAGACCAGCCTGACCAACATGGTGAAACCCTGTCTACTAAAAATACAAAAATTAGCCGGGCGTGGTGGTGAAGACCTGTAATCCCTGCTACTCCAGAGGCTGAGGCAGGAGAGCTTGAACCTGAGAGGAGAGGTTGCAGTGAGCTGAGATTGCATCATTGCACTCCAGCCTGGGCAACAAGAGCAAAGCTCCACCTCAAAAAAAGAAAAAGTGTCCTGCTGAACAGATTGGCGTCACTACATTAATAAAGACCAACTTTAAATGGACTGTGGGTCAGGTGCGGCGGCTCACACCTGTAATCCCAGCACTTGGGAGGCTGAGGTGGGTGGATCATGAGGTCAGGAGTTCGAGACCAGCCTGGCCAACATTGTGAAACCCCGTCTCTATTAAAAATACAAAAATTAGCTGAGCGCAGTGGCAAGCACTTGTAATCCCAGCTACTTTGGAGGCTGAGGCAGAAGAATTGCTTGAACCCGGGAGGTGGAGTTTGCATTGAGCTGAGATCGCGCCACTGCACTCCAGCCGGGGTGACAGAGCAAGACTCCGTCTCAAAAAAAAAAAGGACTGTGAACTGTGACTAGAAATTTCATTATATTTTTCTAGTCAACTTGCTCTCCACGATCTCTACAAATCTCTGACCTATACCCTTACCACTTCCCCTGACTTCCTTATCATGTAAGTAACAGAAAATGTAGAATGTCCTGAAATCGAGAAACCTACTTACTTGCCTTCCCATCCTGTCCTTACCTCCTATTTATTCAATCAAAAATATTCATTCAACTCCCACTATATGCCAGACCAGGCACTCATGTAGGTGCTTACTGAGCAATGGACAAAACAAATTCCCTGCTCGCAAGGATCTTTACTAGTTCGAGGAGAGAAAACAAGTATGTAATGTCAGGGATATATGCTAAGAAAACAAAGCAGGGTAGGGATTAGACAGTGGTGTCAGGTAGCTGCTATTTTAGATGTTAGTCAGAGAAGAATTTATAAGGAGCCCTTAAGCAGAAACTGGCCTTGACTTAATGGGTGTAAGCCATGTAGATATCTAGGGGGAGAGTGTTCCAGGCAGAGGAGACAGCAAATTCAAATGCCCTGAGGCAGGAGCCTGCTTGAGGTGCTATGGGAATAGCAAGGAGATCACTATGTTGATTCAGAGTGAGTGATGGGGAGAGTGCTAAGAGACCAGATAAAAAAGGTAGCTGGGGCCTTACCATGCAGGGCCTTCTCAATTATGGCAACAATTTTGCCGGTCACCACTGAAAGCCCTGGAGAGTTCTGAACACAAGAGCTACTTGATCAGATTTATATCTCTAAAGGGATCATTCTAGCTGTTGTGTTGAGAATAGACTATGAGGGTAAGGGGTAAGAGTAGAAGCACTAATCTTGGCAGAAGATGATGGTGGCCTGAACTAAGTAACAGCAGTGGAGGTAGTGGTAAGTGGTTAGATTCCACGTGTATTTTGAAAGTGGAGCTGGCTGAGCGAGCCAGTGAGCACAGTGGCCCATACCTGTAATCCCAACACTATGGGAGGCTGAGACGGGTGGATCGCTCGTGCCTAAGAGTTCGAGAACAGCCTGGGCAACATGGTGAAACTCCGTCTCTATCAGTAAATACAAAAATCAGCCAGGTGCGATGGTGTGTGCCTGTAGTCCCAGCTAGTCAGGGCTGAGATGGGAGGATGGCTTGAGCCCAGGAGATGGAGGCTGTAGTGAGCCATGATCATGCCACTGCACTCCAGCCTGGGCAACAGAGAGAGACGCTGTCTCAAAAAAAATAACTAAATAAAAAGATAAGAAAGTGGAACCACTAAGATTTGCTGATGGATTGGTTGTATAGGCTAGAGAAGAGAGTGAAGGATGATGCCAAGGTTTTTGGCCCAAGTAATTGTTAGAATAATGGTATCATTTGCTGACCTAAGGAATACCAGCAGAAGCCAACACCAATGGAATATTAGCAATAAAAAGAATAAAGTATTGATATACACAACAAGTAGGCATTATAACTACATAATAATGAAAGGATTATGCCAAGTAAACTAAGTCAGTCTCAAATGACACACATACAAATATTGAAATTATAGTTTGGAGAGTAAGTCAGTGATTGCCAGGAGCTAAGGGGGTGGAGGGAATGACTAAAGAGATAGCAAAAAGGACGGTTTTAGGGTGATGGAACTCTTTTGAATCCTGATTTTGGTAGTAGTTACTTCAATCTGTACATGTGTTAAAATCCATAGGACTGTATATAACAAAAATAAAGTCAATTTTATTGTATGAAGTTTTTTTCTTAAAAGCCAAACTCCAGGCCGGGTGCAATGGCTCATGCCTGTAACCTCAGCACTTTGGGAGGTCGAGGCGGGCAGATCACTTGAGGTCAGGAGTTCCAGACCAGCCTGGCCAACATGGTGAAATCTCGTCTCTACTGAAAATACAAAAATTAGCCAGACATGGCGGCAGTTGGCCGTAATCCCAGCTACTCGGAAGGCTGAGGCAGGAGTATCTCTTGAAGCCAGGAGGCAGAGGTTGCAGTGAGCCAAGATGGTGCCACTGCACTCCAGCCTGAGCAACAAGAGCGAAAACTCCGTCTAAAAACAAAAAAGCCAAACTCCATAGCTGTTCAAGTTTCCCTTCACAATTCTTAGGGATCTCCCTTTAACCTCTTGCAATGTTGGATCCTTTCATTAGTATTCAAGCAAACTCTAGTTTCACTCATCTTTTGCTTTCAAAAGAAGAAGGAAAAAAAAGCCTTTCCCTCAATCCCACATTCTGTTGACTAAAGCCTTATCTCACTAATTCCCCTTCCTGGCAAAACTTCTAGAGTTATTGTCTTCACTACAGCTCAAGTGATCGGATCTTTCTCCTTAAAATGCTCTATGGCTTCGCATTGCTCTTGGGATCAAGTCCTAAATTCCTTTATGTGGCCTACAGGGCCCTAAGAAGATCTAGCTTCTTGCCTACCTCTTCAGTTTTATCTCTGTCTCAAGGTATAGAAAAGGTCCTAGGAAAGTGGCCCTACTAGTTGACCTCAGTAGCTGAAACAGAAAAGCATGCTCCTCCCATCACAGAAATATGATATAAGTAACAGAAAATGTAGAATGCCCTGAAACCTAGATGATTAAACCCTGAGATACGTGCCCATTCATGTTACAAGGAATATCATTTAATCTCTACTTTAGCTTCTAAAGGGTAGTGGGTTGAACAGAATAGCCACAGTGTTTTTCAGCTTCTCCAATGCAGAGGTGGAGTCTGTTTCTCCATTCACTGAATCTAGGCTTGGCCGTGTGACTTGCTTTGTCCTGTAGGACACTGGCAAATGTAAAGCAAGAAGTGTCTTGAGAAGTGATTACAACAGGGGGTTGCTTTCTCTTGCTGCTGTGACCTCTTCCACTACCACGAGGATAACTCCTACTAACCTAATGGATGATGACAGACACATAGTCATCACCCCATCTGACATCTGACCAACTGCCAGACATGTATGAGTGTGGCCCCTTAGACCAGCTAGCCTGCCAGCAACTACCAGACATATGAACAAGAGCATTCTAGACCATCCAGGCCCAGCTAAGCTGGCCCAGACCAGAAGACTTCCCCAGCAAACCCACAGACTGATGAAAAAGAATAAATGCTTATTGTTTAAGAGTGAAACCAGTAAGTTTTGAGGTAGTTTGTTCTGCAATAAAAACTGAAACACAAAGCATGTCTTTGCAGCTCTCAGGATGGATTTGTTTGGTGTACTTCTTGGAGTGCCTGAAGCCAACATGCATCAGCTTCACAGAGCTGGTCTGTGTTACCTTAAGTTATCTCATCAGATTTCTCATAGTTTTGCTGATTTATAGCAAAACATATTTAAGGCTTAATAATACACATCAAGTCTCTTGTTATTTCACTTGTTCAGTGAAGGTAATTTTATTTGCAAGGTTTTCATTCATTTTATTACTTTTTTTTTTTTTTTTTTAATTGAGCCGGGTCTCACTGTACTACCCAGACTGGTCTTGAACTTCTGGGCTCAGGCGATCCTCCTGTGTCAGCCTCGAGGTCTCACTGTGTTACCCAGGCTGGTCCGGAACTCTTGGGCTCAAGCAGTCCTCCTGCATCAGCCTCCCAAAGTGCCGGGATTACAGGCACAAACAACTGTGCCAAGACTTGTTACTTTTTTTTTTTTTTTTTTTTTTTTTGAGACAGGGTCTCTCTCTTTCACCCAGGCTGGAGTGCACTGACATGATCTCAGTTCACTGCAGCCTCTGCCTCCCAGGCTCAAGCGGTCCTCCTACCTTAGCCTCCCGAGCAGCTGGGACCACAGGTGTGCACCATCACGCGCAGCTAATTTTTGTATTTTTTGTAGAGATGTGGTTTCACCCTGTTGCCCAGGCTGGTCTTGAACTCCTGGACTCAAGTGATCCTCCTGCTTTGTCCTCCCAAAGTGTTTGGGATTACAAGCGTGAGCCATCGTGCCTGGCCCTTGTTACTCTTCTTTTTTTTTTTTGAGACAGTCTCACTCTGTCACCCAGGCTGGAGTGCAGTGGTGCGATCTCAGCTCACTGCAAGCTCCGCTTCCTGGGTTCATGCCATTCTCCTGCCTCAGCCTCCCCAGTAGCTGGGACTACAGGCACCCGCCACCAAGCCCGGCTAATTTTTTTTTGTATTTTTAGTAAAGACAGGATTTCACTGTGTTAGCCAGGATGGTCTCGATCTCCTGACCTCGTGATTCGCCCGTCTCAGCCTCCCAAAGTGCTGGGATTACAGGTGTGAGCCACTGTGCCCGGCCCTTGTTACTCTTTTTTTAAAACAAAGGTTAAGGCCAGGCTCGGTGCCTCTTGCCTATAATTTTATCACTTTGAGAGGCCTAGATGGGAAGATCACTTGAGGCCAGGCATTCAAGTTCAGCCTGGGCAACATAGCAAGACCCTGTCTCTACAAAAAGGTTTTTTTTTTTTTTTTTTTTTTTGAGACGAAGCCTCATTCTTGTCCCCCAGGCTGGTGTGCAATAGCCTGATCTCAGCTCACTGCAACCTCTGCCTCCTGGGTTCAAGTGATTCTCCTGCCTCAGCCTCCTGAGTAACAGGGATTACAGGCACCTACCACCACGCCTGGCTAATTTTTGTATTTTTATTAGCGATGGGGTTTCACCATGTTGGCCAGGCTGGTCTCGAACTCCTGGCCTTAGATGATCCGCCCGCCTCGGCTTCCCAAAGTGCTAGGATTACAGGCGTGAGCCACTGCACATGGCCTGAAAAAGAATTTTTTTTTTTTCTTTTTTTTGAGACGGAGTCTCAATGTGTCACCCAGGCTGGAGTGCAGTGGCACAATCTCTGCTCACTGCAACCTCCGCTTCCTGGGTTCAAGCAATTTTTCTGTCTCTGCCTCCTGAGTAGCTGGAATTACAGGCACCTGCCACCACACCCAGCTAATTTTTGTATTTTTAGTAGAGATGGGGTTTCACGATGTTGGCCAGGCTGGTCTCGAACTCCTGACCTCAAGTGATCCACCTGCCTCGGCCTCTCAAAGTGCTGGAATTATAGACATGAGCCAGCGTGCCCAGCCTCAAAAAAGTTTTTAAAAACTGCTAGGAATGGTGGTGCATGCCTGTAGTCCTGGCTACTCTGATGGGAAGCTGAGGCAGGATCACTTGAGCAGTGAGCTATGATCATGCCACTGCACTCCAGCCTGGGCAATAGAATGAGACCTTGTCTCAGAAAAAAAAAAAGGTTAAGTTGTATAAACATTGGACATCATTTTTTACGTATGTTTTGCATGTTTAGTCTTTTTTTTTTTTTAGACGGAGTTTCGCTCTTGTTGCCCGGGCTGGAGTGCAATGGCAGGATCTTGGTTCACCACAACCTCTGCCCTCCTGGGTTCAAGCGATTCCCCTTGAGTAGCTGGGATTACAGGCATGTGCCACCAGGCCTGGCTAATTTTGTATTTTTAGTAGAATCAGGATTTCTACATGTTGGTCAGGCTGGTCGCGAACTCCCAGCCGCCTGGCCGTATATATCTTTTTTTTTTTTGAGACGGAGTCTTTCTCTGTCGATCTCAGCTCATTGCAACCTCCACCTTCCGGGTCCTGCCTCAGCCTCCCGAGTAGCTGGGATTACAGGAGTGCACCACCACACCCGGCTAATTTTTTTTTTTTTTGAGACAGAATTTCGCTCTGTCACCCAAGTTGGAGTGCAGTGGTGCGATCTTGGCTTACTGCAACCTCCGTCTCCTGGGTTCAAGCAATTCCCCTACCTCAGCCTCCCGAGTAACTGGGATTACAGGTGCCCACCACCACACCCAGCTAATTTTTGCATTTTTAGTAGAGACAGGGTTTCACCACGTTGGCCAGGCTGGTCTCAAATTCCTGACCTCAGTGATCCGCCTGCCTTGGCCTCCCAAAGTACTGGGATAGGCCTGACCTTTTTTTTTTTTTTTTGAGATGGAGTCGCGCTCTGTCACCCAGGCTGCCAGGCTGGAGTGCAGTGGCACAATCTCGGCTCACTGCTACCTCCGCCTCCCGGGTTCAAGTGATTCTTCTGCTTCAGTCTTCCAAGTAGCTGGGACTACAGGTGGGCGCCACCACGCCCAGCTAATTTTTTTTTTTTTTTTTTTTTGTATTTTTAGTAGAGATGGGGTTTCAGCATATTGGCCAGGCTGGTCTCGAACTTCTGACCTTGGGATCTGCCCTCCTTGGCCTCCCAAAATGCTGGGATTACAGGCGTGAACTACCGTGCCTGACCAATTTTTTTTTTGTATTTTTAGTAGAGATAGGGTTTCGCCATGTTGGCCAGGGTGGTCTTGAACTCCTGACCTCAAGTGATCCACCTGCCTTGGCATCTCAAAGTGCTGGGATTACAAGTGTGAGCCACTGAGCCTGGCCTAAATTTAGTCTTAAATGTACAGTGCATAAAAGCTAAGAAACAACGGGTAAATGGCCATATTATGGGATAATAATCTCGTAACTAATGAGATCATAACTAATGAAGGGAAAATGCCTTTAGTTTTGTTTATGATAGCCAGTGTAATTGTTAATGTAATTGTGTCTGTCTTAATGAGATTTGATGTTTTAGCATGAGTGGGTGTTAATTTTGGGACACTGTGCACATATAAAATGTTTTCCCATTGAAATTAAGTACTGATTACATTTTCAACTTGAATTGCCCCACAAGAGGTTTTTTAGGATTAACTACCCCAGGAAGGCAGGAAAGGACTGTCCTGTAGTCACTGTACCTTTTACTGTCATGGAAAATTAAAATGAAACCAGATGATTAAGGTTTCCACTTGTCCTGAGATGAAGGTGTAGCCTGAGGAGCCTCTATTAGCATGTGTAAAGCCTCTGCTGAGTAAATGGTATTAACTTGTGTAAAGAAAGAATGTGACTAGGGGGCCCAGCAAGGAGGTATATCAAGTCAACACATTCCTGAGGGTATCTCTCTAGCTGTGGTGGTGGATGCGTCAGTAACGTATCTGCAGCCTGAGTGGGCTTTCAGTGTGTTTTCCTGTGGGTAGGGGATACGACCATCAGGCTGACTACTGGGTGTCCTCTTTCATAGAACTGTTTGTATTTTAAGTCAGACAATTGGTATTTGGTGTCTGGTGACCTGGGTTATGTGAAGTGTCAGCCTCCACTAACCACTAAACCCTGGGGAAATGCCAGTACCTAGTTACTGAGGCTCAAAGGTAAACTTTGAAAACTTTTTCAGAGTAACAAGCCCTCCTGGCAGTGGGCAGACCAACATTCCCCTGAAGATAGCTGCTCTCTTGCCACATTCTCTTTCCACATGCCTTCACTGCAAAGGTCTTCTCCAAGCCTGGGACTCCGATTTGCCAACATGCTGATGAACTGACTTGACTACATTGTTCTGTCTCTCACCTGTGAATGGAAGAGGTTAGACCTCTAAGGCAAGCAAAAAGGCCAATCCCAGAGTGACTCATCTTTGAAAATATTGGATTGTCTCACTCTCCCTGATACTTAATTAAAAGCCATCTTTGCAAAGCATCATCCAATTTCTGTAGTGGCCCCAGCGCTCAGTAGTCCCAGAGACTGTCAGAGCAAAAGGGAGCAGGAGGCAATTCAAGCCATCTGTCCTAGAATAGGACACCTGGTCACAGGCCTGTGCCTCTGGTCAGGGCTCTTTGGGAGCCATCTGGCCCTCCATCCCATAGAGCTGTGCTGAGCCAGACTCTGTCAAGTATTGGTGAAACTAAGAGGAGAAGGTACACAAGCCAAAGTTAGCCTGGCAGTGAGCTTGACTGGGAGAGTTGCAGGGCCAACCGATTCTCATAAATGTGTCCACAGATACCTACACAGGTGTCTCAAAAAAATACATAAATAAAATAAAGGAAGCTAATTATACTATAATGGGAGTTTTCAGAATTTTATTAAGGTGAAATCTATGAAATGCCAGAAAGGTTAAAAAGCTTGTCTACTTCAGGCCTTTGCTTTCTGCTTTATGGCAAGAGCACATGTTGAATATTTAGATTAATTCAAACCAACCTCAACACAAATTTTTAACCCTGATGCAATTTCGGGGAACAATAGTTAACATCATTTAGGAATACAATTTAGAACCCTCACCTTTAAAAATGGAGCCAGATTTTCAATCTCTCTAATTAAAGTGAAAGTTTGATTTCCTAATGCTTATAACTCTACTGAGATTGTGTTGGAAGAGAAGAGATTGATTATAAAGCTAACTGATCTGATGTCCTCCTGACCAATTCCCTTTCATCTCTCTCCCCACAAAAAGGGACAAAAAGCTTAACACTGTGGTCATCCAGCAGCCAGTCATTTCCTAATATGGACAGTACAGTCCTTCAGTTTCACTTCCAGAAGCCAAGTACTAGGAGAATAGTTTTTACATTTGTATATGTTTCCTACACCTCTTTCCCTTCTCAGTCCCAAGAGAGAAGCCTCTGTGTTGCTTGCTTTAACGTTAATGATGATGTCTGCAATGACTGTATTTCCTGAACCTACAGTATGGGATCAGCTCCAACACGTCACCCTAATGTTTGATTACAAAATTTAAATGAATAATCACAAAATTTGAGGCCGGGCGCGGTGGCCCACGCCTGTAATCTCAGCACTTTGGGAGGCCACGGCTGGCAGATCATTTGAGGTCAGGAATTCGAGACCAGCCTGGCCAACATGGTGAAACCCTGTCTCGACTAAAAATACAAAAATTAGCTGGGTGTAGTGGCAGATGCCTGTAGTCCCAGCTACTTGGGAGGCTGAAGCAGGAGAATCGTTTGAGCCCCAGAGGCAGAGGTTGCAGTGAGCCGAGATTGCGCCACTGCAGTCCAGCCTGGGCAACAGAGCGAGACTCCCTTAAAAAAAAAAAAGAACCAAAAAATTTGAAGAATCCCTCTTTATTAAAAATGAATGATTACCAAAAAAAATGACTAAAGGTATTAAAAATAATGAAGTCGATATACTTCTACTGACTGAGAAGATGTCAGCAGTACAATTTAAAGAGAAATTAGCAGCCAGGTGTGGCGGCTCACACCTGTAATCCCAGCACTTTGGGATCGGAGGCAGGTGAATCATGAGGTCAGAGGTTCAAGAAGAGCCTGGCCAACATGGTGAAACCCCATCTTTAATAAAAATACAAAAATTAGCTGGGAGTGGTGGCAGGCGCCTATAATCCCAGCTACTTGGGAGGCTGAGGCAGGAGAATTGCTTGAAGCCAGGAATTTGCAGTGAGCTGAGATCACACCATTGCACTCCAGCCTGGGCGACAGAGCCAGATTCTGTCTCAAAAAAAAAAAAAAAAAAAAAAAAAAGGAAAAGAAAAGAAATTGGCAGGCTGGGAGAGGTGGTTCACGCCTGTAATACCAACACTTTCAGAGGCTGAGGCGAAAGGATCACCTGAGCCCGGGAATTGGAGATTAGCCTAGGCAACATAGCGTGACCCCCATCTCTATAAAAAAAAAGTTTTTAATTAGCTGGACATGGTGGCTGTAGTCTCAGCTACTCAGAAGGCTGAGGTAAAAGAGTTGCTTGAGCCCAGGAGGTCGAGGCTGCAGTGAGCCATGACCATGCCACTGCACTCCAGCCTGAGTAACATAGTGAGACCATGTCTCAAAAAAAAAAAAAAAAAAGAAAAAAGAAAAAGAGAGAGAGAGAGACTGGCAAGTTGCAGAGAAGTATGTAAAATAAAATCATTTTGAAAAAACTGAACAATGATTTAACCTTTTGAAAACCAAGGCGCCCACCACCATGCATGGCTAATTTTTGTATTTTTGGTAGAGACAGGGTTTCGCTATGTTGACTAGGCTGGTCTTGAACTCCTGATCTCAGGTGATCTGCCCACCTTGGCCTCCCAGAGTGCTGAGATTACAGACATGGGCCACCGCACCTGGCCCCTATTTCCTATCTTAACAATAAAGACAGTTATGATACATGTCCCATCTTCAGACTAAAGTTTAATTTTGGCTTTTTCTTTTTTTTTTTTTTTGAGACGGAGCCTCGCTCTGTTGCCCAGGCTGGAGTGCAGTGGCACGATCTCAGCTCACTGCAACCTCCACCTCCCAGGTTCAAGCAATTTTCCTGCCTCAGCCCCCCTAGTAGCTGGGATTTCAGGCATGCACCACCATGCCCGGCTAATTTTTCTATTTTTATTTTATTTGTTTATTTATTTTTTGAGACGGAGTCTCACCCTGTCGCCCAGGCTGGAGTGCAATGATGCAATCTTGGCCCACTGCAACCTCTGCCTCCCGAGTTCAAGCGATTCTCCTGCCTCAGCCTCCTGAGTAGCTGGGATTACAAGCGCCCGCCACCACGCATGGCTAATTTTTTTTTTTTTTCAGTAGAGACGGGGTTTCACCATGTTAGTCAGGCTGGTCTCGAACTCCTGACCTCGTGATCTGCCCTCCTCAGCCTCCCAAAGTGCTGGGATTACAGGAGTGAGCCACCACGCCCAGCCAATTTTTGTATTTTTAGTAGAGACAGGGTTTCGCTATATTGGCCGGGCTGGTCTCGAACTCCTGACCTCAGATGATCCACCTGCCTCGGCCTCCCCAAGTGCTGGGATTACAGTCGTGAGCCACCGTGCCTGGCCTTAATTTTGGCTTTCTTTGGTAATTTTTTAAAGTTACGTAGTAAGAAAAATTCTACAGTACTTGTTAACTGAATATCATGTACTGAGCACTTCATTATCATTTAATCTTCACAATAGTCACCACTTAACAGGTGAGAAAATGGATGCTTACAGTTCAGTAAATTGTGTAAGGTTAAGTTACATGTTATAGGTAGTAGAGCTGGGATTTGAACCCAGGGCTGTCTCATTGTAATCATGCTGTTAGGTCACCATGTTATAGTCCTCCTACCTGTGTAAGTATTGGACTTGTAATCACTTGAGTTTATTTTTCAATATGTATTTTACAATAGTAGACCACAGAGAATCAATAGAGCATATTATCTTTGCAACTTGGCTAAAAGAATCTAAGGGAAGTCCTAAATTAAAGAATAGAACTAGATAATGCTGGACATGTAGCTGACCTGTCTTTTGCATTTGCAGAGTGCCAATTGAAAGAACTTGAATCGGCCAGGTGCAGTGGCTCACATCTGTAATCCCAGCACTTTGGGAGGCTGAGGTGGGAGGATCACAAGGTCAGGAGTTTGAGACCAGCCTGGCCAATAGGTGAAACCCCATCTCTACTAAAAATACAAAAATTAGCTGGGCATGGTGGCGGGTGCCTGTGGTCCCAGTTACTTGGGAGGCTGAGGCAGGAGAATCGCTTGAACCTGGGAGGCAGAGGTTTCAGTGAGCCTAGATGGTGCCACTGTACTCCAGCCTGGGCGACAAAGCGAGACTCCATTAAAAAGAAAGAACGAGAGAGAGAGAGAGAGAGAAAGAGGGAGGGAGGGAAGGAAAGAAAGAACTTGAACCAAGGACAATAGCAAAGGACTGTTAACAAACTAAATGTCCATCAGTAGGGAACGGGCAAAATAACATGTGGTACTTAAGCTATTCAAAAAGCAAACATAGTAGCTCACTCCTATAATCCCAGCACTTTGGTAGGCCCAGGTGGGAGGATCGCTTGAAGCCAAGAATGCAAGACCAGCTTGGGCAACAAAGCAAGACCCTGTCTCTACAAAAACTAAAAGATTAGCTGGGCATGGTGGTCCACACCTGTAGTCATAGCTACTGGGGAGGCTGAGGTGGGAGGATCACTTGAGCCCAGGAGTTTAGGCTGCAGTGAGCTATGATGGCACCATTGCATTCCAGCCTGGGCAACAGTGTAAGATCCTGTCTCCCCTGCCAACGCCCCCCGCAAAAAAAGCAAAAATAAAGAAAATAAAAACAAAGAAGTTATTTTATTTATTTATTTATTTTTGACGGAGCCTTGCACTGTCACCCAGGCTGGAGTGCGGTGGCGCAGTCTTGGCTCACTGCAAGCTCCGCCTCCCAGGTTCACGTCATTCTCCTGCCTCAGGCTCCCGAGTAGCTGGGACTACAGGTGCCCACCACCACGCCCGGCTTTTTTTTTTTTGTACTTTTAGTAGAGATGGGGTTTCACCGTGTTAGCCAGGATGGTCTTGATCTCTTGAGCTCATGATCCGCCTGCCTTGGCCTCCCAAAGTGCTGGGAATACAGGTGTGAGCCCCTGCGCCCGGCAAAGGAGTTATTAATGTACTGATACAGAACACTTAGCAGGAAATTTAATGAAAAAAAAAAAAAAAAACAGAAAACAAAAAAACAAGGTTCACTACAGGGTGTTTAGTATGTTACCATTAATAATTATTGTTTAAAAGGATATGCATATATAGTCATGTTGAACAAGCATGACTCATGGGGTGTGTATCAGTTAATAATAGGTTAAACTACTGTGACAAATAGATCCAAAATATGACTCAGTAAAATACTTAATTTCTTGCTCACCTAACAGTCCCGGGCGGATATTCAGGTCAATGGGGCCACTCTCCTCCACTTTTTTCATTAAGGGGCCCAGAAGCTGTCCATCTATTATCCCCTGGATCAGGTAGTGACACACATTGGTTCCACTCACATTACATTGGAGAAAACCGTCACATGACCACACTCAAATTGAATGGGAGTATGGGAAACAGTCTTGTTGTGTGCCTAAAGAGAATAATGACTTTTGGTAGATAGCAAGGGGTCGCTGCTACAGTCAGCCTCTCTGACCAGCAAATCTCATATTCACCCTTCTCCCAAGAGCTATGACAAAAACTTCCATTCATTTATAGGATTCATATCAGAATCTGGATTGTGGTCTTCTGTAATTGGCCTGAGTGAATTTCCTCATGGTCTAGCAATCTATGAACTAAAAGCCAAGTGGTTGCCACTTTCTCCCCACCCCAATAAACCCACCTGCCCATCTACAATGATGAAGCAGAGACAGGAAAAGGGCAATAGCAAATCCTATTTGGAAAAGGGAGAATGGGAAAAACCCAACCTTCCTGTCCAAAGCAATTATGGAGTTCTGCTAGATATGCATTATGAAGACATCCTTTCCTGGCAGTGGATGAATTTCCTAGATTAGACCAGATTTTGCTCTTTAGGAAAAATTATCCTGGCATTGTTCTCCTTCCACCCTTGTTCTGCCCTCTGGCAAGTTCTTCCTCAGCCATTGTTCTTCCTGGCTTTGTGTGAAGTGGGGTGCCTGTCCTCCTTGGGAACTACACAGCCTTGAAAGCCTCCTTCCTGATGGTGCAACTTTGGATTTCCAAGTGTTACTTTATGGTTTTACTTATTTATTCGGACCAGGCTGGGGAATTTTTTGGCAATACAGTTCACTCAGAAACTTTTTGGATCGATTTGCCTCAAAGCAAACAGTATCTTGTGCCACAACAGTATCTTGTGCCAAAAAAAAAATATATATATATATATATTTTTTTTTTTTTTTTAAAGAGAGGGTCTTATGCCATCATATATATATATATGTATATATATACATATATATATACATATATATATATACATATATATATATATATATATATATATATGTATATATATATATATTTTTTTTTTTTTTTTTTTTTTTTTAAAGAGAGGGTCTCATGCCATCGCCCAGGCTGGAGTGCAGTGGCACCATGTCAGCTCACTGCAATCTCCACCTCCCGGGTTCAGGTGATTCTCCTGCCTCAGCCGGGATTACAGGTGCCTGCCACCATGCCTGGCTAATTTTTTTTTTTTTTTTGAGACAGTCTCGTTCTGTCACCCAGGCTGGAGTGCAGTGGTGCGATCTCAGCTCACTGCAAGCTCCGCCTCCCGGGTTCTCGCCATTCTCCTGCCTCAGCCTCTCGAGTAGCTGGGACTACAGGCACCTGCCACCGTGCCTGGCTAATTTTTTGTATTTTTAGTAGAGACGGGGTTTCACCATGTTAGCCAGGATGGTCTCGATCTCCTGACCTCGTGATCTGCCTGCCTCAGCCTCCCAAGGTGCTGGGATTACAGGCGTGAGCCACCGCGCCCGGCCAACCTGGCTAATTTTTGTATTTTTAGTAGAGGCGGGGTTTTGCCATGTTGGCCAGGCTGGATTTTTTTCAAGACATAAATATCAACTTTTGCTTATCTCTTTCTTTCTTCACTCCATGCCTCTCTCTCTCAACTTAATGGCAGTTACAGTGAGGCCATAGGAAACAATAGGTTTAGGTAAGAGAAAACACCTTTAAACTGTTCTTTGCAGTAGTGCTGAATTCCTCTGTTTAATTGAAATACCTTAGTGGACCTGTGTTTCTCAAAGCCTTTTCAGTCTTTTTTCCTGTTGTTGGGGTTCAGCAGCTTCTCCAACCCTACAAGGCTCCATTGCTGGACTCCTTCTATTCCTTTTCCTTTCACCTGCAAGTCAGTATGTTCTTACCTGAGCTTATCTCTTACTATATCTTGTTAAACACAGCAAGGAATGACTAACACACATGAACATTCTGACTCATGGGCCATGGCTTCAGAATACCATGGAAAGAAACAGAAAATTTTCCTTCTCAATTGGTATCCCTGTTAAAAATAGACAACAAATAAATGAGTTTCATGATGTCTTGGAAATTGCTGTCATTAAGCAGAGGCCCACACTTTAAAAAAATGAGAAGAAATGCTTTAGCAGATCTTTATACTTATAAGTTGCTCTGTCTGAAGTCTTTAAAAGTGAGTTCTTTTAGCAACAGAATGATGATGAGCCCATGGAGAGGTTCAAGAATTCCATCATCTATGCACACTATTGGGTTATAAGATCCATGAGGACAGCCTCCATGTAGCACCAGAAAAGTTCAAACGAACACTTACAAAAGCTCTCCATAGAACAGTTTACCGCAGTGGGGGTGATATGGTTTGGGTCTGTGTCCCCACCCAAATCTCATGTTCAATTGTAATCCTTAATGTTGGAGGTGGGGCCTTACGGAAGGTGATTGGATCATGGGGGTGGTTTCTCATGGTTTAACATCATCACCCTTGGTGCTGTCATCATGATAGTGAGTTCTCATGAGATCTGGTTGTTTAAAAGTACATGGCACTTCCCCACCACACTCGGTACTGCTTCTGTCATGTAAGCCTCCTGATCTCGCTTTGCCTTCTGTCATGATTGTAAGTTTTCTGAGGCCTCCCCAGAAGCGGAGCAGATGCTGCCATGCTTCCTGTACAGCCTGCAGAACCATGAGGTGATTAAAACTCTTTTTTTTTTTTTTTTGAGACACTCAAAGTGGCTAAGAAACTAATGGACTTTGTATTCCCTACAGGAGCTATTCTAATTTAATTGTGTAATGATAGATAAACTTATTTTACTGGGGCAATCATTCTTGAGCTATGTAAAGCATTGCCTGTCATGTCAAAGCCTCGTGCTCCTTACCACTCTCAATCATCTAGAAAAGTCAAAACCACAAAAGGAGTACTAAGCTTAAATTAACTAAATTATCAGACACACTTGAGTTCCCATGGCCTTAAATACTGTCCTTTGCTCTATGACTCTGTGTTCTGCCCATTCAGGAACCCATAGACTGTCTCCCTCTGATTCGGCCACTGGCAGGCAGGCCCATATAACTAGGAGTCCCTCCACCCATACTTGATTCTAATCTCTTACAGGCAGATCTGGCTACCTTTTCAAGCTGCCTTCTGTGTTACTTTGACATGTCACTATCATTCTTTTTTCTTTTTCTTCTTTTTTTTTTTGAGACGGAGTTTCGGTCTTGTTGCCCGGGCTGGAGTGCAATGGTGCGATCTCGGCTCACCACAACCTCTGCCTCCCAGCTTCAAGCAATTTTCCTGCCTCAGGCTCCCAAGTAGCTGGGATTAGAGGCATGTGCCACCATGCCCGGCTAATTTTGTATTTTTAGTAGAGATGGGGTTTCTCCATGTTGGTCAGGCTGGTCTTGAACTCCTGACCTCAAGTGATCCGCCACCTCAGCCTCCCAAAGTGCTGGGATTACAGGTGTGAGCCACTGCGCCCAGCCTCATTCTTTTTTTTTTTTCTTTTTTTAAAAACAGAATTTCATTCTTGTCGCCCAGGCTGGAGTGCAGTGGTGCAATTTCAGCTCACTACAGCTTCTGCCTCCTGGGTTCCAGTGATTCTCCTGCCTCAGCCTCCTGAGTAGCTGGGAGTACAGGTGTGCACCACAAAGCCTGGCTAATTTTTGTATTTTTAGTACAGACGGGGTTTCGCCATGTTGGCCAGGCTGGTCTCGAACTCTTGACCTCAGGTGATCCGCCTGCCTCAGCCTCCCAAAGTGCTGGGATTACAGGCATGAGCCACCGCGCCCAGCCCATTCTTTTTTTTCTTGGAGACAGGGTCTTCCTCTGTTCTTCAGGCTGGAGTGCAATGGTGTGATCATGGCCCACTGCAGGCTCAACCTCCTACCTCAGTCTCCCGAGTAGCTGAGACTATAGGTGTGCGCCACCACACCTGGCTAATTTTTAAGTTTTGTGTAGAGATGGGGTCTTACTCTGTTGCCCAGGCTGGTCTACAACTCCTGGGCTCAAGTGATCCCCCTGTCTTGGCCTCCCAAAGTGCTTGGATTACAGCTGTGAGCCACTGAACCCAGTTTGTCATGTGTTTCTTTTTGCACAAATGAATATATACATGTGTATTTTCTTATTTCCCCCTTTTATTTCTTACCCAGAAGGGAAGGTAGCATACTACAAGATCATATATATATATATATATATATTTTTTTTTTTTTTTTCCCCCAAGAGATAGAGTCTAGCTCTGTGCAGTGGTGCAATGGTGCAGTGGTGCAATCATAGCTCACTGTCGCCTTGAACTCCTGGGCTCCAGGGATTCTCCTGCATCAGCCTCCCAAGTAGGTGGGACCACAGACACACACCACCACAGCTGGCTAATTTTTTAAAAACTTTTTGTAGAGACTGTGGGTGGGACAGGTGGTCTCACCATCTTGTCTAGACTGGTCTTGAACTACTGGGCCCAATAGATCCTCCCACCTCAGCTTCCCAAAGTATTGGAATTACAGGTGTGAGCCACTGTGTCTACTGTATACGGGCTTTTTATTATTCCTGTTTCTGTTGTTGATACTCTTGCCTTTAGTAAACTCCTCCTATACAACAATTACTTATCCACAGTTAGCCCACAGTCTAGCCAGATTCAGTTGCTGGGTTGCACTCACTTCCCTTTAGGTTGTATAATTCTTTTGGGTAGTAATCCCCTCAAGTGATATCAATGACTTCATAATGAATGAAGTTATTATGAACTCTTAACATAATTACTGATAATCACCATCACAAACCTTATATTTCTAAGCCACCAATACCAATATTGTCATGCCTAAAGTAGGACATTTTTGCTTACACAGAAATCAAACTAAAGGGCCTAAGGTGGGGACCAGTTCGTGTGTTCAAATTTTTGTAGCACTGACAGCCCAGGGGAAGAATCACTGGTATGGTTTATCTTAAAAAATGCATAACCTGTACAACTCTTACCACAAAGGCATACCAAAGCATTATTTTCAGATATTTTAAGTTAGTTTTAAAGTGAAGTAGACTCAGATTCATTATCTTTGCCAGGATCCATAATGAGAGTTCTGGATTTTCCTGGCCTGAACCCAGTTCCTAGGTGACTCCTAATGAGTGGTACTTGCTTTGTGGAATAAAGAACTCCTGGTTACTCCCTGAAAATTGGTGATATGTTTCTATTTATGGCAACTGATTCCTGTATTAAGAATCATTCATGGCCGAGCACGGTGGCACATGCCTGTAATTTCAGCACTTTGGGAGACCAAGGCAGACAGATTGCTTGAGGCCAGGAGTTTGAGACCAGCCTGGGCAACATGGCGAGACTCCATCTCTACTAAAAATGTAAAAATTAGCTGGGCATGGTGGTGCCTGTGGTCCCAGCTACTTGAGAAGCTGAGGCTGGAGAATCACTTGAACCCAGGAGGCTGGGGTTGCAGTGAGCCAAGATCACACCACTCACTCCAGCCTGGGCACAGCAAGACCCTGTCTCAAAATAATAATAATAATAATAATAATAATAATAATAATAATTCAGGACCTCACTCATAGACCCTTAATAATAATAATAATAATAATAATTCAGGACCTCACTCCTAGACCCTTTTGGTCAAAATTATCTAAAGAGAAATCCTTTTTTAAAAAAACGGTCTCAGCTGGGCACGGTGGCTCAGCCTGTGATCCCAGCACTTTGGGAGGCCAAAGTGGACGTATCACGAGGTCAGGAGTTTGAGACCAGACTGGCCAATATGGTGAAACCCCGTCTCTACTAAAAATACAAAAATTAGTCGGGCGTGGTGGCGTGCGTACCTGTAGTCCCAGCTACTCGGGAGGCTGAGGCAGAAGAATTGCTTGAACCCTGGAGGTGGAGGTTGCAGTGAGCTGAGATCGTGCCCCTGGACTTCAGCATGGGTGGCAGAGCAAGACTGTCTCAGAAAAAAAAAAAAGGGTCTCTCTGTTACCCAGGCTGGAGTACAGTGGCACAAACATGGCTCACTGCAGCCTTGACCTTCTGGGCTCAAGTGATCCTCCTGCCTCAGCCTCCTGAGTAGCTGGTACTACAGGCGTAGGCCACCGTGCCAGGCTAACTTTTAAACGTTTTTTGTAGAGATGAGGTCTTGCTATGTTGCCCAGGCTGGTCTCAAACTCCTGGGCTCAAGCAATCCTCCCACCTCAGTCTCCCAAAGTGCTGGGATTACTGGTGTGAGCCATTGTACCGGGCCTAAAGGGAAACCCTTTCATTACTTTCTTTTTTTTTTTTTTTGAGATGGAGTTTCACTCTTGTTGCCAAGGCTGGAGTGCAATGGCATGATCTGAGCTCACTGCAGCCTCCGCCTTCCAGGTTCAAGCGATTCTCCTGCCTCAGCCTCCCAAGTAGCTGGGATTACAGGTGTGTGCCACCACACCTGGCTAATTTTTGTATTTTTAGTAGAGTGGGGTTTCACCATATTGGCCAGGATGGTCTCGAACTCCTGACCTCAGGTGATTCACCCGCCTTGGCCTCCCAAAGTGCTGGAATTACAGGCATGAGTCACTGCATCCGGTCCCTTCATTTCTGTTACAAGCAATTAAACCTTGGCATAAGAGAATTTTGAAATTTTTTTTGTCCCCAGACAGCTTCACACCATGCTTTACAGGGGGCACATATATTTGAGAGAATTCTTCAAGTTTATGACTGTACAAATGACTGAAAGCTTAACAAAGACCTTCTAAGCTTTAGACTTATTGCAAGAAGGCAGTCAGCCAAAATAGAGCGCCCATGACATATTCTCCTTATCTCACCAAAAGGAACTTGTGCTGTGCTAAAGGAAAATATTGCACTTGTATTTCCCAAGATGTCTCAGAGATTTTCAACATTAGCAAAGAGATTAGAGAAACTTCAAAAAATTTCAAATGATAACAACCTGGTCAATATTCCTTTGTCTGGGCCAGGCACGGTGGCTCATACTTGTAATCCCAGCACTTTGAGAGGCCGAGGCAGGTGGATCCCTTGAACCCAGGAGTTCGAGACCAGCCTGGCCAACATGGCGGAACCCCATCTCTACCAAAAGTACAAAAATTAGCTGGGCTTGGTGGTGCACACCTGTAGTTACAGCTACTCACTCAGGAGGCTGAGGTGGGAGAATCACCTGAGCCTGGGAGTTCGAGGCTGCGGTGAGCTGAGATCATGCCACTGCACTTCAGCCTGGGTGACAGAATGAGACTCTATCTCAAACAAAAAACATTTCTTTGTCTTATCCCCATACTTCAGGTCAAAAAGAGGGTTTAATCTGTGAAAACTTGGATCATGATTTTGGTGCACTTTCCAGTCCTTCCTTATTCTACTAGTTGTAGGCTGGGTATGGTGGCTCACACCTGTAATCCCAGCACTTCGGGAGACCAAGGCAGGCGGATCACCTGAGGTCAGGAGTTTGAGACCACCATGGCCAACATGACGAAACTTCGTCTCTACTAAAAATACAACAATTAGCGGGGTGTGGTGGCGCACCTGTAATTCCAGCTACTAGGGAGGCTAAGGCATGTGAATTGCTTGAACCCAGGAGGTGGAGGGTGCAGTGAGCTGAGATCGCACCACTGCACTCCAGCCTGGGTGATGGAGTGAGACTGACTCTAAAAAAAAAAAAAAATCTAGTCCTGTGTGTGTGTGTGTGTGTGTGTGTGTGTGTGTGTGTGTGTGTGTATTTTTAAAGACAGAGTCTCCGGCCGGGCACACCTGTAATCCTAGCACTTTGGGAGGCCAAGGCGGGTGGATCACCTCAGGCCAGGAGTTTGAGACCAACCTGGCCAACATGGTGAAACCCCATCTCTACTGGAAATACAAAAAATTAGCCAGGCATGGTGGTAGATGCCTGTAATCCCAGCTACTCGGGAGCCTGAGTGAGGCAGGACAATCACTTGAACCTGGGAGGCGGAGGTTGCAGGGAGCCAAGATTGCGACACTGCACTCCAGCCTGGGCAACAAGAGCGAAACTCTGTCTCAAAAAAAAAGACAGAGTCTCGCTCTGTTGCCCAGGCTGGAGTGCAGTGATGCGATCTCTGCTCACTGCAACCTCTGCCTCCTGGGTTCAAGAGATTCTCCTGCCTCAGCCTCCCTAGTAGCTGGGATTACAGACGCCCCCCAACACGCCTAGCTAATTTTTGTATTTTCAGTAGAGACGGGGTTTCACCATGTTGGCCAGGCTGGTCTCGAACTCCTGACCTCAAGTGATCTGCCCACCTCGTTCTCCCAAAGTGCTGGAATTACAGGCGTGAGCCACTGTGCCTGGCATATATTTTAATGTTGTATTTATATACTGTCTAGCTGGTGTCCAGAATTTTAAACTCTACTGTGTGTTGGCTGTCTCATCAGATGGTGCAACAGATGATCTTGAATCAAAAACAAAATGAAATCATGATGATCACCACAGCCACCATTTCACCCCCGAAGGAAAACCATGTCAGTGGACTACATCTAGAGTTCTAGACCAGGGGCTAGCAAACTATGGCCAATGAGTTAAGTCTGGCCCACCACTTGTTTTTTTAAGTAACGTTTTATTGAAACACAGCCACACCTATTCATTTACGAATCATTTGTGCTATTTTTGTGTGACAGCAGCAGAGTTAAGTTGTTACGATAGAGTCAGTAGGGCTCACAGAACCTAAAATATTTACGTTTTGTCCCTTTACAGAAAAACAGTTGCCCACCACTGTTCTAGACAATATTTAATGGCCTCTTCCATGACCTGTCAAGCAGGGGCAAAATGGGAGATGACAATAGAAAATTCCATTCTTGCCTGAAGAACCTAGCTGATGTCTGCAGGCATTTACACAGGAAACTATAAGATGAATCAATATCAGTCTTGGGCTGAATCACCTGCAGTCATCAAACCTTACATCAATAGGTCACCTGTTCTTGAAACCTATCTAATCAGTGACTAACCCTACTCACTTTGAGCCAAAACCAATCACTTATATTTTCCTAAAATCCCATATAAACCTATTTTTTACTTTGTTCACAGGGATTACATGTATCTTTGCAGTTCTCCCTTGCCCAGCAAGAAATGAATTCTACTTTTGTTTTCTAGATCTGAAGGATTTGTGATTCTTTTAACATGAGCAAAACTAAAATATAATGCCTTAACAAAATAGAGGTTTATTTCCCGTTCACATAGTAGTCTTGGACAGTTGTTTGGCTTGGTGGGGCAGCTCTCCTCTTTGCCATCATCCACAGACCCAGGTTTCTATCTGTCATCACTTGAGCCCTTGTCATCATCTACTTTAAGTTGGCAAAAGGTGGGAAAAAATAGAAGAGTGTTATGGGTGGGGGTGCAGTTATAGGCCAGTTCTGCAAGTCATACCCATCGTATTAACCCAAACCTGTTTTGCATTTCACTGGAAAAAATTTAATAAAAAGATTATACCCAACTGGGCGTGGTGGCTCAAGCCTGTAATCCCAACACTTTGGGAGGCTAAGGCGGGTGATCACTTAAGGTCAGGAATTCGAGACCAGTCGGGCCAACATGGTGAAACCCCATCTCTACTAAAAATACAAAAATTATGCGGGTGTGGTGGTGCACGCCTGTAATCCCAGCTACTCGGGAGGCTGAGGCAGGAGAATCTCTTGAACCTGGGAAGTGGAGGTTGCAGTGAGCCAAGATCTAGCAACTGCACTCCAGCCTGGGCAACAGAACGAGACTCTGTCTCAAAACAAAACAAAACAAAACAAAAGATTATACCAACCTGCAATGTATGCTGGGAAACAGAGCCTAGCTTTGTGCCTAAAGGATAGAATGCCTATTAGTAGGGAGTCTCCGCTACCGCGTATGAATCAGAAAAATCTTAACTTTCATCTTTCACTGGCCTTTTAATGTATTCTTTGGGGCTAGTTTTCCCGTGCCCCCTTAGGTGAAACCATGGTCAAATCCCTCAACTTTTCTGGTTACTCATAAGTATTAAAAGTCTTCCTAGGTTGGGCGCAGTGGCTCATGTCTGTAATCCCAGCACTTTGGGAGGCTGAGGCAGGTGGATCACCTGAGGTTAGGAGTTCGAGACCGGCCAGGCCAACAAGGCAAAACCCCATCTCTACTAAAAATACAAAAATTAGCTGGGCATGGTGGCACATGCTGTAATCCCAGTTACTTATAAGGCTGAGGCAGGAGAATCGCTTGAGCCCAGGAGGTGGACGTTGCAGTGAGCCAAGATCACGCCACTGCACTCCAGCCTGGGTGACAGAGAGAGACTCCATCTCAAAAAAAAAAAAAAAGTCCTGGCCGGGTGAGGTGGCTTACGCCTGTAATCCCAGCACTTTGGGAGGCCAAGGCAGGTGGATCATGAGGTCAAGAGATCAAGACCATCCTGGTCAACATGGTGAAACCCTGTCTCTACTAAAAACACAAAAATTAGCTGGCCGTGGTGGCACACACCTATAGTCCCAGCTACTTGGGAGGCTGAGGCAGGAGAATTGCTTGAACCCAGAAGGCGGAGGTTGCAGTAAGCCCAGATCACACTACTGCACTCCATCCTGGCAACAGAGTGAGACTCTGTCTCAAAAAAAAAAAAAGAAAAAGAAAAAAAAGTTCTCCTGTCATGCTAGTTTCCCAAATAATATCAGTTAAGTGATAAAAAAAAAACTTCCAGCCCCCTCTAACATCCATTACTGTAAAATTCATTTATACAGAGGCTCCACCCTCTTTCCCAGATTGGGCCTCTACGAGGTGGGTTACCTACTATGGAAAAGGAGTGTGTGGCCAGCTCAGCTCCTTCCTCATTCAGTGCTTCCCCTCCTCTCCTCCTCTTGCTAGTCACTGTCTCTGAGACCCTCCAAACTGGGTGGCTGCTAGTCCATCTGGTGCCTCTGTAGATTAGGAATATGTTCCCCTTCTGGGTGTATGCAGCCCCATGGTGAGAGAACTGTACCTCTGTGTGAATTAGGAAAACACTGCTCTTATTCCAAATAGATAAAACCCCATGCCAGGGCATACAGTTTGGAGAATGGAACCCAGACTGGGTTGCAGCCACCATATGCGCCTTCATTTAGGCACCCTTTAGCAGTGAATGAATCACACAGCCATAAGGCCTGTTAAGGTTGGAACATATGGAGAAAGTAATAAAGGAGACGGTAAAGTTCACACTTGACTAGTACTGTCATGAATGGCATCTGTACTCTGGCAGGTGTTTAAGGCTTACTCTTTTTGTATGTGGGCTGTATTTCTGAGTTCCTTAAAGCTTCCTCCTCCCATCATTGGGGATCTCATCTCTGCAGTTTCTTTTTTTTTTTAAGTTGGGGTTTCACTATGTTGGCCAGGCTGATCTCAAACTCCTGACCCCAAGTGATCCACCTGCCTTGGCCTCCCAAAGTGTGGGGACTGCAGGGATGAGCCACCGTGCCCCGCCTGCAGTTTCTTCTGCATAAATGAATACATGGCTTTTCCAGTTGTTTATTTACAATTCTTTATCGAGACTCTAGGCATCTGGTGCTACGCCTCCACCTTCCTTCTGCTGAAGTCCACTTACTTTCCCGGCAGCTTTCTTTTTTTCTGAGATGAGGTCTCCCTCTGTCACCCAAGCTGGAGTGCAGTGGTGCGATCTTGGCTCACTGCAACCTCTGCCTCCTGGGTTCAAGTGATTCTCCTGCCTTAGCCTCCTGAGTACCTGGAATTACAGATGCCCACCACCACGCCCAGCTAATTTTTGTATTTTTAGTAGAGACGGGGTTTCACCATCTTGGCCAGGCTGGTCTTGAACTCCTGACCTCAGGTGATCTGCCCGCCTTGGTCTCCCAAAGTGCTGGGATTACAGGCATGAGCTACCACACTTGGCCTGCAGTTTCTCCTGCATAGATGAATACATGGCTTTTACAGTTGTTTATTTACAATTCTTTCTCGAGACTCTAGGCATCTGGTGCTACGCCTCCACCTTCCTTCTGCTGAAGTCCACTTACTTTCCAGGCAGCTTTCTTGAACAGGATCCAAGGCAATGCTTCTCCAGAGCTCTTGCATGTTTGTATCATACTTAGATTAGAGAAAATATGTTCATTTGACCCATTGTTGCAAGTGCTGCTATATCCCAAATCGCAACCTCTTCTCTACCCCACAGGATGCCTGCATTAACCCTTAACCCTTTACACATCCCAGACAACTCAGACTTCAGCCCACTGTGCCTCTCAAAGACGAAGAAACACATATTCTACTATGTGATCCCAGTAAAATTCGTTTTATTAGTGTGAGGTGAGGGGCATGTACCCCTTAGGATGAGGTTGGAGGCAATGACTCAGTGACTCAGTTCAGCAATAGCTTTTTCTAAAACCTTGAGTCTTTTTTTTTTTCAATCTCTTCAACATCTTTTGCAGGCTGCGGATGGGTAGTGAATGAAGATTGAAAACTGGTTTTCTTTTCTTTTTTTTTTTTTTTTTTGAGATGGAGTCTTGCTCTGTCGCCAGGTTGGAGTGCAGTGACACTATCTTGGCTCACTGCAATCTCTGCCTCCTGGGTTCAAGTGATTCTCCTACCTCAGCCTCCCAAGTACCTGGAATTACAAGCACGTACCACCACATCCAGCTCATTTTTGTATTTTTAGTAGAGATGGAGTTTTACCATGTTGGCCAGGATGGTCTCGATCTCCTGACCTCGTGATCCACCTGCCTCGGCCTCCCAAAGTGCTGGGATTACAGGCGTCAGCCAGCGCGCCCGGCATGAAAATTGGTTTTCTATAATCTTCTTTTGCAAATCCTGTATTGGTGGACTTGCCCGTAACTTTGAAGTGTGACCTTATTGTTTTGGTGTCTCGGCCAAACTTGAGACGAGTGAGGTTCCTTTAAATATCCTATGTATGACATAACTCTGGAAGTACACATAAGGAACAGGAAATATTGGTTACCTTTGGTGGGGAATTTATTGGCTCAGGGCAGCAATGAGAGTGAGAATTTTTCACATATATACTTTTTTGAACCATTTTAATTTAAAACCATATGGTATATAATATCAATTCAAAAATTTAAATTAAAGAAATGTACCTCCTAAATATATTATAGTCATACAATGGAACACTTGGCAAATCTTAAAAAGAATGAGCTATATATCCCGATGTACAAAAATCTCAAAGAAACTGGTGTGGTAGTGTGTACCTATAGTCCCAGCTACTTGGGAGGCTGAGACTGGAGGATTGCTTGAACCCAGGAGTTTGAGTCCAGCCTGGGCAAGATAGCAAGACCCCCACCTCCACCCCACAATTACCTCTAAGGAAAAAAATAATAAAAAGAAAAATCTCAAATATCTTAAACTTGATTCTCATTTCTTAACCACAGAAAAGGCCTTTTTTTTTTTTTTGAGACAGAGTTTTGCTCTTATCACCCAGGCTGGAGTGCAATGGTGTAATCTCGGCTCACTGCAACCACTGCCTCCCAGGTTCAAGCGATTCTCCTACCTCAGCCACCTGAGTAGCTGGGATTACAAGCGCCTGCCACCATGCCTGGCTAATTTTTATATTTTTTGTAGAGACGGGGTTTCACCATGTTGGCCAGGCTGATCTCGAACTCCTGACCTCAAATGATCTGCCCGCCTCGGCTTCCCAAAGTGCTGGGATTACAGGCGTGAGCCACCGCGCCCGGCCAGAAAAGGCTTGTATTTCTCGTACATGGGCATGTATAGTGCAAGATGGACAACTTTTCAGGGCAGCTGTTTCTGCATCTGGTGACTCAGGGATCCAGGCTGTTTCCATTTTGTGGCTTCACCATCTAAATGCGTGGCTTTCACAATTGCTGCAGCAGGGGAAGAGAGAGCTGGAGAGACATAAAATGGCACTAAATGCTTTGGCCCAAGAGTGCCCAATATCATTTCTGTTCATAGCCCTTGAGCCAGAACTAGTCTCATGGTCTCAGCCTCACCGCAAAGCAGGACAGGAAATGTTGTCATCCTTTATGCCCAGAAAAAAGGAAATGAAATGAGGTTCAGTATCATATGGCATCGTGTCTACCACAAAGACACAAACAAGTAACAGGAGGAAGGGTCCTGAGGATCTAATATCAGGAGATTTACTTTTCACTATACTATTCACTCTATTTCTCTTTTTTTATACAACAAAAAGTGAGTATGTATACATACTTGTTCACTGTATTGTTTTGAATTTTTTAACCATTGGCTTGTGTATACTTTTTCAATGAAAGACTTTGTAATTTTTGCAATGGATGCTAAGATTAGTGGGTAAAAGTTTTATGAGGAACAGGATATAGTCTCAAAATATCTCCCCACAAGATACTTATTGGCCAGGCATGGTGGTTCATGCCTATAATCCCAGAGTTTTGGGAGGCTGAGGCCAAGTTGGGAGGATTACTTGAGGCCAGGAGTTGGAGATCAGCCAGGGTAACATAGCAAGACCTGTCTCTACAAAAATAAAATATTAGCCAGGCCTGGTGGCGTGCCTGTAGTCCTTGTTACTCAGGAGGATGAGGTGGGAGGATCACTGGAGCCCGGAAATTTGAGGCTGCAGTGAGTTATGATTGCGCCACTGCACTTCAGCCTGGGCAACAGAGTGAGACCCTGTCTCTAAAAAAAGAAAAAAAAAAGATACTTATTAACTAAAAATCGACAAAGAATAACTTTAAAGTGGAAAACTGGCAGACACCACCTTGACCTAAAAATAAAAATTAACATCACCAGTAGTCAGTAATGTGCCTCCTGATTTAATAAACCAAGAACACAGCATCAGTTTTAGAATATTCCTGCCAAAAATGTATAGCCTGAATCTAATCATGAGGGGAAAAAACAGATAAACCTAAAACAAGAACCTCATACAAAATATCTGGCCTGTATTCTTCAAGTGACAAAGGATCGTGGGAGGCAAAGTCAGACTGAGGAATTATTCCAGATTAAAAGAAACTAAAGAGATTTCTCAACTAAGTGCAGTGTGTGATCCTGGATTGGATCCTGAGCCAGAAAAATAATTTTTCTTTCTTGTTTTTGAGACAGAGTCTCGCTCTGTCGCCCAGGCTGGAGTGTAGTGATGCTATCTCGGCTCACTGCAACCTCCGCCTCCTGGGTTCAAGTGATTCTCCTGCCTCAGCCTCCTGAGTAGCTGGGACTACAGGTGCGCACCACCACGCCTGGCTAAGTTTTGTATTTTTAGTAGAGCCAGGGTTTCACCATGTTGGCCAGGCTGGTCTCGAACTCTTGACCTCAGATGATCTGTCCACCTCGGCTTCCCAAAGTGCTGAGATTACAGGCATGAGTCACCATGCCTGACCTTAGAAAAATAATTTTTCTTTTTGCTGTGGAAAACATTATTAAGACAGTGGAGGATATCTGAATAAGGTCTCTGGGTTAGGTAATATTATTATATCAATGTTATTATTTTTATTTTATAATTGTGCTACTGTTATACAAGAGAATACAATATTCTTGTTTTAGGAAACACATACTTAAGTATTTAGAGATACAATTTCATCCTGTTTGCAATTTATTCTCCAATGGTTCTGGAAAAATAATTTCATATATCATACATATATTTGTGTGTGTATATATGTCTGTATGCATATATATTACCTGTGTGTGTGTGTGTGTATATATATATATGTATATATATATATAGAGAGAGAGAGAGAGAGAGAGAGAGAAATGATAAAGCAAATGTGGTAAAATGTTAACATTTTGAGAATCTTAATAAACGTCATATGGGGCCGGGCGCGGTGGCTCATGCCTGTAATCCCAGCACTTTGGGAGGCCGAGGCATGCAGATCACAAGGTCAGAAGTTCAAGACCAGCCTGGCCAACATGATGAAACCCTGTCTCTACTAAAAATACAAAAATTAGTCAGGTGTGGTGGCACACACCTGTAATCCCAGCTACTTGGGAGGCTGAGGCAGGAGAATTGCTTGAACCTGGGAGACTGAGGTTGCAGTGAGCCATGACTGCACCACTGCACGCCAGCCTGGGCGACAAAGCAAGACTCCGTCTTGGGAAAAAAAAAGAAAAAAAGAAAATGATAAAGCAAATGTGGTAAAATATTAACATTTTGAGAATCTGAATAAAGGGTATATGGGGCCGGGTGCTGTGGCTCACGCCTGTAATCCCAGCAGTTTGGGAGGCCAAGGCGGGCGGATCGCTTTAGGCCAGGAGTTCGATACCAGCCTGGCCAACGTGGTGAAAGCCCGTCTCTACAAAAAACAAAAAACAAAAAAACAAAAAATACAGGCCGGGCCCTGTGGCTCACACCTGTAATCCCAACACTTTGGGAGGCCGAGGCGGGCGGATCACGAGGTCAGGAGTTCGAGACCAGCCTGGCCAGTATGGTGAAACGCTGTCTCTACTAAAAATACAAAAATTAGCAGGGTGTGGTGGCACACGCCTGTAATCCCAGCTACTCAGGAGGCTGAGGGAGAAGAATTGCTTGAAGTCGGGAGGTGGAGATTGCAGTGAGCTGAGATTGCACCACTGCACTCTAGCCTGGGCAACAGAGTGAGACTCTGTCTCAAACAAAACAAAACAAAACAACAACAACAAAAACACACAAAAATTATCTGGGCATGGTGGCAGGTACCTGTAATCCCAGCTACTCAGGGGGCTCAGGCAGGAGAATTGCTTGAACCTGGGAGACAGAGGATGCAATGAGGCGAGATCGCACCACTGCACTCCAGCCTGGGTTACAGAGTAAGACTCTGTCTCAAAAAAAAAAAAAAAAAAAAAAAGTACATGGGATGTCTTTGACCTTTCCTGAAATCATTTTGTAAGTCTGAAATTATTTCAAATAAAAAGTTGTAATAAGTCTAGGTGCAGTGGCTCACTTGTAATCCCAGTACTTTGGGAGGCCAAGGTGGGAGGATGGCTTGAGCCCGGGAGTTTGAGACCAGCCTGGGCAACATAGTAAGACTCTGTCTCTACAAAAATTTAAAAAATAGCCACCCATGGTGGCACATGTCTGTAGTCCCAGCTACTTGAGAGGCTGAGGCAGGAAGACCACTTGAGCCCAGGAGGATCACTCTTGCCACTATATTCCAGCCTGGGCAACAGAGCAAGATTCTTGTCTCCAGAAAAAAAAAAAAAAAAAAAGTTGTCATAAATGACTAGTAATTAACTACACTTATTAAATTTCTGAACTTTTGCATGAGATATAGTGCTTGTTAGTAAATTCTATTTGTAATAGAATTAAGGTCCAGAGTAATTATTTTTCACATGATATCTCACAGAATTATTGTGAGGAACAAACGTAAATATGTATGAATACGGTCTATAAACCATTATTTGAATGCATTGTTTTCACTATTATTGTTACTATTATTATTATTATCATCATCATTCTTTTTAGTTAAAGTGGGTAATTCTTACTGGGGAGTAATGGGTGCTGGTGTCAGAAAGTAACAAGAACAATATATGGAACAAGATATTGAATGCCAGGCCAGGGCACTTGAATTTTGCCTTCTGGAATACTGAAAAGTCATTGCTTACCAAAATGGCTGGGGAGAAAGTTGAATCCTTTTTCCTTCTTTTTTTTTTTTCTTTTTTAACACAGACTGCTCATCTGCAAGAAAGTTTAAGTTTTTTTGTTTGTTTGTTTTTTGGTTTTTTTTTTAGACAGGCTCTTGGTCTGTCACCCAGGCTGGAATGCAGTGGCTCGATCTCGGCTCCTTGCAACCTCTCAAGCCATCCTCCCACTTCAGCCTCCCAAGTAGCTGGAACTATAGGCACACACCACCACACCTGGCTAAGTTTTGTACTTTTCGTAGAGATGGGGTCTCGCTATGTTGTCCAGGCTGGTCTCGAACTCCTGAGCTCAAGCAATCTGCCCGCCTCAGCCTCCCAAAATGCTGGGATTACAGGTGTGAGCCGCCATGCCCAGTGGTGAATTCTTAACAGTTCTAAAAGGTATCCATAGAGATCAGATAATGGTTCAACCTCCTCATTTTGCAGTTAAGCTGGTGGATTTGGCAGATGAAGCATGTGAATTAGAGTCTTGTGGATGAAGCTGTGCAGATTCAAAGATTGAAAGGGCAGAAAAAGAAACACAAGGAGATAAGAAATGTCACATCACCAGGACCAATTACATAATTAGGAGGGCCCAGTGCAAAATGAAAATGCAGGGCCCAGGCCAGACGCGGTGGCCCACGCCTATAATCCCAGCACTTTGGGAAGCTGAGGCGGGCGGATCACCTGAGGTCGGGAGTTCCAGACCAGCCTGACCAACATGGAGAAACCCCATCTCTACTAAAAAATACCAAATTAGCTGGGTGTGGTGGCGCATGCCTGTAATCCCAGCTACTCGGGAGTCTGAGGCAGGAGAATCACTTGAACTCAGGAGGCAGAGGTTGCGGTGAGCCAAGATCGTGCCATTGCACTCTAGCCTGGGCGACAGAGCAAAACTCCATCTCAAAAAAAAAAAATTAAAAAAAAAAAGAAAAAAGAAAATGCAGGGCTCCTTGTTCGTAAGTTATTAAGAATTTCAGAATTTCAGAGATATACCTAATGTAAATGACTAATGGGTGCAGCACACCAACATGGCACATATATACATATGTAACAAACCTGCACATTGTGCACATGTACCCTAGAACTTAAAGTATAATACAAAAAAAAAAAATATATATATATATAAAAGAATTTCAAAACCATGAAAGCAGAACATTAAACCAAGCGTGGGGCCCTACTAAGTGTGGGCCTGGTGTGACAGCACAGGTTGCACACCCGTGAAGCTGGTCCTAAACATCATAACACACCAAATACATCCACATTCAGTAATTCATCCAAGGTCAGTTAAGGTCCTACTAGTGAGGTGCTTTCAGTTAAAAGGGACAGAAACCATGATTCAAACTGACTTCAATCATAAGGAAATATAGACCAGCAGAAGGTTGGTTTTTAAAAATTATTATTATTATTTCAGACAGCCACCTGCCTTGGCCTCCCAAAGTGCTGAGATCACAGGTGTGAACCACCATGCCATGCTGAGCTTCAGATTACACTTTTATTTATTTATTTATTTATTTATTTATATTTATCTTTTTTTGAGATGGAGTCTCGCTCATTTGCCCAGGCTGGAGTACAGTGGTACGATCTCGGCTCACTGCAACCTCCGCCTCCTGGGTTCAAGCGATTCACATGCCTCAGCCTCCTTAGTAGCTGGGATTACAAGCACGCACCACCACTCCCAGCTAATTTTTGTAGTTTTAGTGGAGACAAGGTTTCACCATGTTGGCTAGGCTGGTCTCAAACTCCTGACCTTAAGTGATCCGCCCACCTCAGCCTCCCAAAGTGCTGGGATTACAGGCATGAGCCACTGCTCCTGGCCTTTAAAGTATTATTATTATTTTTGAAATGGAGTGTTGCTCTGTCACCCAGGCTGAAGTGCAGTGGTCCGATCTCTGCTCACTGCAACCTCCATCTCCTGGGTTCAAGTGATTCTACTGCCTCAGCCTCCCAAGTAGTTGGGAAATATGCACCACCATACCCGACTAATTTTTGTGTTTTTAAAAATTATTATTTTATTATTTCGGGACAGGGTCTTGCTCTGTTGCCCAGGCTGTAGTGTGGTGGCACGAACATGGCTCACTGCAGTCTCCACCTCCTGGGCTCAAGTGATCCTCCTGCCCTGGCCTCCCACAGTGCTAGGATTACAATGTGAGCCACCATGCCCAGCCAGAAGGTTGTTCTTTAGGCAGAGTATGATCACTGGCACTCCATGTCACCAAAGGCCCAGCTTCTATCAGACAAGTCTCAGTGCTGTCCTCAGTGTATGGGATTTATCATCCAGCCTAACAACATCCAACATGAGTAATGATCTAACTCTTCCTGTTCTCTTTGGCAGGAACAAGGATGACTTTCCCAGGAGCCTCTTGCATCTCATTAGCTAGAATTGAGTCCTATGTCCATGGCAGGAGGAATGTGGAACCACAATTGGATTAGGCCATCAGGATGCCCTTCCTGTGGCTGAGGTGGGGGCATCTTGCCCTGAAGCACAGGGCTATGTGGGGGAGAGTGGACACCTATGCAAAGTCAGGGCTCTGGTGGGAAAGGGGAGAAGAAGCGTGGGCCACAGTGTCCGACACACTGTTATTTCCACACTGCCGGTGCAAAGGCAGGGTGGTTAGCAATGCCATGCTGTGTGACAGCTGCTTGGTTAGTGGAAGGATGAAGTGCAGGGCAGGGAGCAGTGGGACGGGGCTGGAGGGCTTGGCAGGGGCTTGATCAGGTGTTTCACAGTAGGCAGTTGGGCTTCATCCAAGAGGTCAGTAGTGTTACACAATATGATCGTAGATGGTTCACAGAAGAATATTTTTATGTCGATGAGTATATGTTTATTCTTATGTGTATTTTAAAAATAATTAGTGAGCAGAACACAAAAAGCACTAGTCATAAAGAAAAAGATTGGTAATTTGAATTGATTAAAATGAAGAACTAATCAAAAGACACCATTAAGAGGGAAAAAAGGCAAACCATAGAGAGGGAGACTATATTTGCAATCCTCATGTTAAACTTCGAGCCCTTGTCAAGAATACATGCAGGCTGGTGGCTCATGCCTATAATCCCAGCACTTTGGGAGGCTGAGGCAGAAGGATCACTTGAGCCCAGGAGTTGAAGACCAGCCTGGGCAACATAGGGAGACCCTCATTTCTCCAAAAACAATTTTTTGTTGTTGTTTTATTTTGTTTTGTTTTGAGACAGAGTCTTGCTCTGTCGCCCAGGCTGGAGTGCAGTGGTGCAATCTCGGCTCACTGCAACCTCTGCCTCCCAGGTTCAAGCGATTCTCCTGCCTCAGCCTCCCAAGTAGCTGGGACTACAAGTGCCCACCACCACGCCCGGCTAATTTTTGTATTTTTAGTAGAGATGGGGTTTCACCATATTGGCCAGGCTGGTCTCGAACTCCTGACCTCAGATGATGTATACACCTTGGCCTCCCAAAGTCCTGCTATTACAGGCATGAGCCACTGTGCCCAGTCCAAAAATTTTTTTAAAAGTACCTGGGTGTGGTGGCGGGCACCTGTAGTTCCAGCTACTCGTGAGGCTGATGTGGGAGAATCACTTGAGCCCAGGAGGTCAAGGTTGCCGTGAGCTATGATTGCACCACCGCACTCTAGCCTAAGCAACTGGATGAGATTCTATCTTAAAAACAAAACAAAACAAAACAAAAAATACATACACATACACACCCACACATTTGTGTGGGAGATGGGAGAAGACACTGTGTGTAATTTGTGGCAAGTCCTAGCAGGGTCACTGGGGTTCTGGAGCAAGCCCATGCCATCTGGAGAATCACCCTTGGAAAAATACATACATACACCACAATACTACAAATCAATAAGGAAAAAAACAGACAACTAAATTAAGGGCAAGAAACATGAACAAGCACTTCACAGAAAACATGAACAAGCGCTTCACATCCAATTGACTGATAAACATAAAAAGTCTTTCAACCTCATTAGTCATTAGGGAAATACAAATTAAAACCACAATGAGATACCACTTTACATCAATGAGAATGACTAAAATTAAAATAACCGATGACATCAAGTGTTATTGAGGATACCAAACAACTGGAATGCTCATTCAGTGTTCCGGAGGAGGTAAATTGGTATAGTCATCTTGGAAAACTATTTGGCAGTGTCTAGTAAAACTAAACAAACATAATCTATGACCCAGCAATTTAACTCCTAGGTGTTTACATCCAGAAATGCATACATGCGTATAATAAAAGACACCAACAAGAATGTTTATAGCAGCACTATTCATAACAGATACAACCTGGAAACAACCTAAATGTCCATCACTGGTAGACGGAATAAACAGACTGGGATGTGATTATACAATGAACTACTATATATCAATGAGAAAAGTAAACTATTGCTACATGCGATAAGACGGATGAATTTCACAATGTTGAAGGAAAGAAACCAAACATAAAATAATACACATGGTAGAATTCATTTCATTTATATGAAAAGCTCAAAAGCAGGTAAACAATCTACTTGTGTTCATAGCAATATTATTTATACTAACCAAAAGGTGGAAGTAACCCAAGTGTCCACTGATGAATGTATGGATAAACAAAATGTGGCATATAGATACAGTGGAATTTTTTTATTATTTTTTTTTAGAGATGTAGTTTTGCCCTTGTTTTCCAGCCTGGAGTGCAATGGCGCCATCTCAGCTCACTGCAGCCTCCATCTCCTGGGTTTAAACCATTCTCCTGCCTCACCTTCCTAAATAGCTGGGATTACAGACATGCGCCACCACACCTGGCTAATTTTGTATTTTTAGTAGAGATGGGGTTTCACCATGTTGGCCAGGCTGGTCTCAAACTCCTGACCTCAAGTGATTCACCCACCTCAAGCTCCCGAAGTGCTTGGATTTCAGGCATGAGCCACTGTGCCCAGCAAGATGCAGCGGAATATTAGTCGGCCTTGAAAAGGAAGGAAATCCTGTCACATGCTACACCACGGCTGAAACTTAAGGATATTAGGCTATGTAAAATAAGCCAGGCACAGAAAGATGCATACTGTATGATTCCATTTGTATGAAGTACTTTGAGCAGTCAGATTTTTTTTTTTTTTTTTTTTTGAGACGGAGTCTCGCTCTGTCACCCAGGCCGGACTGCGGACTGCAGTGGCGCAATCTCGGCTCACTGCAAGCTCCGCTTCCTGGGTTCACGCCATTCTCCTGCCTCAGCCTCCTGAGTAGCTGGGACTACAGGCGCCCACCACCGCGCCTGGCTAATTTTTTGTATTTTTAGTAGAGACGGGGTTTCACCTTGTTAGCCAGGATGGTCTCGATCTCCTGACCTCATGATCCACCCGCCTCGGCCTCCCAAAGTGCTGGGATTACAGGCGTGAGCCACCGCGCCCGGCGAGCAGTCAGATTTATAGACACAGAAAGTAGAATGGTAGGCCAGGCGTGGTGGCTCACGCCTGTAATCCTAGCACTTTGGGAAGCCGAGGTGGGCAGATCACAAGGTCGGGAGTTCAAGACCAGCCTGGCCAACAAAGTGAAACCCTGTCTGTACTAAAAATACAAAGATTAGCTGGGCATGGTGGCAGGCACCTGTAGTCCCAGCTACTCGGGAGGCTGAGGCAGGAGAATCACTTGAACCCGGGAGGCAGAGGTCGCAGTGAGCTGAGATTACACCACTGCACTCCAGCCTGGGCGACAGAACGAGACTCTCTCTCTCAAAAAAAAAAAAAAAAAAAAAAAAAGGAAAGAAAAGAAAAAAAAAGGAAGTAGAATGGTAGAATGGTAGTTAGTAAAGGCTTGGGAAAAGATAATGGGGATTTGTTTAATGGGTACAGAGTTTTAGTTTTGCAAGATGAAGAGTTTTGGAGATTGGTTGCACAACAATGTGAATGTATTTAACACGGCTGCACTGCACACTTAAAAATGGCTCACATGGTAAGTTTTATATTATGTGTATTTGACCACAGTTAAAAATTTAAAAAGCAGGTAAATGAGTCTATGGTGATAGAAGAAGGATAGTGGTTACCTTGGGAAGAGAGATTGACTGAGAAGAGGAATAAATGGGGGTTCTGTGATGCAGATCATTTCTACTTTTTGAGCTGGGTGAGTTCACCAAATTGTATACTTAGGATTTATGTCCCTTCATGTCTGTATGTCATTGTGAGACACATGGTGATGTGTTGCCCAGATCGCCTTCAAGAAAGGACATGCTGCCTAGCTGCAGAGAGAGGGCAGCAGACAATACCAGCTTTCAGTTCCTTCAGAGCCTGCTTCAGCTGCAGGGCTGCCTCACCTGAGGTCATGCCCTTCCTGGGGTAGCCCACATTTGGTGACTGAGCAAGGCAGAGGTATAAAGGTCCAGCCATTTAAACTTGATGCTGGAAAGCCCTGATGAGCACTTCTCATTCTAGAGTGACCTGCTGATCGGCTGAGCTTGGTCGAGCCTGCAGCACAGGTTGACTTTCCCTCTGCCCAGTCCTGCTTTTTCTTCCTTCCTTTCACAGGTATGGGTCCTTAATAAACATTTTGCCTCCCAAACTCTATCTCAGCATCTCCTTCTTGAGAATCTGGTCTTCCACAGTTGCTACCAAAGTAGATGAGAAAGGAGATGGTAAGATGGGGTTTGGAACTGGATCACCACCCATCTGATGATGAGGATCCCATTAGTGGAGGTGGGCAGAGCACAGACAAATGGCAGCAAATTGGGAGAATGTACCAGTAGAACTGGATACTCTAAGGGCACAATGTGCCAGGTACTTGAGATGTATGGAGGGAGTAGTAGCTATGAGGATGATGGAATTGGTGGCTATTGCCAAGCTCCATGGATGTGCTACAGGATAATAAACAACTTAGGGCCAGTAACATGCATTAAAATCCAGGTTATGGGGCCAGGTGCAATGGCTCATGCCTGTAATCCCAGCACTTTGGGAGGCCAAGGCAGGTGGATCACCTAAGGTTAGGAGTTTGAGACCAGCCTGGCCAACATGGCGAAACCCCATCTCTGCTAAAAATACAAAAATTAGTCAGGCGTGATGGCACATACCTGTAGTCCCAGCTACTTGGGAGGCTGAGGCAGGAGAATTGCTTGAATCCGGGAGGCAAAGGTTATAGTGAGCCAAGATCGTGCCACTGCACTTCAGCCTGGGCAACAGAGTAAGATCATCTCAAAAAAAAAAAAAAAAAAAAATCCAGGTTATGAAAAGGAAAAGGCCTCTTTGGTTTATACAAATAAGCCAACATCTCTAGCAGTGAAAGGGTGGAGAAAAGCAAGGACAAAGCCTAGGACTTAATAATCTAAGCAACTGGCCAGGCGTGGTGGCCCACACCTGTAATCCCAGCACTTTGGGAGGCTGAGGCGGGCAGATCACCAGGTCAGGAGTTCAAGACCAGCCTGGCTAAGATAGTGAAACCCCGTCTGTACTAAAAATACAAAAAATTAGCTGGGCATGGTGGCGTGCGCCTGTAATCCCAGCTACTAGGGAGGCTGAGGCAGGAGAATCGCTTGAACCTGGGAGGCAGAGGTTGCAGTGAATGGAGATCGTGCCACTGCACTCCGGCCTGGGGGACAGTGCAAGACTCCATCTAAAATAATAATAATAATAATAATCTGAGCAACTGACTTCAAAGACAGTTAAATGTCCAAATAAGGCACATCTCTTATGCTAAAGTCAAAGTCCTGGTTGGAAAAGCTTGGGACCCTGACACGTGGAATGGAGATATCAGAGTGGATGCTCCTAAAGATTTTTTTTTTGAGACGGAGTCTCGCTCTGTCTCCCAGGCTGGAGTGCAGTGGTGTGATGTTGACTCACTGCAGCCTCTGCCTCCAGGATTCAAGCGACTCTCCTGCCACAGCCTCCCAAGTAGCTGGGACTACAGTCATGCACCACCATGCCCAGCTAGTTTTTTTTGTATTTTTAGTGGAGACGGGGTTTCACCATGTTGGCCAGGTTGGTCTCGAACTCCTGACCATAAGTGATCCACTCGCCTTGGCCTCTCCTGAATATTTTGACTCCACAAATTCCTCTGAATCTCCTGAGCCTACAGAATTGGCCCACTCCTCCCTAGTAAGAACTACCACTCTCTCCCTGCTGAGGGACAATGCAGTGCCTTTCTCCACAAAGCAACAGCTCCCCCTCAGAATCTGCCCCCACATTGCCTCCTAGCCTATACTAGGTTAGCTACAGCATAACCCAGCTGGAGAGGTGCTGGGTATGATAGGGGTGGAAAGGGACTATATGCCACAGAAATAGCAAGACCTAGCCAGCATGTATTGGCAGGAGCCAGGGAGATACATGTGGAACTGGATTCTGAGAGTGCTTGATGAAGGAGAAGGAATATAAAATTGGATAGGGAAGAGTTTATTGACTTGGGAATCCCTCTTTGTTTCTTTTCGTTTCTTTTCTTTCTTTTTGAGATGGAGTCTCACCCTGTCAGGCTGGAGTGCAATGGCGCAATCTCAGTTCACTGCAACCTCTGCCTCCCGGGTTCAAACAACTTTCCTGCCTCAGCCTCTCGAGTAGCTGGGATTACAGGCACGTGCCACCATGCCCAGATAATTTTTGTATTTTTAGTAGAGACGGGATTTCACCATGTTGGCCAGGCTGGTCTCGAACTCCTGACCTTGTGATCCGCCTGCCTCGGCCTCCCAAAGTGCCGGGATTTCAGGTGTGAGCCACTGCGCCCGGCAGGAATCTCTCTTTCAAAATACAAGATTTAACATCCTGGCAAGGACAATAGGAGATGGTACAATCTTACTACCAGGATGGATCCTAGAAGCATGGAAAAAGTGATGACCTATGCCAAAGAAAGCTTACATGCCGGAATTGCTATGGCAGATAGTGATGGTAGAATGAAAAGACTCAGGGAAATAGGTGTGCCAGAATGGATAGACTATAGGTAACCAGAAGATCTCCTAGCTAATTATGCCTCATGAGAAGGCCCAGAGAACACGTTTTCATCTGTTTTCTGTTGCTCTCACTGCATAGCACAGACTGGGTAGTTTATAAGAAGTTTACTGAGTTCATGGTTCTGGAGGCTGGGAAGCCCAAGAGCCTGAAGTCAGGATCTGGTGAGATCCTTCTTGCTGTGTCATAACATAGCAGAGAACATCACATGGTGAGAGGGCAACCAGAAAGATTCTGGTTACTCTTGCTTGCTTTTATAACAAAGCCATTCCCATGATAGAGCTTGCTTTTATAACAAAAAAACAAAGCTTGTTTTTATTGCAAAGCCATTCCCGTGATAACGAACCTACTCCCATGATAATGACATTACTCCATTCAAGAGGGCAGAACTCTCATTACTCCATATATTCATTCATGAGGGCAGAACTGACATTAATCCATTTATGAGGGGAGAACAATTAAGTTTCTAACACACAGATTTTTAGGGGCCACATTCAAACCATAACAACACACTACTTATCAAGGCCGTGAAGAATTTGCTGCCCGGCATGGTGGCTCACACCTGTAATCCTAGCACTTTGGAAGTCCGAGGTGGGTGGATCACTTGAGGTCAGGAGTTTGAGACCAGCCTGGCCAACATGGTGAAACCCTGTCTCTCCAAAAAAATATAAAAATTAGGCCGGGCGTGGTGGCTCACGCCTATAATCCCAGCACTTTGGGAGGCCAAAGTGGGTGGATCACTTGAGGTCAGGAGTTCGAGACCAGCCTGGCCAACATGGTGAAACCCCGTCTCTACTAAAAAATAGAAAAATTGGCCGGGCGCAGTGTCTCACGTCTATAATCCCAGCACTTTGGGAGGCCGAGGCGGGCGGATCAAGAGGTCAGGAGATCGAGACCATCCTGGCTAACACGGTGAAACCCCGTCTCTACTAAAAAAAATACAAAAAATTAGCTGGGCGTGGTAGCGGGCACCTGTAGTCCCAGCTACTTGGGAGGCTGAGGCAGGAGAATGGCGTGAACCCAGGAGGTGGAGCTTGCAGTGAGCCAAGATTGTGCCACTGCACTCCAGCCTGGGAGACAGAGCGAGACTCCTTCTCAAAAAAAAAAAAAAAAAAAAAAGAAAAATACAAAAATTAGCCAGGCATGGTGGTGTATACCTGTAATTCCAGCTACTTGGAAGACTGAGGCAGAATCGCTTGAACCCAGGCAGCGGAGGTTGTAGTGAGCCGAGATTGTGCCACTGCACTCCAGCCTGGGTGACAGAGCGAGACTCTATCTCAAAAAAAAAAAAAAAAAAAAAGGGCTGGGTTTGGTGGCTCATGCCTGTAATCCCAGCACTTTGGGAGGCCAAGGCGGGTGAAACACCTGAGGTCAGGAGTTCGAGATTAGCCTGACCAACATGGTGAAACCCCATCTCTACTAAAAATACAAAAATTAGCTGGGTGTGGTGGTGCATGCCTGTAATCTCAGCTACTTGAGAGGTTGAGGCAGGAGAATCACTTGAACCCGGGAGGCGGAGGTTGCAGTGAGCCAAAATTTTGCCATTGCACTACAGCCTGGGCAACAGCGAGACTCTGTCTCAAAAAAAAAAAAAAAAAAAAATATATATATATATATATATATACACACACACACACACATATATATACACACACACACACACACACAAAATTAGCTGGGTGTGGTGGCAGGTGCCTGTAATCCCAGCTACTCGAGAGGCTGAGGTTCGAGAATTGTTTGAACCTGGGAGGCGGAGGTTGCAGTGAGCCAAGATCGTGCCACTGCACTCCAGCCTGAGTGACAGAGCAAGACTCTGACTCAAAAAAAAAAAGAAAGAATTTGCTGGTGAGAGGCTCACCAGAATAAAAAGTACTAAAAAGATAAGTACTCGCTCTCCTCTGTAGGCTAGGACTGATAATAGAAGAGACTAGTACAGAACTTGACTTACTGATAGCAATGAGGATAATGGGACACTGAAACAAACAAACAAACAAAAGTCCAGATGGCAGTGCTTAACTTCCGGAAGCTAGGCAATGGCAATTATCATCATGGCTGGTGAGGTTTGAGTGGCAGCCAGGAACACCTGGCCAACAGAGAGTTATGGAGATGACTAATAAAGCAAAATGTCCCTAGGGGCAAATTAGATGGGCAATTGTTAAGGGTACTACTCAGCTTGTACTAGCAGAAGAAATTAAGGAAAGATGACTAGAAGACTGAAGGCCATAGCCCAAGAAAAATTCACAATCCCTTTCCTAGTGTTCAGACTAGAGCCAGCTTGAGACTTGGAATCCCATGATTAAAGAGGTGGCTGGGTCCCTAGGAGGAAGGACCCTCAATACTATAACAAGAATATGTGATAATGATCCCCTCAGTTCTTTCTCAAAAAGACCAATGGCCATTTATTTGGGTAACTGTGCACCTGGGAAAGAAAAATACCTAGACATATCAGGGTCTGTTGGATGTAGGGTCTGTGATGACAATGATGCTCGAGGCCTGAAGCACCATCATAACCTCTCCTTGTTAGAGTGCAGGAAGCACATGGGGCCAGGTTGTAAGTGAAATCCTGTCTTGGGCCTGGCTTACAGTACAGCCATTGGGTCCTTGGAGCCACTCAGTGGTCATTTCCCAGTCTCTGAGTTCATAACCAGGATTGGTTTACTCCTGGGGGACAACAAAGAAAAGTGTTGAGAGTAGGTACAGCAGAAATTAGTTCCATCCTTAGGATATAAAGGATACAGGGATGGTGGTTTCTATCATGTATCTGTTTAATTCACCACTCTTGACCTTATAGAAACCAGATGATCCTGGAAGGTGACTGTAGACTGCCATGAGTTCAACCAAGTACTATAGCCCCGATTACAGCCATTATGTAAGATGTAGTATCTTTGCTACAGCAGATTACTTTGGCCTCGGGAACATATTATACAACCACTGATTTGGCAAATGTGTTCTTTTTTATCCTAATCAGAAAAAGAAAAAGAGTCAGAAAAAAGTTTGCATTTACATGGAATGGGCAACAATATACATGTGAGGTTTTCCTCCCAGGGCTATGCCTTCCACTCTATGTAAAATACAGTCTGAAGAGATTTGGACTATCTCAACCTTGTCCAACCCACGGCTTGCAGGCTGTACATGGCACAGGAGAGCTTTGAAACTTTCTTAAAACATTATAATTTTTTTTTTTTTTTGAGACAGAGTCTTGCTCTGTCACCCAGGCTGGAGTGCAGTAGTGTAATCTCAGCTTACTGCAACTTCCGCCTCCCAGCTTCAAGCGATTCTCCTGCCTCAGCCTCCCGAGTAGCTGGGATTACAGGCGCCCGTCACCATGCCCAGCTAATTTCTGTATTTTTAGTAGAGACGGGGTTTTGCAATGTTGGCCAGGCCAGTCTCAAACTCCTGACCTCAAGTGATCTGCTCACTTTGGCCTCCCAAAGTGCTGGGATTACAGGCGTGAGCCACTGCGTCTAGCCTTTTTTGTGATTTATTTTTTGGCTCATCAGCTATCGTTCGTGTTAGTGTATTTTATGTGTGGCCCAAGACAATTCTTCTTCCAATGTGGCCCAGGGAAGCCAAAAGATTGTACACCTCTGAACTATCTGGACATACTTTAGAGTTTCATGCTGATCCATTGCATTGATGACAATATGTTAATGAGCCAGATGAACAAGAGATGGATAATACACTGAAGGCCTTGGTAAATAAGACAGGCACTTCAGAGGGCACTCTGTGAAGATTCAGGGACCTTCTACATCTATAAATTTTTTTTTTTTTTGAGACAGAGTCTCACTCTGTTGCCCAGGCTGGAGTGTACTGGTGTGATCTCGGCTCAGTGCAAGCTCCCACTCCCGGGTTCACGCCATTCTCCTGCCTCAGCATCCCGAGTAGCTTGGACTACAGGCACCCGCCAGCACGCCCGGCTATTTTTTTGTATTTTTAGTAGAGACGGGGTTTCACTGTGTTAGCCAGGATGGTCTCGATCTCCTGACCTCGTGATCCGCCCGCCTCAGCCTCCCAAAGTGCTGGGATTACAGGTGTGAACCACCGCGCCCAGCAAAATTTTTATTTTTTTATTTTTTTGAGATGGAGTCTCGCTCTGTCACCCAGGCTGGAGTGCAGTGGCACGATCTTGCTCACTGCAACCTCTGCCTCCCAGCTCCTGCCTCAGCCTCCCGAGTAGCTGGCATTACAGGCACCCATCACCATGCCCAGCTAATTTTAATATTTTTAGTAGAGATGGGGGTTTTGCTGTGTTGGCCAGGCTGGTCTCAAACTCCTGACCTCAGGTGATCTGCTCACCTCGGCCTCCCAAAGTGATGAGATAATAGGCATGAGCCACTGCGCCAAGCCCCAACATCCCTAAAATTTTTAGGAGTACAGTTGTCAGGGGCATGTTGGGATATCCTCTTCAAAGTAAAAGACAAATTATTGCATTTTATGCCTTCTCCCACAAAAAAGGAAGCGCAACACCTGGTGGATCTCTTCAGATTCTAGAGTCAGCATATTCTACACCTAAGGATGCTGCTGTAGTCTATATACCAGGTGTCACGAAAGACTGGAAGCTTTGAGCAAGGCCTAAAGCGGGCCCAGAGCATGACAGAGCTTTGCAGTAGATACAGGCTACAGTGTAAACAGTCCTACTCCTAGGACAATACAATTCAGCATATCCTATGGTGCTGCAGATTATCAGAAGTGGGAGAAGATGCTATGTATAATTTGTGTCAAGCTTTGGAAGTGGCACTGGGGCTCTGGAGCAAGACCCTACCATCTGCAGTGAAGATTTAAACATGCTGTTGAAAAACAACTCCGGGCCAGGTGTGGTGGCTCATGCCTGTAATCCCAGCACTTTGGGAGGCCGAGGTGGGTGGATCACTTGAGGTCAGGAGTTCGAGACCAGCCTGGCCAACATGGTGAAACCCCGTCTATATTAAAAATATAAAAATTAGCAGGGTGTGGTGGTGTGCACCTGTGCTCCAAGCTACTCAGGAGACTGAGGCAGGAGAATCACTTGAACCCGGGAGGCGGAAGTTGCAGTGAGCCAAGATCGCGCCACTGCACTGTAGGCTGTGTGACAGAGCGAGACTCTGTCCCAAAAACAAAACACCACAGAAAAGCAACTCTGGTATGCTACTGGCCCTTAGAAGAAACAAAATGGTGGATCATGACCAAATGACTGCACAGCTGGAATTTCCCGTTATGGTTTGAGTCCTCTCAGAACAGCCAATTCATAAGGTCAGCAGTGCACAGCAACACTCCATCATAATAGTGAATGTGACATGGGCCAGGTGTGGTGGCTCATGACTGTAATCCCAGCACTTTGGGAGGCTGAGTGGGCGGATCACTTGAGGTCAGGAGTTTGAGACCAGACTGGCCAACATGGTGAAACCCTTCCTCTACTAAAAATACAAAAAGTACCTGGATGTGGTGGTGCATGCTTGTAATCCCAGCTACTTGGGATGCTGAGGCGGGAGGATCAGGTAAAGGTTGCAGTGAGCCAAGAGGGTACCACTGCACTCCAGCATGGAAAGACAGAGAGCGAGACTCTGTCTCAAAAACAAACAAACAAACAAACAAAAAACCAAAAACCAAACCAAAACAAAACAAAACCATTGATGCGGTATGTCTAGTATCAGTCACAAGTAGGACCAGAGGACCTGGGAAAGCTGCATGAGCAGGTAGCCCAGACTCCCATGGTCCCTACCACTGTAGAACCAATTACTCTCCCTCAATTCATGTCTTTGACTTTATGAGGAGTCTTATATGAAGGAGCTGAAGGAGGAGAAAAAAGCCTGTGCTTTTTTACAGCAGGTCAGCTTAGTATCCAGATGCAGGAAACAAGTGGGCAATGGACAGCATTACTCTGAGACAGTCTTGAAAGACAATGATGAAGGGGAATTCTCCCAGGAGCAGAACTTTGGGAGATCCACTTTGGTGATCCACTTTGTGTTGAAAGAAAAGTGACCTTAAACTAGAATATATATATATAGACTAATGGGCAGTAACAAATGTTCTGCTTAATTTTATTTTACTTTATTTATTTATTATTTTGAGACACAGTCTCATTCTTGTCGCCCAGGCTGGAGTGCAATGGTGCAATCTCAGCTCACTGCAACCTCTGCCTCCCGGGTTCAAGCGATTCTCCTGCCTCAGCCTCCAGAGTAGCTGGGATTACAGGCGCGCGCCACCATGCCCTGCTAATTTTTGTATTTTTAGTAGAGATGGGGTTTCACCATGTTGGCCAGGCTGCTCTCGAACTCCTGACCTCAGGCGATCTGCCCACCTCAGCCTCCCGAAGTGTTGGGATTACAGGGATGAGCCACCACGCTCAGCACCCAGTGCTCCTTTCTTTCTAGAAATACATCAAATCATTCTTTCTGGGAGTTGACAATTATTTTGTATTGAAGTATGTATACAGGTACATGTAACTAGAAGTTGTTGCCCATGCTGGAGTGCAGTGGCTCGATCTCGGCTCACTGCAACCTCCACCTCCCAGGCTCAAGTGATCCTCTCACCTAAGCCTCCTGAGTAGCTGCAACTACAGGCATGTACCACCACACCCAGCTAATTTTTGTATTTTTTGTAGAGATGGGGTTTCGCATGCAGGCTGGTCTCAAACTCCTGGGCTCAGTGATCTGCCTGCTTTGGCCTCACAAAATGCTGGGATTACAGGTGTGAACCACCCTGCCTAGCCTAGAAGTTCTAATCGTGCATGTGCAGCTTTGTTTTATGTTTATTTCCTCATTGGGTTAGTAGTTAAAACAATAATTTTTCCTTTTCTTTTTATTTTGAAATAATGTTAAACTTACAGAAAAATTGCAAGACAAGGGCAAAAAAATTTTTTTTTGCCTTGAGCCATTTAAGAGTATGTTGCCAACAACATGCCCTGTTGCCCACGAGAATACTTTACTGTGTGTATTTCTCACAAACAGCAACATTTCCTTACCTAAGTATAATACAACCATCCAAACTAGGACACTGACAATGATGTTTTACTACAGTCGCATCAATGTACTCCATTCAAGTTTCACCAATTGTCCCAATAATGTCCTTGCAAAAGAATACAACCCAAGATCAAAACACTGCTTTTGGTTTTCATCCCTCTTTAGTCTTCTTTAGTCTGGAACAGTCCCTCAGTCTTTCCTTTACTTTCATGACCACTTTTGAAGATAACAGGCCAGTTATTTTATAGAATGTCCCTTGATCTGCGTTTGTCTGATGTATCCTCTTGTCTAGATTCAACATGGTGAAGATATTTAGATCAAATGAAAACCATGGGCTGGGTGCGGTGGCTCACGCCTGTAATCCCAGCACTTTGGGAGGCCAAGGTGGGCAGATCACTTGAGGTCAGGAGTTCGAGACCAGCCTGGCCAACATGGTGAAATCCTGTCTCTACTAAAAATACAGAAGTTAGCCGGGTGTGGTGGCACGTGCCTGTATTCCCAGCTATTCAGGAGGCTGAGGTAGGAGAATTGCTTGATTCCAGGAGGCGGAGATTGCAGTGAGCTGAGATTGCACCGCTATACTCCAGCCTGGGTGACAGCCAGACTCTGTCTCCAAAAAAAAAAAAAAAAAAAAAAAAAGAAAGAAAAGAAAAAAAGAAAACCATGAATCCACCCCCAATACCTTCAATTCCAGTCTAATGCCACAGGGTTTATTCTAGTTTCCTCATTACTATATTTATTCTTTCATTTTAAATAGAAGCTTCACTCCCATTATTCTCAAAATATTTACTTATTTGATCAATCTCTTGTCCTGCCCCTCCATGAACCATTTCCTTACCTGGCTTGGACTCTGATATTCTCAGCTGGGCAGCTAGAGTCACCACCCCTACTTTCCTATGGAAACTCTCCTCATGCTTGGGCTCCAGCACCCCATTCTTACCACCACCAGTCCCCCTCTCCACACCACGGACTCCCTCTTCATTCAATCTGGGCTTTCATACTCTCAGCCCAGTTGTGAAATGGGACTTTTTACAACCAAAAGATTAAGAATGTACACTATAAATTGTGACTTTGATGAAATCAGTAATATTTCTTCATATAGGCCTGAGGACCAAATTAACTATATTCTGAACTTAGTTGGGGTTCTAAAAGGACCTGCTGGCCATGCATGGTGGGTCACACCTGTAGTCCCAGCACTTTGGAAGATTGAGGTGGGTGGATCACTTGAGCCCAGGAGTTCGAGACCAGCCTGGGACAACATAGCAAAACCCTGTCTCTATAGAAAATACAAAAAATTAGCCAGGCGTGGTGGCACATACCTGTCCCAACTACTTGGAAGCCTGAGGTAGGAAGATCGCTTGAGCCAGGGAGGTTGAGGCTGCAGTGAAGCGTGATTGTGCCACTGTACTCCAGGCCAGGTGACAGAGTAAGACCCTGCCTCAAAAATATAAATATAAATATAAATAAATGAATAAATAAAAGTACCTGCTATGTTTTAGTATTTAATCTACTTGGAACTTGTTTTTGTATGATATAAAATGGAGGTCCAATTATTTTCCTGACAGATATCATCATTTATTATATAATCCATCCATATCCCACTGAATTAAAATTGCACTGTTCACATTTTATGTTCTTAAAAACAGATATCTATTCCTGGATTCTCTTTTCTATTCCACTGGTTTATTTGTCTATGCCCAGGCCAATATTATATTGATGCTATTGTGGTATCTTTATAGTGTCTTCTGAGATCTAGTAAGCCAAGTGCACCCTTACTGTACTTCTTTCTACATTTATTGGCTATTTACAAGTACTTTATTCTTTCCAAATAAATCATCAGATAATTTAATCCAATTAAAAAGAAACCTGTTGGATACTGTGACAGTTGCATCGTTCAGCAGATTGAGTCACGAAGAGATGTATACCATCTGTCTGATGTATCTGGGGTGGTTGGGAAAAAAAAAACTGTTGGGATTATACTGGAATTTTTTTCTTTTTTTTTCTTTGCCCCAGCTGCTGGGATATAATAGGAATTTTATGAATTTTATATATATTTGTAGAGTTGTCCTTTTTGTGATAGTGTCTTAATATTCAAGAAAGAAACAATGAAGGTCATACAATGCCTGCTCATTATTCAGATCTTGATTCATTTATTTCCCCAACATATATATTTGAGCACCTACTATAGGCTAGACACTGTTCTAGATCCTGGGGATTCAACTGGGAACAAAACAAAGTTTCTGCTTTTTCAAAAAAGCAGAAAGTTTAGTAGTAGGAGATAGGTAATAAATATAAATACACACACACATATATATATGTAAATACATATGTAATACGTCAGATGGTATTAAATACTATGGCAAAAAATGAATCCAGCTAAAGGGGATATAGTGTGCTGGGAGGAGGGCTGTTTTTTAATTTAGTGCAAAAGATGATGTGGTGATATTTGACACATATATGAAGGACATGAAGGAGTCATCTGTGCATTCCAGGTGGGGGAGACAGCAAATGCAGAGGTGGGAGTGTGCTTGGTGGGTTATGCTGGCAGAGGAAGAGCAGGCAGCCCGGTGTGGCTACAGCAGGGTGAGCAGCCGGAAGAGGGGCAGGAAGTGGAGACAGAAAGGTTGCTGGGAGGCGCCATACCGAGTACAGCCATGGAGACCACTGTGAGTACTGTGGCTAAATAACTCAGGGAGAAGGGAAATTACCCTGAATTTTGAGCAGAGGAGTGACATGATCTGATGATCTTAACAAATCATTCTGGTGGACAGGAGTGGAAGCAGGGAGACCAGTTAGGACTCTGGCTTTGTCTTGCCTGAGATGGGGGTGGCTGGGAGGAGGGTGGGGGTGTGGGGGGTGAGAGATGGGGGATTCTGATTTGGCTGGCTTGCGTGCCATTGCAGGCCACCAGAGGGCACTACACATACGTCCTTGGTGAGGCTAAGCTGTGACAGCCAGTCCTTCCCTCACCCTCCCCAAATGACAGGTTGTGATACCTCCTTATGCAATAACCACCCTACCTGCTTTGCTACTAGAATTTAGATTCTGGTCCAGACTATGACATGCCCATACTCAAAAGATGAACCGTGGTAGTACAAGCACCATCTGAGTCTCCACGATTGCAGTCATCTAATGTCACAGTCTTCCTTTGTTTCCAGGACCCTCCTATCTCTCCATCAACCTCCCCTGTACACTTACCTGCATCAACCAGTGCATGAATGTAGCTGGGAAAACAGGTTTGCTGAATGTGACTGGGAGTTCCTTTCTTTGCCATTATTTCTTATGGGAACACTGCCTTTTAAAACCTATAGTGCTGAATGAAAAGGGTGTTTTTAGACCAGGCGCAGTGGCTCATGCCTGCAATCCCAGCACTTTGGGAGGCTGAGGCTGGTGGATCATTTGAGCCCAGGAATTCGAGACAAGTCTAAGAAACATAGCAAGAGGCTGTCTCTACAAAAATTAGCCAGGCGTGGTGGTGTGCATCTGTAGTCCTAGCTACTCAGGAAGCTGAAATGGGAGGATCACTTGAGCCCAGGAGGTTGGGGTTGCAGTGAGCCAAGATTGTACCACTGCACTCCGGCCTAAGTAACAGAGCGAGACCCTGTCTCTACAAAAGTACAAAAATTATCCAGGCATGATGGCAGGTGCCTGTAATCCCAAATACTCTGGAGGCTGAGGTGGGAGAATTGCTTGAACCTGGGAGGTGGAGGTTGCAGTGAGCCAAGATCACACCCTTGCACTCCAGCCTGGGCGACAGGGTGAGACTCTATCTCAAAAAAAAAGAAAAAAAAGATACCCACATGTGGTTAGTGTGTGCTGTATTGGACAGGGCAGGTTTACAGTGTGTGGAAGAATGTCTTATCATCTCCCTAATATTCATGCTTCTCTTTCTTTCATCATAGAACTCCTCCTCCAAGTTTAGCAATGCACATGAATATCCAGCTTGAGACACCATTTACCAACCTCTCTCAGTTAGGAGTGGCCATATGTGTTTGTTTTCTATTGCAGTGTGACAAATGACCACAGACTTAGCAGCTTAAAACAACACCCACTTATTATCTCAGAGTTCTGTAGGTCAGAAGTCTGGGCTTGGCTGGGTTCTCTGCTCAGGGTCCCAAAAGGCTGATACCAAGGTGTCCATGGGCTGGGCTCTGGAAAAGAATCTACTTCTAGACTCATTCAGGTTGGCAGAATCCAGTTCCTTGTGGCTGTAGATCTGAGATCCTGATTCCTACCTGGCTGTGAGCAGCGGGGGCTGCTCTGTGTTCCCAGAGGCTGCCGGGATACTTCCTGTGGTCCCTACACCTTTTCTTTTCTTTCTTTTTTTTTTCTTTTTTTGAGACAGAGTCTTGCTCTGCCACCCAGGCTGGAGTGCAGTGATGCTATCTTGGCTCACTGCAACCTCTGCCTCCTGGGTTCAAGAGATTCTCCTGTCTCAGCCTCCCAAGTAGCTGGGATTACAGGTGTGCACCACCACGCCTGGCTAATTTTTGTATTTTTAGTAGAGATGGGGTTTCACCATGTTGGCCAGGATGGTCTCGAACTCCTGACCTCAAGTGATCTGCCCTCCTTGACCTTCCAAAGTGTTGAGATTACAGGTGTGAGCCACTGCACCTGGCCAGTCCCCTACATCTTCAAGGCAGCCTTGGTGCAGTGCCTTTCTTATGCTTGGAATCTCTCTCTGATGGTTAATTTTAGGTGTCAACTTAACTGGATTAAGGAAAACGTAGAAACCTACTAAAGCATTCTTTTGAGTGTCTCTGTGAAGGTGTTTCCAGAGGAGATTAGTGTGTGAGTCTCAGTGGACTAGGTGGGAAAGATCTGCCTGCAATGTGGGTGGGCACCATTCAATCTGCTGGGGGCTTGGAGAGAAGAAAAACCAGGGCAAAAATGAATGTGCTGATCTACCTGCTGGAGCTGGGATACACTCTTCCTCTCCCGTCCTTGGACAATAACTCCAGACTTCTCGGCCTTTGGATTCCAGGACTTACATCAGTGGCTCCCCTCCCTGAGTTCTCAGGCCTCTGGGCTCGGCCTGAGAGTTACACCCTTGGCCTCCCTGGTTCTGAGGCCTTCAGACTTGGATTGAGCCATGCTACCAGCATCCCAGGGTCTCCAGCTTGCATATGGCTCATTGTGGGACTTTTTGCCTACCATAATCACATGAGCCAATTCCTCTAATAAATCCCCTCTCAGCCAGGTGCACTGGCTCACATTTTTTTGTTTCCCAGTGCATGTAAAAGTTATGTTTACACTATACTGTAATCTATTACATGTGCAATAGCATTCATTATGCCTAAAAAAAACATAGTACACACCTTAATTAAAAAATACTTTCTGGCTGGGTGTGGTGGCTCATGCCTGTAATCTCAGCACTTTGGGAGGTGGACACAGGAGAATCAGTTGAGCTCAGGAGTTCAAGAACAGCCTGGGCATCCTAGTGAGACTCCATCTCTTTTTTAAAAAATACCCCCTTTATCTATCTATCTATCTATCTATCTATCTATCTATCTAATCTATCTATCTATTCATCCATCCTTTCTATTGGTTCTGCCTCTCTGGAGAACCCTGATTAATACACTCTCTGTCTTCCCCTTCTGCCCAGCAGCCAGAAAAACTGATTTTCAAGGGCTTGTGATTAGATTACACCCACCTGGATAATCCTTTTGCTTTATAACAGAACATAATCTCAGGAGTGAGATCATGTTGATTTCTACCTATCCTCAAAAAGGAAGAAAGGGATTATGCCAAGGCAAGGATCATAGGAAGAATTCTTAGAATTCTGCCTCCTATGCCATGTGATTAAATTCTAGTCAACAAGAAGTTAATGGCAACTCTGTTCTTCCAGTTGCTCAAAATACTGGGTGTCCTCCTTGGCCTCTCACTTCTCACACCCCATTGGTCAGTCAGAAAATTCTGTCAGCTCTGCCTGCAAAACACACTCAGCATTCAAGCACTTCCCATGCCTTCCTACTTCCCAATGCTGGGCAGGTCACCATCATCTCTCACATGGATTAGTGTAACTTCCTAGCTGGCTTTCTCTCCAGCATTGTTCTTTTTTTTTTTTTTTTCTGAGATGGAGTCTCACTCTTGTTGCCCAGGCTGGAGTGCAATGGCACGATCTTGGCTCACTGCAACCTCCGCCTCTCAGGTTCAAGCGATCCTCCTGCCTCAGCCTCCCAAGTAGCTGGGATTACAGGCATGCACCACCCATGCCCGGCTAATTTTTGTATTTTTACTAGAGATGGGGTTTCTCCATGTTGGTCAGGCTAGTCTCGAACTCCCGACCTCAGGTGATCCGCCCACCTCGGCCTCCCAAAGTGCTGGGATTACAGGCGTGAACCACTGTGCCCGGTCATTTTGTTCTTGACACAGCAACCAGAATGATCCTGATACAGCATATGCCAAACCATGTCCCTTAGCACTCTTCAGTGGGTCTCTATCTCATAATAAAGACCAAAATCCTTAATATGGACCACACGATTCTACTTTGGTCTCCATATTAGGTTTGTGACCTCAAAATCCTATCACTCTTCTGGCTGGGTGTGGTGGTTCACGCCTATAATCCCAGCATTTTGGGAGGCCAAGGTGGGCAGATCACTTGAGGTCAGGAGTTTGAGATCAGCCTGTCCAACATGGCAAAACCCTGCCTCTAATAAAAATACAAAAATTAGCTGGCATGGTGGCACACACCTGTAATTCCAGGAATTTGGGAGGCTGAGGCGGGCGGATCACTTGAGGTCAGGAATTCGAGACCAGCCTGGCCAACATGGCAAAATCCCATCTCTACCAAAAATACAAAAACTAGCTGGGCATGGTGGTATGTGCCCGTAGTCCCAGCTACTCAAGAGGCTGAGGCACAAGAACCACTTGAACCCGTGAGGCGGAGGTTGCAGTGAGCTGAGATCTCGCTACTGCACTCCAGCCTGGCGACAGAGCGAGACTCTGGCTCAAAAAAAAAAAAAAAAAAAAATCTTATCACTCTTCTCCTCCTTCTCTTCACTGTAGCCTCATAGGGCTCCTTGCTGTTCCTTAAACATGTCAAAAAGTGCTTTAAGTCTTTGGTACTTGCTATTCTCTTTGCCTAGAATGTTCTTCTCCAAGATATCTACATGGCTAGCTCTCATTTCCTTCATGTCTTAATTCAAAAGTTGCCTTTCAGCCAGGCAAGGTGGAGCATACCTGTAATCCCAGTGCTTGGGAGGCTGAGGTGGGAGGATTGCTTGAGGCCACGAGTTCGAGACCAGCCTAGGGAACATAGTGAGACCTTTTTTGGTTCTACAGAAAATAAAATAAATAGCCAGCTTGGTGGCACATTCCTGTAGTCTCAGCTACTTGGGAGGCTGAGACAGAGGATACCTTGAGCTCAGGAGTTTGAGGTTGCAGTGAGCTATGATCATGCCACTACACTCCAGCCTAGATGACAGAGTAAGACCCTGTTTCTAAAAAAAATAAAAATAAAAAATAAGCCTGGTGCGGTGGCTCACACCTATAATCCCAGCACTTTGGGAGGCCAAGGTAGGCGGATCACTTGAGGGCAGGAGTTTGAGACCAGCCTGGCCAACAGGGTGAAACCCCGTCTCTACCAAAAAAACCTAGCTGGGCGTGGTGGCATGTGCCTGTAGATCCAGCTACTCAGGAGGCTGAGGCATGAGAATCCCTTAAACCTGGGAAGCAGAGGTTGGAGTGAGCCAAGATCGCGTCACTACACTCCATCCTGGGTAACAGAGCGAGACTCCATCTCAAAATAAACAAACAAACAAACAAACAAAATTCAGCTGGGCGCAGTGGCTCATGCCTGTAATCCCAGCACTTTGAGAAGCCGATGCGGGTGGATCACCTGAGGTCAGGAGTTTGAGGCTGGCCTGGCCAACATGGTGAAACCCATCTCTACTAAAAATACAAAATTAGCTGGGTGTGGTGGCGGGCACCTGTAATCCCAGCTTCTCCGGGGGGCTGAGGCAGGAAAGTCAACTGAACCCAGGAGGCGGAGGTTGCAGTGAGCTGAGACTGTGCCATTGCACTCTAACCTGGGCAACAGTAAGACTCGGTCTCGAAGAAAAGAAAACATTCAGGCCAGGCACAGTGGTTCATGCCAGTAATCCCAGTGAGGCTGAGGTGGGCAAATCATTTGAGCCCAAGGAGTTTGAGGCCAGCCTGGGCAACTGGGCAACATGGGGAAATCTTCATCTCTAAAAAATAGAAAAATTAGCCCAGTGTGGGGCATGTGCCTGTAATTCCAGCTAATTGGGAAGCTGAGGTGGGGAAGTTGAGGCTGTGTGAGCTGTGATAGCACCACTACATTCCAGTCTGGGTGACAGAGTGAGACCCCGTCTCCAAAACACAACAAAAATTTACTTTTCTAGTGAGGCTTCTCGTGGCCACATCACTTCATATTCTCCTACCCTGCTTTAGTGTTTTGCACCTTAGTACTTTTCACTGTGCAACCTACTAAAAAAAATTTTTTTTTTTTGAGACAAAGCCTTGCTCTGTCACCCAGGCTAGAGTGCAATGGCGTGATCTTGGCTCACTGCAACCTCCGCCTCCCAGGTTCAAGTGATCCTCCTGCCACAGCCTCCTGGATAGCTGGGATTACAGGCATGTACCAACACGCCCAGCTAATTTTTGTATTTTTAGTAGAGACAGGGTTTCACCATGTTGACCAGGCTGGTCTTGAACTTCTTACCTCAAATGATCCACCCGCCTTGCCCTCCCAAAGTGTTGGATTACAAATGTGAGCCACCACTGCTGGCCCACACTACAGATTTTAATTTTGCATCTTGTTTATCTCTCCCACCAAAATGTAATCCATTAGCACAGAGATTCTCTCCCATTCCCTCCCTTTCCTCTTCTTTTCTTCATTACTGTATCAACTTGGCATGTGGTAGGCACTCACAAATGTTTGTTGAATTAATAATACGGTGAGAGGGAGATGATGAGAGTCAAAGCATTCTTTTTGGCCAGGTGCAGTGGCTCACGCCTGTAATCCCAGCACTTTTAGAGGCTGAGGTGGGTGGATCACCTGAGGTCAGGAGTTGGAGACCAGCCTGGCCAACATGGTGAAACCCTGTCTCTAAAAAAAAAAAAAAAAAAAATTAGCCAGGCATGGTGGCACATGCCTGTAGTCCCAGCTACTTGGGAGGCTGAAGCAGGAGAATCGCTTGAACCCGGGAGGCAGAGGTTGTAGTGAGCCGAGATCATGCCACTGCACTCCAGCCTGGGCGACAGAGCAAGACTCCATCTCAAAAAAAAAAAGCAATTTTTTTTTTTTTTTTAGTAAGAGACAGGATTCCAGGCTGAGGTGTAGTGACACTATCATAGCTCACTGCAGCCTTGAATTCCTGGGCTCAAGCCATCCTCTCACCTCAGCCTCCCGAGTAGCTGACATTACAGATGCGTGCCACCACACCCAGCTAAATATTTTTATTTTTTGTAGAGACAAGGTCTTGCTATGTTGCCCAGGCTGGTCTCAAGGGGTCCTCCTGGCCTCAAGAGGTCCTCCTGTCTCAGCCTCCCAATGAGCTGGGATTACAGGCATGGGCCACCATGCCTGGCTGGGAATTGGAGCATTCTAAGATCTTCATACTGTTTGGGAGGGAGGTGGTGATACTGATTAACTTTAGAGTTTGCTAAGCTAAATGTGGATGCTGTGCTTTTAAGGGATACCACTGAGAGAACCGAAATGGAACTATGACTTCAATGTGGATGGGAAGGGAAGGGCAAAAAAGAAAATTTGATTAAGCCAATGGGAGGCAGGAATGAAGAAAAAGCAGCAAAGATACAATAAAAAGAAAGCACAAAGCTTCCTGATTCTCGTGGAATAATGGCAGATGCCTAAAATCCCTTCACAGTCCTTCACAAACCATACAGATTGACAATGAAAGCAACTTAAATAAATCACCCCATCCCTCACAGCATCACTAGGAGACAGGGCATACCTCAAACTTCAATTTACATATAAATGGGGAGATAAATATCTGAAACCAGCAGAGCTAGGTCTAGAGCTCACTTCTGAACGGGAAGTCAGGAGGGTTGTGTGGAAGACAGCAGAGTGCAGCCAGGTCCTGGAGGTGGCAGCACACAGATAGCATTGGCTAGAATTAGCCCCAGAAGGAGAGGACCGTATCCTGAGAATTGGTGGATCAGAGAACTGTCTACTGAGTAATTGAAAGAAACATTCGTGAACTAGCAATAGCAGAAACAACATTCTCTGATCACAAAATGCAATACAATGACAAATTAACAAAATTAAAAGTAAAAAGACTTTTCGAACTAGAATTTTTTTTTTTTTTTCCGAGATGGAGTCTCGTTCTGTCTCTCAGGCTGGATGGAGTGCAGTGGCGCGATCTTGGCTCACTGCAACCTCTGCCTCCCGAGTTCAAGCAATTCTCGTGCTTCAGCCTCCCAAGTAGCTGGGATTACAGGTGCCTGCCACCACGTCCAGCTAATTTTTGTATTTTTAGTAGAGACGAGGTTTCACCATGTTGGCCAGGCTGGTCTTGAATTCCTGACCTCAAGTGATCTGCCCCCCTTGGCCTCCCAAAGTGCTGGGATTACAGGTGTGAGCCACCATGCCCAGCCTAGAAATTTTAAAGAACTCGATCGAGCAACTCTTGAGTCAACAGGGTAATACAAACCAAAATTGCAGAATTTTATAAAATAACAATAATGAAAACACAGCTTATCTGAATTTATGAGGTACTGCAAAAGCATTGTTAGGAAATGTATTACATCAAATACACATATCAGTAAAAGTAAACATCAACTAAAAAGGAAAAAAGCAAAGTAAACCAAGAGAAAGTAGAAGGTAGGAATGAATATAGACATAAATAGAAATTAATAAGTGAGGGCCGGGGGCAGTAGCTCACGCCTGTAATCCCAGCACTTTGAGAGGCTGAGGCAGGTGATCACTTTTAGCTTAGGAGTTCGAGACCAGCCTGGGCAACATGGCGAAACCCTGTCTCTACTAAAAATACAAAAATTAGCCAGGCACATGGTGGCGCGTACCTGTAATCCCAGCTACTCAGGAGGCTGAGGCAGGAGAATCACTTGAACCTGGGAGGCAGAGGTTGCAGTGAGCTGAGATTGTTCCACTGTACTACAGGCTGGGCAACAGAGTGAGACTCCATCTCCAAAAAAAAAGAAAGAAATTAATGAATTAGGAAACAGAAAAAACGGTGTTTGGAGCTGGAGATGGCATGGGCACTGGTAGAGCTATTCTGGCTGTGGTGAGGAGGTGACCCCTGCCTGGTCCAGGAACTCCCAACTCTCCCTGCACCCTCCTTGGCTCCAGCCTTTGAAGCATGTCTGCCTGCCCCACTCCTAGTTTCCTGCGTTTCCTTGTCCTCTGCCCCTCCCCGCACCATTGAAGGCAGAAGCATGGGGTGCTCCCCTGTGCCAGCCGTCCACGGGCAGCACCAATGGGCAGAAGGCAGTGAGGTCTCTGATTCGCCTCTCTCGTTTCTCCATTCCACCTCCCCGTCCCCCTCCATAAGAAGACTGGATGCCTGTGCTAACGCAGAGATTGAGAGACCCCAACATAAACCCTTGCTTGAAGGAATCTGATGCTTCTACCAGAGGAATGGATGAAAATGACCATGACAGGGAAACATGTTCCATTTATTTATTTATTTATTGGTGGTCTTGCTGTGGTGTCCAGGCTGGCCTCAAACTGCTGGACTCAAAGGATCCTCCTGCCTCAGCCTCCTGAGTAACTGTAATTATAGGCCACCACTCTAGGCTCTACTTCTTGGAACGCAAAAACTACCGAGAGTCTGGAATTTTATCATGGTCCGAAGAATACAGGATGGAGTGAAGCCATCTGTGTCCATAGCAGAGAGAGAGATGAAATCTTGGGAAAATGGGAAAGAAGCCCTATTGAATGTTTGCATTAAAATTGTTTTTATAAATTGATGCCCACATCAACATGGACAAATATCATAATCGTTATGCTGAGTGAGAGAAAACAGACTCAAAGGGCTACATACTGTATTGAGAGGTGACAGCGTGCTGGCAGTCCTCAGAGCCCTCGCTTGCTCTCGGCACCTCCTCTGCCTGGGCTCCCAGTTTGGCGGCACTTGAGGAGCCCTTCAGCCCACCACTGCACTGTGGGAGCCCCTTTCTGGGCTGGCCAAGGCTGGAGCCCACTCCCTCAGCTTGCAGGGAGGTGTGGAGGGAGAGGCGCGAGCGGGAACCGGGGCTGCGTGAGGCGCTTGCGGGCCAGCTGGAGTTCCGGGTGGGCGTGGGCTTGGCGGCCCCGCACTCGGAGCAGTCGGCCAGCCCTGCTGGCCCCGGGCAATGAGGGACTTAGCACCCGGGCCAGCAGCTGCGGAGGGTGTACTGGGTCCCCCAGCAGTGCCAGCCCACCGGCGCTGCGCTCAATTTCTCACGGAGGCTTAGCTGCCTTCCCGCCGGGCAGGGCTTGGGACCTGCAGCCCCCCATGCCTGAGCCTCCCACCCACTCCGTGGGTTCCTGTGCAGCCTGAGCCTCCCTGATGAGCGCCGCCCCCTGCTCCACGGCGCCCAGTCCCATCCACCACCCAAGGGCTGAGGAGTGCGGGCGTATGGCACTGGGACTGGCAGGCAGCTCCACCTGCAGCGCAGGTGTGGGATTCACTGGGTGAAGCCAGCTGAGCTCCTGAGTCTGGTGGGGCCTTGGAGGACTTTTATGTCTAGCTCAGGGATTGTAAATACACCAATCGGCACTCTGTATCTAGCTCAAGGTTTGTAAACACACCTATCAGCACCCTGTGTCTAGCTCAGGGTTTGTGAGTGCACCAATCCACACTCTATCTAACTGCTCTGGTGGGGCCTTGGAGAACCTTTATGTCTAGCTCAGTGATTGTAAACACACCAATCGGCACTCTGTATCTAGCTCAAGGTTTGTAAACACTCCAATCAGCACCCTGTGTCTAGCTCAGGGTTTGTGAATGCACCAATCGACACTCTGTATCTGGCTACTCTGGTGGGGCCTTGGAGAACCTTTATGTCTAGCTCAGGGATTGTAAATACACCAATCGGCACTCTGTATCTACCTCAAGGTTTGTAAACACACCAATCAGCACCCTGTGTCTAGCTCAGGGTTTGTGAGTGCACCAGTTGACACTCTGTATCTAGCTACTCTGGTGGGGCCTTGGAGAACATTTATGTCTAGCTTAGGGTTTGTGAGTGCACCAATCGACACTCTGTATCTAGCTGCTCTGGTGGGGCCTTGGAGAACCTTTGTGTCGATACTCTGTGTCTAACTAATCTGATGGGGCCATGGAGAACCTTTGTGTCTAGCTCAGGGATTGTAAATGCACCAATCAGCGCCCTGTCAAAACAGACCACTTGGCTCTACCAATCAGCAGGATGTGGGTGGGGCCAGATAAGAGAATAAAAGCAGGCTGCCCGAGCTAGCAGTGGCAACCCGCTCGGGTCCCCTTCCACACTGTGGAAGCTTTGTTCTTTCGCTCTTTGCGATAAATCTTGCTACTGCTCACTCTTTGGGTCCACGCTGCTTTTATAAACTGTAACACTCACAGCAAAGGTCTGCAGCTTCACTCTTGAAGCCAGCGAGACCATGAGCCCACCGGGAGGAACAAACAACTCCAGACGTGCTGCCTTAAGAGCTGTAACACTCACCGCGAAAGTCTGCAGCTTCACTCCTGAGCCAGCGAGACCACGAACCCACCAGAAGGAAGAAACTCCGAACACATCCGAACATCAGAAGGAACAAACTCCAGACGCGCCACCTTAAGAGCTGTAACACTCACCGCGAGGGCCCATGGCGTCATTCTTGAAGTCAGTGAGACCAAGAACCCACCAATTCCGGACACAGTATGATTCCATTTATGTGACATTCTGGAAAAGGCAAAACCTTAAAGTTACCAGCTGCTGAAATTGGGGATGAAAAGTGCTGACAAAGAGGCATGAGTTATAATTGAATCTTGATTGTGGTAGTACTTATACTATTGTGTATATATGTCAAAAGTCATCATATTGTACAGTTAAAATAATTTTATTGCATGGAAATTAGGCCTAAATAAAGTTTTTTTTTTTTTTTTTTTTTTGAGAAAGGGTCTTACTCTGTCACCCAGGCTGGAGTGCAGTATCATGATCTCAGCTTACTGCAACCTCCTCTGCCTGGGCTTAAGTGTGATTCTTGTGCCTCAGCCTCCTCAGGAGCTGGGACTACAGGTGTGTGCCACTACGCCTAGCTAATTTTTGTATTTTTAATAGAGATGAGGTTTCACCATGTTGCCAGCCTGGTCTCGAACTCCTGACCTCAGGTGATCCACCTACCTTGACCTCCCAAAGTGCCAGGATTACAGGTGTGAGCCACTGTGTCTGGCCATAAATTTGATTTTAAAACTAAAAAAAACCTGTTTGTATAACTTTGATGCAAATAATTTTTTTTCTTTTTTTCTTTTTTTTTTTTTTCGAGACGGAGTTTTGCTCTTGTGCAGGCTGGAGTGCAGTGGTGCAATCTCAGCTCACTGCAACCTCTGCCTTCCGGGTTCAAGCGAGTCTCTTGCCTCAGCCTCCTAAGTAGCTGGGATTACAGATGCCCGCCACCATGCCCAGCTAATTTTTGCATTTTTAGTAGAGACGGGGTTTCGCTATGATGGCCAGGCTGGTCTCGAACTCCTGACATCAGGTGATTGACCTGCCTCAGCCTCCCAAAGTGCTGGAATTACAGGCATGAGCCACTGTGCCTGGCCAAGAACATTGTTTTAATGTCAACTGACAATAAACTATCTATCTGAATCCTAAACCCAGCTCAGAAGATTTTAAGTCATATGACCTTGATTGTTAAATATTATTCTATTTGAATAAAAAATGGATTGTTTCAAAAAAAAGAAAAAATATAAAAAACATAAATTAACTGAACTGCTGTTTCTTAGAGAAAACAAATCAGTCAAGTAGACGAACTGCTAGCTAACCTAATCAAGAACAAAAGGATATGTTCCCAACACAAAGAGATGGTATTTGAGGTGAAGGATATCCCAGTTACCCAGATTTGAACATTACATATTGTATGCTTTTATGAAAATATCACATGCGTTCCATAAATATTTATGACTATTATGTATTCATAATTTTTTTTTTAAAAAAGGAAAGGAAAAAGGCATCAGTGTGCAAGATAAGAAATGACAAAGAGGACAACCACTGAAACAGAAGACAATTTACAAATCCTAAGATACTACTTTTCTCAAGCCTAGACAAATGCCTTTGAAAACCTAGATTAAATAAATAATTTTCTACAAAAATATTACTTACCCAAATTGACCCTGGTAAACACAGAACATTTAAACAAATTAACGAATTGCTCTTTAACAAGTCACAAGGCCCAGATGGATTCACAGGAGAATTTACCAAACCTTCACAGCTACTTAAAATGTTCCAGAGCATAAAAAAAGAAAGCTTCTACTTATTTTTAAACGGCTGCATGCATTTTAAAGAAACTAAGAGGAAAAAGTAGTCTTTTCACATATTTATAAATTTGTCCTTACTTCACTCACTTTGTTTAAACAAGGTTAGGCACATATTAACCATTTCTGATGCTCAACAGTCTTTTCTGAAAATTCCAGTTTCCATCTGGTTCTGGCAAAGGGGTGCAAAGGAGAGATGGAGTAGCACCTACAACTGGAAGACGAAGCTTTTCCAGATAACCTTGGCAGCGTTTTACTGGCCAGAGAGGTCGAGGTCATCCCCAGTTGCAAGGGAGGCAGGGAATTGTAATGTTTTAGCTGGACACATTGTGATATGGTGTGGCTGTGTCCCCACCCAAATCTCATCTTGAATTGTACTCCCAAAATTCCCACATGTTGTGGGAGGGACCCAGTGGGGGATAATTGAATCATGGGGGTGGTTCCCCCATACTGTTCTTGTGGTAGTGAGTAAGTCTCACGAGATCTGATGGTTTGATAAGGGGAAACCTGTTTCGCTTGGCTCTCATTCCCTTCTCTTGTCTGCTGCCACGTGAGACGTGCCTTTCACCTTCTGCCATGTTGGTGAGGTGTCCCCAGCCACGTAGAATTGTAAGTCCAATAAACCTCTTTCATTTGTAAATTGCCCAGTCTCGGGTATGTCTTTATCAGCAGCATGAAAAATGGACAAATACACATTACTTCCTCCATCAAATTCAGGGTTGTACTAGTCAAGAAGAAAAGGAGACCAGTCATTGGGTAGAAGGAAAGCAGTGACTGCCATAGCCCACCCTTGGCTATCCATCCTCACATGCACAGAATATACTCCCTTTCTAAGGTAGACAGTGCCAAAGTCTCACCCAGAGCCTACATCCATCTCAAAACCCAGAATCTGCAGCTGATATACAGCTTTCTCCATTTAGTCTTGATGTGAATCTTCACAGTCCAGTAATCTGTAAGCTAAAAGGCAAGTTATCTTCCCCCAGCATGTCTCATATACAATAATGGAGAAGGAACAGAATAAAACTTCAATGTAGGACAAGGAAGAATGTGAATAAAGGAAAGAATCTCTCTGTTTTAAGCATGTCAAAGCTATTGCAAATATTGGATCTATAACAAATGTCAGATCCTGCTAGACAGGAGTGGCCAGGACTCCCTTCCAGGCAGGGAATAATTTCCTTGTTCAGCCAACCTATTCTCTAGGAGGAATTCCCTTCTCTATTGTACTCTGTGGTCCAAGTTCCATCTTCTTTTGAGACGGCTTCTTGTTCATTATCCTCTTAACCATATCTGAAGTGAACTTTGGGGAGAATATGCTTTCTGTTGTGTGAGTTTAGGAACCTGGGATTGAAGAATTATACGCTTTTGCTGGCCAGGTTTTTAAATTTTCATTTTTGGTGATATGATTCCTTAAAAATTGTTGTAGGCTCTCAGTGTATTTGCCTCTGGTTGATCCTACGTTTGAGTCGCCATAGCCAAATCTCCTATATGGCCATAGTCTTTTAGACCTGAAAACCTTCCTTTGTTGGCTACTGGCCTTTGTGTCCTGCCTGTCCCTTTAGCCTTTAACTTAATGATTATTGACTTGAGACAATTTGAAACAAAAGATTCTAGTGGGAAGAAACCACTTTGCGGACTCCACTTCCTCTGCTGAATGAATTCTTAGAGGAAGGTGCTTAGGAAAGGCCCAAGATACCAACCAGTCTTACCTTCTTCTACCATATTGCTTGGCAGCCACTACTCCTATATGGAGAAAAGAGCAATTATCTTTTTTTTTTTTTTTTTTGAAACAGGGTCTTGTTTGGCTCTGTTGCCCCGGCTAGAGTGCAGTGGTGTGATCACGGCTCACTGCAGCCTCAACCTTCCTAGGCTCAGGTGATCTTCTTGCCTCAGCCTCCCAAGTAGTTAAGACTACAGGCACATGCCACCACACCAGGCTAAGTTTTTGTATGTTTTGTAGAGACGCGGTCTTGCTATGTTGCCCAGGTTGGTCTCAAACTCCTGGGCTCAAGCGATCTGCCCACCTTAGCCTCCCAAAGTGCTAGGAATACAGGCATGAGCCACTATGCCTGGCCCAGAGCAATTGTCTTTTTCAGCCCTGCAATTCTCCAAATTATGAAATGCTCCTTCAAAGTAGATTTGCAGGCCATAGGCAGAAGTACTACTTAGTGAAGTAGCACTGCCTTCCTTTTTTCCTTCAGCCTGGATAATTCAAGTTCACTGGTCTCCTTCAAGAATTCATCGAAAGTGGAATGAAGTCACCAGCATGTGCCAACATTCTGAATTATTCTAGCCATTTACCCTATCACTACAGACTTGGCTGGTATGTGGGGTGTCTCCCATAAAATAGCAGATCGACCAAATGTTTTCCCACAGCATAGCAGGGTTGTCAGCATTCCCGTCTGCAGTATCTGTGCCCCCACTGCCCAAAGCTCCGTCTCTACCACTCAACGAAGTCCACGTTTCAGATGATATTATGTGCAGCACCCCACTTCAGTGGACCTAATTCTCTATTTGATAGGAATGCGCTTGGCTGCACTTAACAAACCCAGCAAAGCAAAGGCTTAACAAGAAAGGGGTTTACTTTTTTTACATTACGAGGAGACTGGGATAGGCAGTCCAGGACTCTCGCAGCAGCTCAAGGAATCTGGCTCTTTTTATCTTCTTCAGCCATCCTTAGTGTGTGTCTTTTGGCTTCATGATCACAAGGTGGCTGTAACTCTTCTGGTTTGCAGGTAGGAAGAAGTGGGTAGGGGAAGGCAGAATGCATGTGCCAGTTGAGACTGGCTTCTTCTTCTTTTTGAATCAGGTAATCAATTGCTTTTCCAAAAATACCACCCAGTGACTTTCACTTGTACCTTATTGGCCACATTGACATCCTTAGCTCTGGAAGAATGTGGGGAGATAAATATCTAAAAACTCTAAATAAAATGGGGGTTCTGTGAGAAGGAGAGAATAGGCCAGGCAGTGTGGTGACTCACATCTGTCATTCCAGCACTTTGGGAGGCTGATGTAGGAGGATCTCTTGAGCCCAGGAGGTTGAGACCAGCCTGGGCAACATATTGAGACGCCATCACTGCAAAACATATATTTATTAATTAATTACAGAGATGGGGTCTTGATATGTTGCCCAGGGTGGGCTCAAACTCCTGGGGGTCAAGTGATCCTTCTGCCTTGGCCTCCCAAAGTGCTGGGATTATAGGCATGAGCCACTGTGCCTTGCCTACTACAGAAAATTAAAAAAAAAAAATTAGTTGGGCATGGTGGTGTGCACCTGTGGTTCCAGCTACTTGAGAGGCTGAGGTGGGAGGATGACTTGAGCCCAGGAGGTCAAGGCTGCAGTGAGCTGTGATTACACCACTGCACTCCAGCCTGGGTGACAGAGCAAAATCCTGTCTCAAAAATAAATAAATAAATAAATAAATAAGAATAGATATTGCATAGTCAACTAGGTCTGCCAGACCACTACAAACTGGTTTATACACAAGAAGTAATTTCTTGGCTTAAGAAACTGAAAAGTTCAGAGGGGTTGTTGTTACTTGATCCAGCAGTTTACCAAAATCATCAAGAAGTTAGGTTCTTTCCAGCCCTCCCTTCTGCCTTAGTCCATGTGAGAATACTCTGAGGCTGGCTCCCCTTACAGTCCTCAGAAAGCCCCCATGGCTATGTGCTTTCTCATTCATGCCCAGTGAAAAATATAGTTTCAGCATCCTAGCATTTGTGGCTAACATGCTGAACCCATCACTGGGCTCAGAGGATGGACTGTGCTGAATGGCTTGGCTTATGTGAAGCCACATCCCAGGAACTACATGGATTGATCCCCAAAGGGAAAGTATGGTCTGTTGAAAAGAGGCCAGGGATCTCTGGGAGTGATGTGGGAAAATGGATAAGACAACCAACAAATGTCCTCCAGCATAGCTGAAGTAAGAGACAAGAAAGGGGATGAGTTACCACTGGAGAGGCTGAACCCAGGACAGTCCCTGAGGTGACACTGGTGATGCTCATCTGAACACTGCTGGGGGAGAGGGAGCCCTGGGCCAAAGTCACATCCTGTGCAATTCTAGCGGCAGATCCATCTTTACTGTGAGGGTCTTGAAAGCACACTCTTATTCTCCCTTGACCCCCTCTCCCATTGTGGTGCTCTGATTCTAGCTCTCCAGGCAGGCTTGTGATTATATTTGGCTTTCCATGTGTTTTGTTGCTTTGTTTTGTTTGTTTGTTTTTTGAGACAGAGTCTCACTCTGTTGCCCAGGCTGGAGTGCAGTGGCGTGATCTCGGCTCACTGCAACCTCCGCCTCCTGGGTTCCAGTGATTCTCCTGCCTCAGCCACCAGATTAGCTGGGATTATAGGCACCCGCCACCATGCCTGGCTAATTTTTTTGTATTTTTAATAGAGATGGGGTTTCACCATGTTGGCCAGGCTGGTCTCCAACTCCTGACCTCAAGCGATCCACCCACCTCGGCCTCCCAAAGTGTTAGGATTACAGGTGTGAGCTATGGTGCCTGACCCCATCTATAGCCTTTTGTGTCTAGCTTCTTTCATTCAACATTATATTAATGGGATTCTTCCAGGTTATTGTGAATAGGGGTGGCTCCATAACTCTCATTACTTTATAGTGCACCATAGTTTGAATATAACACAATGTATTCATTCATTCTACTATTGGTGAATATTTGTGTTATTTCCCATTTAGCGCTATCAGGAATGGTGCTGCAATGAATATTCTTGCACATGTCTTTTGTGAGCACGTGTGCATTTCTGTTATCTACATACTTAGGAATAGAATTGCTGGGATATAGGATAAGTGTAAATTCAGCTTCAGTGCATATTGCCAAACGTCTCAAGTAGCTGTACTAATTTACACTCCTACCAGAACCACGAGAGTACTAGTTTCTTCACATCCTTGCCAACACTTGGTATTATTGATCTTTTTAATTGTAGTCATTCTGATGGGTGTATAGTAGTATTTTTGTTTTAATTTACATATTTCTTATGACTAGTGAGCATGAGTAAATTTCCATATGAACATTTAGATATCCTTTTTGGTGAAGTATCTGTTCATGTAAGATTCAAGTCTGCTTCATAGACTCTTCTACAAGATCAGAAGGGCAGCTAGGCAGGTCATGAGGCTCACAGCAAGAGATGCTAAAGATGAAAAAGAACTTTGAGGCCTGGTACAGTGGCTCACACCTGTAATCCTAGCATTTTGGGAAGCCGAGGCAGGTGGATCACTTGAGCTCAGAAGTTCAAGACCAGCCTGGGCAACATGGTGACACCCCGTCTCCACAAAAAATGCAAATACTAGCCAAGCATGGTAGTGTGCGCCTATAGTCCCAACCATTTGTGGGGCTGAGGGAGGAGGATAGCTTGAACATAGGAGGTCGAGGTTGCAGTAAGCCGAAATCATGTCACTCCACTCCAGCCTGGGTGACAAAGTGAGACCCTGTCTCAAACCACAAAAACAATAACAACAACAACAACAAACAACTTTGCATCAGGCCGGGCACAGTGGCTCACGCCTGTAATCCTAGCACTTTGGGAGGCCGAGGTGGGCAGATTGCCTGAGCTCAGGAATTCAAAACCACCCTGGGCAACATTGTGAAACCCCATCTCTACTAAAAATAAAAAAATTAGCCGGGCGTGATGACATGTGCCTGTAGTCCCAGCTACTCGGGAGACCGAGGTGGAAGGATCATTTGAGCCCAGGAGGTTGAGGCTGCAGTGAGCTGTGATCACAGAGCACCTTAGGGGCACAGAACAGGGCATACTTCATATTTTCTCTTGTATTAAAATTATTCATGGAAAAACTTATGCATGTACATATCCCCTTCAGGATTCTGAGCTTCTTGTATATGCTTCATTCTCACATTTTCCTCAGCTCCTGACATAATATCTTGCATATAATAGGCACTTGAATATTTGTGAAATAAAACTTCAGCCATAAAGGTAGACATTTCTTTTTTGTCCTTTTTTTTTTTTTTTTTTTTTTGAGATGGAGTCTCGCTCTGTCACCCAGGCTGGAGTGCAGCGGCATGATCTCAGCTCACTACAACCTCCGCCTTCCAGGTTCAAGCAATTCTCCTGCCTCAGCCTCCTGAGTAGCTGGGATTACAGGTGTGTGCCACCACACCTGGCTAATTTTTGTATTTTCAGTAGAGAATACAAAATCAAGAAGTTAGGTTCTTTCCTAACTTAACGGTTTCACCGTGTTGGTCAGGCTGGTCTGCAACTCCTGACCTCGTGATCTGCCCGCCTTGGCCTCCTAAAGTGCTAGGATTACAGGCATGAGCCACCGCGCCCAGTCTCTTTGTCTATTTTTATTTCAGGCTACAGGAGAAGAAAAAGACTTACAGATGTGGTAAGACCTATCTTTATATTTCACAATCATTTTAGTGGACTCATAGTCTTTATTCTTTATTCTCCAGTCAAGTGAAGGGTTGGTGGAATCCCAGCACAGTGATTGATGGGTGGAATCATTCAAATTTTGATGGGGTCCTTTTTTGGGGTCTTCTATGTCAGGGGTCCTCAACCCCAGGGGGTTGGGGTTGAAGCCTTTTAGGAACCAGGCTGCACAGCAGGAGGTGAGCGGCGTGAGCGAGGCGTCATCTGTATTTACAGCTGCTCCCCACTACTCGTATTACTGCCTGAGCTCTGCCTCCTGTCAGATCAGTGGCAGCATTAGGTTCTTACAGGAGCATAAACCCTACTGTGAACTGCACATGCAAGGGATCTAGGTTGCTCCTTATGAGAATCTAATGCCTGATGATCTGTCATTGTCTCTCATCACCCCCAGACGGGACCATCTATTTGCAGGAAAACTAGCTCAGGGCTCCCACTGACTCTACATTATGGTGAGTTGTATAATTACTTCATTTTATATTACAATGTAATAATAACAGAAATCAAGTGCACAATAAATGTGAGGCACTTGAATCATCCTGAAACCATCTCCCTACCCTGGTCTGTGGAAAAATTATCTTCCATAAAACTAGTCCCTGGTGCTGAAAAGGTTGGGGACTGCTGTTGTATGTGTTTCTATTTTTCCTTTTTTATTAGAGTAAAATACACATAACCAAAAATGACCATTGTAGCCATTCTAAGTGTACAATTCAGTGATATTTAGCACATTCACATTGTTGTGCAACCATCGCCATGTCTATCTCCAGAACTTTTTCCATCTTCCGAAACTGAAACTCTGTTCCACTGAACAAAAAATAATTCCTCATTCCCTCTTAACCCCAGTCCTGGACGACAATCATTTTACTTTCTGTCTCCATGATTTTAACTACTCTAGGTACCTCACATTAGTGGAATCATACAGTATTTGTCCTTTGTGACTGGCTTATTTCACTTAGCATATTAAGTGACATAGTTTTTTCTCTTGAGAACAGGGTCTTGCTCTGTTGCCCAGGCTGCAGTGCAGTGGCACAATCATGGCCCACTGCAGCCTTGACCTCTCAGGTTTAACCAATCCTCTCACCTCAGCCTCCCAAGCAGCTGGGACTACAGGCACATGCCACCATGCTTGGCTAATTTTTAAATTTTTTGTAGAGATGGAATCTCACTGCATTGCCTGGGTTGGTCTCAAACTTCTGGGCTCAAGTGATCCTCCTGCCTCAGCCTCCCAAAGTACTGGGATTACAGGCATAAGCCACTCCGCCCGGCCAAGCTTTTTAATCTTTCTGGATCCACAATTAAAAGCATAGCAACTGGGTGACAAAACAAAAAATCCATGGACAGTGTTTACAAAATAACTAGGTGCTATGGCCTGAAATCCCAGCACTTTGGGGGCCCGAGGCAGGTGGATCACTTGAGGTCAGGAGTTTGAGATCAGCCTTGCCAACATGGTGAAACCTTGTTTCTACAAAAAATACAAAAATTAGTCAGGTGTGGTGGCACATGCCTGTAGTCCTAGCTACTCGGGACGCTGAGGCAGGAGAATCATTGAACCCGGGAGGTGGAGGTTGCAGTGAGCCAGGATTGCATCACTACACTCCAGCCTGGGTGACAGAGCAAGCCTCTGTCTCAAAAAAAGAGAAAAAAAAAAAAACCTAGGTGCTATGGACTGAATTGCCCCCTACCCACCACAAATTTATATATTGAAGGCTTAACCCCCAGTGTAACTTCAAATGTGATTTGGAGATTGGGCTTGTAGGAGGTTATTAAGATTAAATGAGGTTGGCCAGGCGCAGTGGCTTATGCCTGTAATCCCAGCACTTTGGGAGGCCGAGGTGGGCAGATCATGAGGTCAGGAGATTGAGACCATCCTAGCTAACAGGGTGAAACCCCGTCTCTACCGAAAAATACAAAAAAAATTTAGCCGAGCGTGATGGCGGGTGCCTGTAGTCCCAGCTACCTGGGAGGCTGAGGCAGGAGAATGGCGTGAACCCGGGAGGTGGAGCTTGCAGTGAGCCGAGTTTGCGCCACTGCACTCCAGCCTGGGCAACAAAGCGAGACTCCGTCCCAAAAAAAAAAAAAAAAAATGAGGTCATGATGGTGGGGCCATAATCCAATAGGACTGGTGGCCTTATAAGAGGGGGAAGATCTCTCTTTCTTCCATTACAGGCATCAAGGAAAGATTGTATGAGGACAGAGCAAGAAGGTGGCCATGTGCAAGCCAGGAAAAGAGCCCTCACCAGAAATTGAACACTGCTGAACTTTGATCTTGGACTCTCCAGCCTCCAGAACTGGGAGAAAATAAGTTTCTGTTGTTTAAGCCACACAGTCTGTATTTTGTTATATTAGCCTAAACAGACTAATATCAGGTGATGATATATCCCCATTAACTGCAAAATCCAAATTGGTGAGGACAAACTATCGGCAGCTGCAAGACTTGTGTGGCATCATCAGCTGTGCAGAAAGAAGCAGAAGGAAGCAACGCTACAGCTAACAGATCTGAGGATAGGAATTCCTCTAACTAGCCAGCAGGCATTCATTAGAAAGCTTGACTAATTTGCGAACAACAGCTGAAACTGGGAGGTTTTTTGCCCAATAGTGACTAAATGCAAGGGAACTGCTTTAACGTCTTAAAGGACTAGAGCAGCTCGGCCTATGTGAATCCTAAAGCTGGCATGCCAGGGTTTCCCTCCAGAACAGGGTCTCATACTGAGGAAAAACTGCTAGAAATGGAATCAAAATTGATCAGGACAGACATAAATAAAGATGAAGAAAAGAGAAGATCCAGATAAAAATTAGGAAGGCTAATGGCCAGGCGCGGTGGCTCACGCTTGTAATCCCAGCACTTTGGGGGGCCAAGGCAGGCGGATCACGAGGTCAAGAGATGGAGACCATCTGGCTAACATGGTGAAATCCCGTTTCTACTAAAAATACAAAAATTATCTGGGTGTGGTGGTGCATGCCTGTAGCCCCAGCTACTCAGGAGGCTGAGGCAGGAGAATCACTTGAACCCGGGAGGGTGGAGGTTGCAATGAGCCGAGATCCTGCTACTGCACTCCAGCCTAGCGAAAGCGTGAGACTCTGTCTCAAAAAAAAAAAAAAAAAAAAAAAAAATTAGGAAGGCTAATAGAGCTAAAGAATCTCAGAAAGCAAGCTGCCATATTTTTTAACACTACATGAAAACAATAGAGGAGGAAGCTCTCTCAAGTTCAAAATGCTACCCTGAACCACATCTCTTTTTAAAAGCATAGGAAAAGTAATTTCACACAAAAATGAATAACAGAAAATATATAAGCCAAATATCATACAAAATTATGATAAGAGAATAAGCAGCAGAATTATATTTCTATAAATAATAAAAGCATACCAATAAGATGTGAACAGAGAACAGATAAAAACTATAATCATCTATTTTCAAAATAAACTGAAATGTATTAAGAAAATGATATGGCCAGGTGCAGTGGTTCACGTTTATAATCCCAGCACTTTGGGAGGCTGAGGTGGGTGGATCACTTGAGGCCAGGAGTTTGATACCAGCCTGGTCAACATGGTGAAACCCCATCTCTAGTAAAAATTCAAAAATTAGCTGAGTGTGGTGATGCCCGCCTGTAATCCCAGCTACTTGGGAGGCTGAGACAGGAGAATCGCTTGAACTCAGGAGGCAGAGGTTGCAGTAAGCTGAGATCGTGCCACTGCACTCCAGCCTGGGCAACAGAATGAGACTCCATCTCAGAAAAAAAAAAAAAGAAAGAAAATGATATATGAAAACACAACATCAAAAAGAACTTGGAGAACTCAGAAATGAGGTGACAGAACTCAGGAAAGAAACTTATAAATAAAAGAAAAAAAATAGGCCAAGCACAGTGGCTCATGCCTGTAATCCCAGCACTTTGGGAGGCTGAGACAGGTGGATCACCTGAGGTCAGGAGTTTGAGACCAGCCTGGCCAACATGGTGAAACCTCATCTCTACTAACAAATATAAAAATTAGCCGGGCACTGTGGCAGGCACCTATAATCCCACCTACTTGGGAGGCTGAGGCAGGAGAATTGCTTGAACCCGGGAGGTGGAGGTTGTGGTGAGCAGAGATCACGCAACTGCACTTCAGCCTGGGCGACAGAGCGAAATTCTGTCTCAAAAAATAAAAAATAAAAAATAAATACAAAATGAAGACTAAAGCAAAAGGAACACAGAAGAAATAAATACAACAGATGATGCCTTAAGTAGAATGTAGAAAGGAGGAACATTTAAAAAATATTTTTAAAAATGAAGAAAGAGAAAAGATTTGAGAAAAGTGGCAGATATTGAAGAGAAACAACAAAGATACAACATATGGCTAACATGAGTCCTCTTAAGAACCAAACCAAGGCAAGAGAACGGAACTATTCTAAAACCTGTAATTCAAAAATCAATCTTTACTGAAATAAAAAAAATATAAATTACATTTTGGAAGAGAATACCACATAACTGAGACTACTGACCTAAAACAAACAGCACCAAGATGTAGTCAGGTAAAATGACTGGAAATTAAACAAAAAATTTTAAAAACTACTTGGGCAACCTGGTGAAAAGAGCAAGTAACTTGTAAGGGAAAGAAAATTAGATTTCTGTCATCAGATGAAAATGAAATATCTTAAGAAAGAAAATGTGAGCCAACAATTTTATATTTAGCAAACTGATTTTCAAGCATAAAGGCCAGAAATAAACTGCTATTAATATGCAAAAGTTTAGGGAATATCATTCACAGAGAATATTGTAGTCCTTCCAGGAAATCCACTAAAGAACGGGTTCAGTAATAAAAACCACTGGGCCAGGCACAGTGGCTCATGCTTGTAATCCCAACATTTTGGGAGGCCAAGGCGGGTGAATCACTTGAGGCCAGGAGTTTGAGACCAGCCTAGCCAACACGGTGAAACTCTGTCTCTATTAAAAATACAAAAATTAGCCGGGCATTGTGCTACATACCTGTAATCCCAGCTGCTTGGGAGGCTGAGGCAGGAGAATCGCTTGAACCTGGGGTGGAGATGCAGTGAGCCAAGATTGCACCAATGTACTTCAGCCTGGGTGATACAGTGAGACTCTGTGTCAGAAAACAAAACAAAACAACAACAACAACAGCAACAAAAACCAGTGGAAAGCATTAAACATGGAATTCTGATTTTATTTATTTATTTATTTTTGAGATGGAGTTTCACTCTTGTCGCCCAGGCTGGAGTGCAATGGTGTGATCTCGGCTCACTGCAACCTCCACTTCCTGGGTTCAAGCAATTCTCCTGCCTCAAGCTCCCAAGTAGCTGAGATTACAGTGCCCGCCAGCACACCCCCACTAATTTTTGTATTTTTAGTAGAGAAGGGTTTCACTATGTTGGCCAGGCTGGTCTCAAACTCCTGACCTCAGGTGATCTGCCTGTCTCAGCCTCCCAAAGTGCTGGGATTACAGGTGTGCGCTGCCGCACCTGGCCTAAACATGGAATTCTTTGTAGTATTAAGAGAGTTAAAAAGAGGAAGGTAGAGTAATGAGTATAGGCTCAGATAATATACAGCACATCTGTTAAAATGGAGAGAATGAATGGAGGGGATAGAATGAGAAGGGCATATGCAAACATTTTTTTAAACGTCTCAATAATTATATTGGTGGTGATAGTATCATTAGTATTGTTATTTTGAGACAGTTGGGTATGTGATATGGGATAAAGGAAATGAAAATAGATATTTAAATACTGTTGTCCCTTATGTTCTTGAGAACTAGTATTCTCAGTGTGGAAGAAAGGAAATAAAGATGTAATATAGAAAATATTAAATTAAAATTCTGCAGTCTTACTTTGGGAGGCTGAGGTGGGCAGATTGCTTGAGTCCAGTAATTCAAGACCGGCCTGGGCAACATGGTGAAACCCTGCCTCCACAGAAAATACACAAATTAGCTGGGCATGGTGGTGCACAACTGTAGTCCCAGCTACTTGGCAGGCTGAGGTGGGAGAATCGCTTGAGCCTGGGAGTTTGAGGCAGCAGTGAGTCATGATTGCACCTCTGTACTCCAGCCTGGGCAACAGAGGGAGATCCTGTCTCAAAAAAAACAAAACAAAAAGCAACCCATAAAACCAAAAGCCAAAACCAAACCCAACCTCTGTAGTCTTGAATTTGAAGTAGCAGTATAAATATTCTCTATTTATATCTCTATGGATATAGATCTCCCCCTAGCTCCATCCACTAATGTGGCTTACAAGTAACAAACAATTCAGTAGCAATAAGCATCCCTAGTGCCCAGATTGTGGTCTTAATATACCATTTCCCACAGAAAACCATATGAATTTCTTGAAGAAATGGCTAATTTTTATGCCTAGGGCAGGAAGTACAAGATTAGCTAGGAACTCTTGTCATGCTAGATAGCAGGGAGCTATCAAAAACCTCCAGGGTTATGTCAAAAGGACTCAAGAATCAAGTTGAAGAGGAGGCTCCATTGTTATGGTACTGTATTAGTCTGTTCTTGCACTGCTATAAAGAACTACCTGAGACCAGGTGATTTATAAAGAAAAGTGCTTTAATTGACGCACAGTTCTGCAGGCTATACAGGAAGCATGGCTGGGGAAGCCACAGGAAACATACAATCATGGCAGAACGTGAAGGGGAAGCAAGCACATCTTCACATGGCAGAGCAGGAGAGAGAGGGCAAAGGGGGAAGTGCTACACACTTTTGAACAACCAGATCTCTTGAGAACTCACTGTCATGAGAACAGCAAGGGGGAAGTCTGCCCCATGATCCAAACATCATGACCTCCCACCAGGCCCCTCCTCCAACATTGAGGATTACAATTCAACATGAGATTTGGGTGGGGACACAGAGCCAAACCATATCAGGTACCATGAATGTCAACATGAGAAAATACAAGTATATTGTGGAAAATGAGAATCAAGTTTCCTACTATTGCAGAAGGGAGGTAAAATTATAGAGAAGAGGAAGACTAGAGGAAAATATGTGGTATTGGATTGGAATTTGAGGTATTGGTGTGAACTCATATTTTATATATACATATATATTTTGATATATGTGCACATATATATGCTCACATATACATAGATCTATATATACATATACACATCTATATGCACACATATTTAAATATATTTCATAGAAATATAGATGAATGGGTGTGTATATCAATATTCATTTATTTGCTAGGTCTAGTCACTGAAATAGACTGGAAATAATGACATCTCAGTAGCAATAAACACACCTAGCATCCAAACTTGGCTTCTAAATACCATTCCTTACTAAAAGGAACTAAGGCTCTTTGGAGAAATGAATGATGTGACAGATGTGAAAATCTATGACATAACTTATGAAAATGGCAGAGAGATGATCAGCCTCCACCCAACTGGAATGGTTGATGAAAGCTGAATGAGATTGTAAGTTACATGGTATTATTGTATTTATTAATTTCTTGATTTTGCTGGGTTGTACTGTGGCTGTGACATAGAATATATCCTTGTTTTCAGGAAATACAGAAATACTTTGGGTAATGTCTGTAATTGGCTCTTAAACGGATCGGGTGGAAAAACAAAAGAACAATATGCATAGTGAGAGAGTGAGAGAGAAAGAATGATGAGGTAAATGTAAACTATTAACAACTGGGGACTTTGGGTTAAGGGTATGAGGGCATTATTTTGTAATATTTTTGCAACTGTACTGTAAACTTGAAATTATTTCAAAGTAAAAAGTCTCAAGAATATTTGAGCACAGGGGAAATATTCAAGCTAGGTAAAATATGTAGATTACTAAACAAATGTACAGTGTAATCTAAATTTTGTTGAATATACATATTTAAGATTCAGTAAAATTATACTTTTAGAAGCATAAAACAAAGTTAACAATTGTCATCTATTGGTGATAGAATAGCCATGCCCCTCTTAAAGCCAAAAGGCTAGCAGATATCAAGACCTACTCTAAAGTTAGAGAAATCAAGACGTGTGACATTGGCACAATGACAGAAAAATACACCCATGGCACAGAATAAGAGTCAAAAATTGACCCAGACATACATAGTCACCGGATTTATGACAAAGCTGCCACTGAAATTCAGTGGGAACAAAATTTTTAAATAGTGCTGGATCAATTGTACACCCATATGGAAGAGATGAATCTTGATGTCTAACTCCTATCATATACAAAGATTAATGTGAAATTAATCATAGACCTAAATGTGAAAGATAAAATAACACAGAAGAAAACCTAGGATAGTATCTTCATAACGAGGGCAGGCAAAGATTTCTTACATAGGACACAAAAGGCACTAACCATCACAACAAAATTTCAGGCCGGGCGTGGTGGCTACCGCTTGTAATCCCAGCACTTTGGGATCACCTGAGGTCAGGAGTTCGAGCAGCCTGGCCAACGTGGTGAAACCCCGTCTCTACTAAAAATACAAAAATTAGCCGGGCGTGGTGGCAGGTACCTGTAGCCCCAGCTCCTCAAGAGGCTGAGGCATGAGAATCTCTTGAACCCGGGAGGCGGAGGGTGCAGTGAGCCGAGATCGGCCACTACTGCACTCCAATCTGGGCGACAGAGCAAGACTCCGTCTCAAAAAAAAAAAAAAGTTTTAAAATGAAATTAAATTATCTAATACCATTAAGAGTAAAAAAAAAATCATGAACTGGGAAAGTATTCACAATATATAATTTTGATAAATTATGGAGCTCAGGTGCAAGTAACTTAGTAGGCAGGAGAGGAAGGAGTCTAAAGAAGTCTAGTTAGGAAGGATTACTGAAAGAGGGGGTATATCTAAAAATGGGTAGGATGGGAAAGGGAGACTTTGGGAACAGCCATGGGTTCCTAATGCGCCCACAACATACATGGGAGTTATCCTGAAGATAAACTCCCTGAAGACAGTGAAAGCCATTTCAAAACTCCCCATATAACTTATGAGAACAGAGGGGTGATCTGCCTTTAATGTTAGGCCTTCTGAGATCCTGCGATCTGTTCGCTCTCCTCAGTAACATTACCCTGCTCAATTGCTGCCTTAATCCCAGGTCGCACATTGGAATGTGGGAATTCAGCGTTTACATTTACCCACACAGGATCAGCCTTCAGCTGCTACGATCAACTTCAGTATTTTCATATAATCACTTTTTTCTTTCCTTAGTTCTTGAATTATTAATTCCTTGAGAAGAGTCCAATCAGAGGTAGTCTTTCTTCAGTATTTTCGGTAATCCTAATTTCTGTGCAAAAAAATTTCTGTTCCATTTTAACCGTGCAGAACTTTCTGTTATCTAAAACACAGTTTCTCTATGAGAGTTCAGTGAAAATTCCCCTTCCCAAACTGATTCTATGAATGACTGTTAGATAAGCTTCACCACTGCATGTAGAGGGTGTACCAGGAACCCAAGTTAGTAGCTCTCCTCAAAGACCCAACTTTTGGAGGGGGTCATCGTCTGGTTCCTGGTATGCCTCCACAGGTAGGTCCGCCTCAGGAAGTCAGCGGCGAGGAGCACAGAAGAGGCTGCCTTCACCAACGGACAGCAGTTTTCATCGTGAGGGCCGTCGGCAACCGCTTGGATGTGTCTAAAGGGGCCGTTTGGGAACCGGCCCTTCTGGAGGGAAGGGTCGGAGTGGGAGGGGATCCGGGATCCGCCTTACGGCCGAGTGTCCAGCAGCGCGTTCCAACCTGGCAGAACCGACGTACTTCATATGCTCCTCAGGGGAGCGCGGGAATCACCAGGCTGAAGAATGACTGGAAATGGGACCCTCTCCAACCAAAGCACCCAGACATTCCGGCGCCGGACATTTCAAAGAGCGCGGAAGCCACGCCTTCCCCCAGAACCGGAAGCTTTGCAACTAGCGCCTCTTGTAGACTGGCTGTTTATAAGGGGGCGGGGGGCCACAGCGGGAACTGCAACTCCCAGAATGCAGCGCGGAATTTCCGGTTTCCGGCGAGAGGGCCAGAGTGAGTGTTTACACCGGCGGCAGTGCGGCCGGGTTCCTTCCGCGGGACGGGTGAGGGCGCTGGGGCCCTGGGCAGCGCGGGCTCGATGTGTGTCAGCCAAGTAGCTGGTCCCACTGGAGCGGTGAGGTCGCCACCGGATAGTGTTCCTGCCCCATTACTAGCGATCTGTGACCTTGGGCCAGTGATTTTACTGAGTCTTGCTTCCCTCATCTTTAAAATGTGGCTAATGCCTGCCTTAGGGAACCGTTGTGAGGATTAAGTGAGACATGGTATATAAAACGACCTCCTTCTGGCATAAACTTGAGGTGGAAGATACCTTGAGGATGCTTGAAGGTCTGCTAGGCAGCTTCACAGCCTTTTCTTTCCTCTTCTCTATCAGAGGTCTCTTTGGAAGCAATAATGATGACTATAACAAGAACTTATCTTGCTTTGCAAGATTCTTCCGCCGTCAGAGTTTCTGATTTATTTTCTGGGGTTCCATGTATGCCAGGTATGGGGACAAGGATGAAGAAAACTTTAGTCTTTTGTTTTCAAGGGCATTCAAGAATTGGGGTGGAGGAGGGGGCAAGCAGATATTTGTAGCCCTTTTGTTCTGAGGGGATGTGGGAACAACAGAGGAAAGAGAGGGGACTGAGGTTATTGAATCTGTGTTGGTTTCGGTAGGAGTTTGCTAAAAGGCCAAAAAGGGAAGAGAAATTACATGCAGAGTTAGATGAGCAGAGGTGTAAAATAGGGGAGAGCTTTGTTATGAGTGTGTACTTACATGTTGTGGAGGTCCTTTGCAGGGGTAGGGCTCTGTTGGGGAATGAGGCTGGCAGGGAGTTTTGTAAGCCAGGCGATGAAGTTTAGACTTAATTTATATAGATGGTTTAGAGGTATTGGAAGAGGTCTTTTTCTGGGGGGCCGGGGTGGGGCAGGGAGGGACGGAGTCTCTGTCGCCCAAGCTGGAGTGCAGTGGCGCTATCTCGGCTCACTGCAACCTCCACCTCCCGGGTTCAAGCAATTCTCCTGCCTCAGCCTCTCAAGTAGCTGGGATTACAAGCGCCTGCCACCACGCCCTGCAAATTTTTTCTATTATAGTAGAGATGTAGTTTCACCATGTTGGCCAGGCTGGTTTCAAACACCTGATCTTAAGTGATCCGTCCTCCGCGGCCTCCCAAAGTGACAGGATTACAGGTGTGAGCCACCGCGTCTGGCTTTTTTTTTTTTTTTTTTTTTTTTTTTTGCGACAGAGTCTCTCTCTGTCACCCAGGCTGGAGTGCAGTGACGTGATCTTGGCTCACTGCAACCTCAGCCTTCCGAGTAGGTGGCACTACAGGTGCGCACTACCACGCCCAGCTAATTTTTGTATTTTTAGTAGTGACGGGTTTCACCATGTTGGCCAGGCTGGTCTTGAACTCTTGAGCTTAGGCAATCCGCCCGCCTAGGCCTCTCAAAGTGCTAGGGTTACAGGCATGAGCCACCGCGCCCAGCCCGACATTGGAAGAGTTCTAAGCAGAGAAGTGACTTGGTCAGATCTGTGTTTTAGAATGATGGGTTGTGGCCAGGCGCAGTCGCTCATGCCTGTAATCCCAGCACTTTGGGAGGCCGAGGCAGGTGGATCACGAGGTCAGGAGATCGAGACCATCCTGGCTAACACAGTGAAACCCCGTCTCTACTAAAAGTACAAAAAAAAAAAAAAATTAGCCTGGCGTCGTGGCGGGTGCCTGTAGTCCCTGCTACCTGGGAGGCTGAGGCAGGAAGGCAGGAGAATGGCGTGAACCTGGGAGGTGGAGCTTGCAGTGAGCCGAGATCGCGCCGCTGCACTCCAGCCTGGGCAACAGAGCGAGACTCCGTCTCAAAAAAAAAAAAAAAAATGATGGGTGTTGTTAGGTGGCAGCATAGATATTTGATAGGGAGAGGCAAGAGGCAGGGAACTTGTTATAAAGCTGTTCTACTGGTTCAAGCAACAGTTGAAGAAAATTGGAAAAAGGGGCATACAGAAGGGAGAGGGTTAGATGATCTCTCTCACAACATTCCTATTAGATTGGATGGCGTTTTTATGTCCACGTTAGGGATGAAGAAACTGAGGCCTAGAGAGCTGTCCATCACAGTATGAGTAGAGAGAGAACCCCAGATTCTAGTTCTGGCCTCCTGATGGTACGCCCTATGCCTCTTCAACAGTGTCACATTGAATTGTCTTTCATTCAACCCTTTGGTGGGTGGGGGTGGAGTAGAGTGGTGGTCTGTCTTTTAACCACTGAGGTTTTGTTCTTTTACAGGGAGAAAGAGAGAGCGCGAAAGAGAGAGGATGTCTCTCTCAGACTGGCACCTGGCGGTGAAGCTGGCTGACCAGCCACTTACTCCAAAGTCTATTCTTCGGTTGCCAGAGACAGAACTGGGAGAATACTCGCTAGGGGGCTATAGTATTTCATTTCTGAAGCAGCTTATTGCTGGCAAACTCCAGGAGTCTGTTCCAGACCCTGAGCTGATTGGTGAGTCTCTCTGGACTGGGGTTGGGCTGCTGCTCTGATCTCTTTTGGGGGAGGATACTTCTGGAATTACAAGAGTAAAGTAAGGGCTTGGGATTTGTTGCCTCATAATGTTAACACTCCAGGGAAGTGAATGTTGGGTAAATAGAAACACAAATCATATAATGAAACTATTGGTTGCCATTTCAGCCATGTATTATACTGAACTACCTTATCACCAGGTTCTTTATGACATTGTCTTGTTTTTTGTTTTTGTTTTTGTTTTGCTGTGTAGCCCAGGCTGGAGTGCAGTGGTGCGATCTCGGCTCACTGCAACCTCTGTCTCCTGGGTCCCAGTTCAAGCAATTCTGCCTCAGCCTCCCGAGTAGCTGGGATTACAGGCACACACCACCATGCCCAGCTAATTTTTGTATTTTTAGTAGAGACATGGGATTTCACCATGTTGGCCAGGCTGGTCTTGAACTCCTAACCTTGTGATTCTGCCCGCCTCAGCCTCCCAAAATGCTGGGATTACAGGCATGAGCCACCGCTCCTGGCCAACATTGTGAATTCTTTTTCTGAAAGAACAGAAGTTTGGGATGAGTTAGGAAAGGAGAAGTTGGTCAGGGGAGGCTCCTCAGTATATTTGAGGTAGGTCTTCAGGGATGATTAGAAGGATTTTTGCTTGGTTGACTGAGTAAAGGAAAGGCAGTAAAAAAGAAAAAGTGGCGTGGGCAGTCCAGGTGGAGGAGGGAGGAATTTAAATATAATTAAATTACACTGAAAAGGTAATTTTTAATAGCTAAAGGATCCAACTGGCAAGAAAGATGTTTTCAGTCATACCTGGATTGGGTTCATCCTATTTTGTTGTTTTTCCATTGATTTAAATTGGGCAGCCTCCACAATGTTAAACTCCAGAGTTTTTCTGTGGATAGATTCTGTGTGAATCCTTTTTTTTTTTTTTTTTTTTTGAGACGGAGTCTTGCTCTGTTGCCCAGGCTGGAGTGCAGTGGCGAGATCTCAGCTCATTGTAACCTCTGTCTCCCAGGTTCAGGCAATTTTCCTGCCTCAGCCTCCTGAATAACTGGGATTACAGGCCCGCACAACCACAACTGGCTAATTTTTGTGTGTATGTGTGTATATATATATATATTTCTTTTTTTTTGAGACAGAGTCTTGCTCTGTTGCCCAGGCTGGAGTGCAGTGGTGTGATCTTGGCTCACTGCAACCTCCGCCTCCTGGGTTCAAGCAATTCTCCTGCTTCAGCCTCCTGAGTAGCAGGGATTACAGGCGTCTGCCACCATGCCTGGCTAATTTTTGTATTTTTGGTAGAGACGAGGTTTACCATCTTGGCCAGGCTGGCCTTGAACTCCTGACCTCAGGTGATCCACCCACCTCGGCCTCCCAAAGTGTTGGGATTACAGGTGTGAGCCACCGTGCCCGGCCCTAATTTTCGCCATGGCCCAGGTTTCGCCATGTCGGCCAGGCTCCAAAAGTGCTGGGTTTATAGGTGTGAGCCACCACATCTGGCCAGATTCGATGTAAGTCCATTTTATGAGTTTATATTTGCAAATAGTTGTTGAAATGTATTTAATTGGCTAGGCATGGTGGTTCACGCCTGTCATCCCAGCACTTTGTGAGGCTAAGGCAGGAGGATCCCTTGAGCCCAGGAGTTAAGAGACTAGTCTAGGCAACATGGCAAAACCCCGTCTCTACAAAAAACTACAAAAATTAGCTGGGTGTGGTGGCATGTGCCTGTAGTCCCAGCTACTCAGGAGGCTAAGGTGGGAGAATTGCTTGACCCCAGGAGGTTGAGGCTGCAGTGAACCGTGATGGTGCCATTGCACTCAAGCCTGGGCAACAGAGTAAGACCCTGTTTTCCAAAAAAAAAAAAGTATTTGTTAAGTTATTGAATAAGAGTATCTTTTAAAACATGTATCATTCTCCAGCTATCTAATCAAAATAAGGTTCTCGGGACAAAAACCATGTAAATTTGTTTTGAGGAGCAAAATATAAGTGGACAGTTCTTTTTTTAGATCTGATCTACTGTGGTCGGAAGCTAAAAGATGACCAGACACTTGACTTCTATGGCATTCAACCTGGGTCCACTGTCCATGTTCTGCGAAAGTCCTGGCCTGAACCTGATCAGAAACCGGGTGAGTGAGGGGCAGCCCTTAGGCAGGCAGAGTTTCTGTAATATCCGCAAGGGAAGGATCTGTGTGTTCTTGAGGCACAAGCCTGGGTGGAACAAAGGGATGATTTACTGAGCTGATGATAAATGATATCTTTATTACTTATTGGATTAGACCATGCTGATAAACAGAGTCCAATTTTGACCTTCTTACTGCCGGCATCACTAATGGAAGATTTGTTTCTCCATTTTGTTTTTTGTTTTTTGGTTTTTTTGAGACAGTCTCACTCTGTTGCCCAGGCTGGAGTGCAGTGGCACAATCTTGATCTTGGATCACTGCAACCTCCGCCTCCCAGGTTCAAGTGATTCTCATGCCTCAGCCTCCCGAGTAGCTGGGATTACAGGCATGAGTCACCATGCCCAGCTAATTTTTTTTTTTTTTTTTTTTCTGAGACGGAGTCTCACTCTGTCTCACAGGCTGGAGTGCAGTGGTGTGATCTTGGCTCACTGCAAGCTCCGCCTCCCGGGTTCACACCATTCTCCTGCCTCAGCCTCCCAGGTAGCTGGGACTACAGGCGCCCACCACCAAGCCTGGCTAATTTTTTTTGTGTTTTTTAGTAGAGACGGGGTTTCACCGTGTTAGCCAGGATGGTCTCGATCTCCTGACCTTGTGATCTGCCCGCCTCGGCCTCCCAAAGTGCTGGGATTAAAGGCGTGAGCCACTGTACCCGGCCTTCAATTTTTGTATTTTTAGTAGAGACGGGGTGTCTCCATGTTGGTCAACCTGGTCTCGAACTCCTGACCTCAAGCCATCCACCCCACCTCAGCCTCCCAAAGTACAGGCACCATTCCTGGCTTGTTTCTCCACTTTCTAAGTTTGTCATCCACTGTTTCCTAATGGGACAGGGAGTTTGTGTCTACTTAAACTCCTTTAAGTTAACAGTTTATTTTTTAGTGATACAAAGTAAACTTTGTATCCTTTTGTTATTATCGTTGTTCTCATTAGAAAAAAGCTGGAAACTTTTGGCACTTTCCTAATGCTGCAGTTTATTCCCTTGTTAACAAATCTTCCTACAAACTGCCTCAGGTGGTGATTTGTTCAGTTAGCTAACTGCTCTTGCTATACTGGTATTTTCCTGAAGATATTCAAAGAGTATTTAAATAGCTCTTGGAGAAAATATACAAAGCCTCAGATGCCTTTTTGGTTTATAAATAGAAGGTGCTTGGAATTCATGATTTAAATTTTGCATGTGTGTTTTAAAAGCCTCCCTAAGAATAAAGCTAAGCTGTGTAAAAGAGATTAGCTTTGTTACACTGGCAGGTTGACATCTTTTTATAATGTTCATGATTGCTGTGACTAGTTATCAGTTTGAAATTTACCCCCCTTTCAGTTCTAACTGTAAAAGACAAAAATGTCTTTCATACCCTGATGGGAAGTGAGAAAGAGGAACAGAGTTCCTGACATCCAGAGGTTGGCCTGGCACTCACAGCCAGGCCCTGGAATCCTTTTGGGGATCATGAACAATTGTACAGATCCCCAGTAGCAGTCAAGGCCACTCTGAGACCACTATGGATTAAGACAAAAACAAGATCCCTATTATTGCTGAACAGAAACACAAAAACATGAGCATTATCCAAACCACAAAGGTGACCAAGTATCTTTCTATCTTGGCTGATGAGAGTAACAGCTGCTTCTTGGCCAATTACAGCTTCCACCTTGCTCTAGTTTTCCTTCCTTCTAGGTAAGAGTTATTAAGATACTCAATTATAAAATCACTCCCACTGCCTGAAAGCATCCTATCCAGAGTAAAACCTCACTTCTTTAAATTTTTCCCCAAATCAGCCAGACAAAACCAAAATCCTGTAAGAAGTCCTTTCTGGCCGGGTGCAGCAGCTTACGCCTGTAATCCCAGAACTTTGGGAGGCCGAGGTGGGCGGATCACCTGAGATTGGGAGTTCGAGACAAGCCTGACCAACATGGAGAAACCCCGTCTATACTAAAAATACAAAATTAGCCAGGCATGGTGGTGCCTGCTTGTAATCCCAGCTACTTGAGAGGCTGACGCAGGAGAATCGGTTGAACCCAAGAGGCAGAGGTTGCAATGAGCCGAGATCACGCCATTGTATTCCAGCCTGGGCAACAAGAGCGAAACTCTGTCTCAAAAAAAAAAAAGTCCTTTCTAATATCCTCTTACTGAGACAGCCCACGGTTTCCTGTGGTGTGCATTCTTCTCTCTGTACTGAGCAGTAAACCCAACTTGTTTAAATACAGATATGCCCCTCAGCTCTTTGGCTGGAGGGCATTAACAGAAGGAAAATAACATTTGTGGCTTCTGTGAGCCAGGTTTTTTCCCTTTTATACCTCATTTAATCATTACAGTGGCCCTGCAGGGTAGGTAACAGCATTAGCATCTTATGGAGGAAGAAAAGGGTTAGGGCATTTATTCAAGGTCAGCTACTTAGAAAGTGAATGCAAGAGCTGGGATATGGACCAGGGGTTTTCCTGGCTCAAGAGGAAAACCATTTCCACTGGGCTGGCTGCGTTCCACTTCTAAAGGATGAATTTAGCTCAGAGATCTTACAGTGACAGCCATGGCTCTTAGCTGAATAATGGCTTAAGATATTAAGAGTCCTTTTCCTCCCACCTTCTACCTGGAGGATTATTTTTGAAACAAATGACCTTTTTATTGGAAGGTTACAATAAACTTTTAGATCTGTAAAGAAACTGTTTTGTGACAGTGTTTTAGATATTTGCTCCTTGAGTGCTTTTCTTCACAAAGGAATCACATTTTGTGTTCTCCCACAGATTAGGGCCTATAGGAGAAGAACCCATTGTTGTCTGTCTTCCCACCTGGATCTCTTTGGTAGTCCTCCATGGCGGGTTACAAATCCCTTCAGGACGTCACCTTAACCTGCTGTTTGAGCTGGAATGTGTACCCCAAGCTCCAGCCACAAAGAATGACTTGCTGTTTGTTCAAAGCACCACATTCTTTTATTCTCCCATGCCTTTGCACATGTTCTCATTCAGGCTTGGAATACCTTCACCCCCCCAGTAAATATCAGCTCTCTCTTTGATACCCATTTCAAATGGTCTCCTCTGGGAGGCAGCTGTCTATCTTCACCCTCCCTCTCAGTGGTGCCTGTCTGCCTTTGTGTTCCTGGTACCCTAGCTGGGATCCACGTCTCTGTTGAGGTCTTCAACGTGGCATTTTGTAATTGTGTATTTGATGTAGTCTCATTTCTCCTCCTGCCCTAAGAGTTCCTTGATGGCAGGGGTTCTTATTTTTCATATTCTAGTTCCTTGCCTAAAGCCAGGCATGGAGTAAATGCTTAGTACATGTTTGTTGAATGAATAAATTAGGTAATTTACTTAAGATGACTGTTTTTCAAAAGACAGCCTCATGATCAGGACTGTCGATAAGGATGTGGCTGCCACCCTGAACCCCAGGGGTGCTATTCACCTTGCTTTGGGAGTGGTGCCCTGGAGTTGGGCAGTACACAGTCAGTACAGTCACAAGTAGTGGTCCTTCGTGAGGATAACCATACTTTAAAAAGTGTGACCCAGGGCTGGGCACGGTGGCTCACGCCTGTAATCCTAGCACTTTGGGAGGCCGAGGTGTGTGGATCACTTGAGGTCAGGAGTTTGAGACCAGCCTGACCAATATGGTGAAACCCCATCTCAACTAAAAATACAAAAATTATCCAGGAGTGGTGTTGCACACCTGTAATCCCAGCTACTCAGGAGGCTGAGGCACGAGAGTTGCTTCAACCAGGGAGGTGGAGGTTGCAGCGAGCCGAGATTGCGCCACTGCATTCTGGCTGGGCAAGAGGTGAGACTGTCTGAAAAACAAAGGCAAAAACACCAAAAAACAAATGTTATTAGTCTAGAATTCCTGCAGTGGTATGTTGATCAGAGCACCGTTTTTCATGTGGTAAGAGTCTCCTCTGCTGCAACTTGAATTTGTTTGTTTATCTGTGCAAGATGCTTACAAGTGAATGTAAAGATGCTTACTAGCAGTTTTCACATCCATGGCACAAATGGGTTTTTCTGAGCAGGCACTCACATTCTTAAGGGGTGATGAGGGAAGGGAATGCACAGACCAGGCTGCTCCTTGGCACATGCTGAAATGATGTTGCCATGTCTGTGGCAGAGACAGGACCTGCGCTATAGGGTAACTCTGAATGTCTTGTCCCCCAGAACCTGTGGACAAAGTGGCTGCCATGAGAGAGTTCCGGGTGTTGCACACTGCCCTGCACAGCAGCTCCTCTTACAGGGAGGCGGTGAGTGTGTGCTGCGGCCCCCAGCCAGGACTGTAGGAGAGGGTGTGAACGCTGGCTGGCGAGTGGTGTGGAGTGGGAGCTGGAAGCCCGTTGCCATGGCAACCAAGAGTTCCTTGGGGAGTTTTTGCCATGTCTGTGGGCCTCAGTAGAGCCCTGTCTTTCCCCAAAGAGCCTGTCTCAGTCAGGCGTTGTTGATTCCCTCTAATGATAATAATACAACCTGCCCGTATGGTGACAGCCAAAAGATCCTCATACTGTTTCTGCTGGGCCTCATTCTTCGACTTTGGCTGAACTGCCTGCTTACTGCCCCTTGACCTAGATGTCCTCACTGGGGAAGTGGGCTGATGTCTTTCTGTAGGAGAGTTGAGAGGCAAAATTAGTATAGCTGTGAACTTAGCGATATATACAAATATGAAATAGTAATTGTACAGAGATTGAAAAGGACTTTTGGATTGGAACCTAGAGAAACCTTTGTTACCGGGCTTGTAATGAGAGCTTTTATTTTGGAAGCACTAAACTGTAGGTGGGGAAAAGGAGCACAGAGATTTGAAGGTTTACTGTGGTCTTGCCTTTTTTTTTTTTAAATTGTTTGTTTCCCCTCCAGTAAGCTAAGATCTTAGAGCAAAAAGAGGTTCATCTGTTTCTGGGGCTATTGTTCCATTGTGGTGATGTACATGCAAGCACTTAGAGGGAGGAAGTCCTTTGGCAGAGTGTGGGCATTTGATGAGTACATTGAGCTGGTTGGAGTGCTCAGCCCCCGCCATTTCTCCTGCAGGTCTTTAAGATGCTCAGCAATAAGGAGTCTCTGGATCAGATCATTGTGGCCACCCCAGGCCTCAGCAGTGACCCTATTGCTCTTGGTAAGTGCAGGACTGAATTTGAGGAAATAGGAGTTGTCGGAAAAGGAGAAAACAGGAGAAGACAATTCCTCTAAAGAGACTTGGACTATCTTTTGAAGAATGACTGGTCTTGTGGGAAGAGGGAGAGTAATCAAGGTGTGTTTGATATCCCCAGCCCTTTAAGAGCTCTCAGTCCCACAGAGAGATAATGGCCTAACTAACATCGTAAATAAGGGTATGAGGATGCCAAATGAGGATAGCAGTTAGCCCACATCACAGCAATCAGGGAAGGCGTCCTGCACACCCTGAGTAAGGGAAGAACCCAGAGATACGGGAGAAAGAGACAGGTGTCTTGGTACCCAGTCTGTGATGTGACTAAAGTGCAGGGGAGGTGGAGAGCAGGGGACCATCCTCACTAGACCAAGATGAGGAGTACCTGAATTGTATTGCTTGGCGCTTTGCTTCCTCTACTTCTCATGAAGATTGGCTTGTTGTCCTGTGTCCCTGTTGAGCTGGTTGCTCTGAGACGCAAAGCCTCTTCTCCCTCCTGGATCTGGCTGATTTCCTTTCTTTGAGGTGAGCTCTGCTCTTTTTCAGGGGTTCTCCAGGACAAGGACCTCTTCTCTGTCTTCGCTGATCCCAATATGCTTGATACGTAAGTGTACCTGTCCTATTAGAGGGTACCTTCTCTCTCCTCGTGCTCAGGCCAGAAGCCTAATTGTCACCCTGCAGTCTGCTCTGGGAGCCCATCCATAGTCTGTCACCAAGTCTACCCCTTAGATACGTCAGGGGGTGAGAAAGAGCAAAGCCCAAGAGCAGGGCTTTTGTCAAGAGTGCTGGGAGGAAGCAGGATTCTGAGGGAAAGGGTCTTGTCTGCCAGGCTCAGTTTAGGTTTCGTGTGGTAGAAATTAGGGAGCTTTTCAAGGATTTTAAGCTGGCAAAAGGAGAAGCAGGTGTACAGATCCGTAAAGTGTCAAAGCTAAAAGGGACATGTCCTCATTTTGCAAGTGAAGAAAACAGCCCCACCCTGGGAAGAGAAGGGACCAGTCCAGGGTTGCCTGATGTAGTAGTGGTGCCTAGACCAGACACTCCTCATGTGCTCAGGCCAGAACCCTGAGCCTCCCAGGCTGCACCTTTCCCATCATGCCTTGCCTGTGGAGAGGGTGAAGAATCTGCAGCGGACCCCAGGAATTTGAAGGCCTTGCACCCGTTGCTGGGGGCAGATCAGCAGGAGGATAAAGCTTCCTGGTGGAAGATGCTAAAGACTGAGGAATTTGAGAGCAGGCACAGGTGGCTGCATTGTTGTGAGGGGGCACCCAGAACTCCTGTTATGGCTGAGGGTGCTCTTTTGGAGTCACCCTTGGGTTTCTTCCTGCTTCTATCCTAGGTTGGTGCCTGCTCACCCAGCCCTCGTCAATGCCATTGTCCTGGTTCTGCACTCCGTAGCAGGCAGTGCCCCAATGCCTGGGACTGACTCCTCTTCCCGGAGCATGCCCTCCAGCTCATACCGGGATATGCCAGGTGAGCGCCTGAAAAGTGTAATGTGGGCCCCTCAGGAGCCGGCAGTGGCCCAGGAATTTGCTTTACTCAGCAGCTATGTATAGCGTTGGCAGAGGGCGTTCCTTGGGAACTCTCGGTTTGAGTCAGGAAGTGCATCTGTCCTGTAATTTTCCGAGGGGAGAGATGAAAATATGAATTTGGAGAGTAACTTGAGCTGAGATTCTGGAGCTGCGCCTGTGCCTTTCTGTTCTTCCTCCTGAAATCTGTTCGTCCTCCTCCAGGTGGCTTCCTGTTTGAAGGGCTCTCAGATGATGAGGATGACTTTCACCCAGTAAGTGGCCTGCCTGCCTGCCTGACATGCTGACATGTGGGGGAGATGGTGCTGGGAATGAGCTGCATCCTGGGACCTGGCACTCCCAAGGCTGGGAGATGGACATACGCCATTGGGGGGCCAAGACCATGTCATACTATTTCTGCTTTTGGATTCCTTTCTGAACCTGGGAACTTAAGAGTTTCCCCAAGAACTATTGCTGGAGGTGGGTGGAGTTCATCTGGGAGTTTCACAGTACTGCTTCCCTGATTCTGAGTGTCTTCTTTCTCCAGAACACCAGGTCCACACCCTCTAGCAGTACTCCCAGCTCCCGCCCAGCCTCCCTGGGGTACAGTGGAGCTGCTGGGCCCCGGCCCATCACCCAGAGTGAGCTGGCCACCGCCTTGGCCCTGGCCAGCACTCCGGAGAGCAGCTCTCACACACCGACTCCTGGCACCCAGGTATGAAGACGGGGCCGGGAAGATCAAGGCTGGGCCCCCAAGGAACAAGCTCCCCAGCAGTAGAGTAGATTTGCCTTTGCTGACCCTGGTGCTAGATCTAGTTTAAGCTGAACCCTGGAGTCCTGGTGGGGATTTCTTACTGCAGCTTGAGTGACCTCCCCTTCACTTGCCTTGAGGACTCAGAAGTCTAGATTTTAACATGGTCCCGTGTAGTCCCCCCTATTAGTTCAGAAGACTCTTCCTGCACACAATATGCCCTTCCTCATCCCTGACAGGGAGCAGACATCACCAGCTTAAGCATTTCTGGGTGACAAGTCACTTCAGCTTTCAAGGCCATCTCTCCCAGTGCTGCAGTGCTGGGGTCCTAGGCTGGGACAAGGGGCTCAGTGCAGAAGAGAATGGAACCTTTCCTGCCCACATAGAGAGCTTCTAGTTACCTTTGTTTGGTTGTCTTATGGCAGGTCTTTGTTGGGAGGCAGAAGTTGGGTACCTCAGGAGTGCTGTGAGGTGATATGACAACAGCGAGCATCTGCTATAAGATTGAGATGGCGCTGAGGGTGGCACTGACCACTAATTTGTCTCTAGGGTCATTCCTCAGGGACCTCACCAATGTCCTCTGGTGTCCAGTCAGGGACGCCCATCACCAATGATCTCTTCAGCCAAGCCCTACAGCATGCCCTTCAGGCCTCTGGGCAGCCCAGCCTTCAGGTCAGTCTTCCCCACGTCTTGGTTTCCATGTGGCTTCCTTGTTATTTTGGATGCCCAGCCTTTGTTTTGCTCTCTGGCGGTCCTTCACACCTGGCATGCTTCATTCTAGGAACAGCTGGAGCATGGCAGTGGGACAGGTGCAGAGTGTTCCTAGCAAGGGCACACTCTCAGACCATACACAGTGGTCACTAGGCTTCTCCTGCCCCTAGTGACCATGGCCTGACTCCCTAGACCACCTGGCTTAGATAATCATGGCCATTTCATTCATTCATTCAGTGATCATTGACTGAGCATGTGTATACTAGGCCTGAGTCCAGATGCTGGGCTAGTGGCAAGCTGGTTCTCATCCCTGCCATGGAGGGGCACCAGGCAGGCACTGAGCTGGGGAGCAACAAGGCAAGAAACCCAGCTGCTTGAAGTAAGGGCCTAGGTCAGACAAAACTTTTCTGAGAGAGGGGTATTTAAGCTGATTGTCAGAAGAATTAGTTAGAAGTTAGCTAGCCAGGGAAGGGGGTTTGAGGTAGGAAGGGGCTGATTTCCAGGTGAAGACAGCTACCTGTTTGTGCACATGTGTGGAGGTATATGTGACATACTCAAAACTACAAGGCTAGGATGCAGTGTCCAGTGTAGAAGATCCGCAGATGGGGCCAGAGAAAGAGCAGGAGCCTACGAGAGGGGCTTGCATGCCAACCTGCGGAGATTAGACTTGATGACTTGATGTAGCAGTCACCAGGGATCCCTGGGAGGCATTGATTGATTGATTGATTGATTGAGACAGGGTGTCACTCTGTCACCCAGGCTGGAGTACAGTGGTGTGATCACAACTTACTGTAGCCTCAACTTCCTGGGCTCAGGTGATCCTCCCACCTCAGCCTCCCGGGTAGCTGGGACTACAGGTATGCACCACCATGCCTGGCTAATTTTTTGTATTTTTTGTAGAGATGGGGGGGTCTCCCTATGTTGCCCAGCCTGGTCTTGAACTCTTGGGCTCAAGCGATTCACCCACCTTAGCCTCCCAGAGTTCTGGGATTACAGGTGTGAGCCACCACACCTGGCCCATGGGAGGCTTTAAGGAGGAGAAAGGTCACCCTAGCAGCTAAGTGGAATACCTGAGGGGCCAGCATTGTAGTTCACAGCTCCATGCATGAGCAGTTTGGTTCACGTCTGTTTTCCTCTATTCCACATAGTAAGCCTATGGGTAGAGCATCATCCCTGGAACTTGTCTGGGGTCATAAGGCCATGAAGTCGTAACGATAGGGTTCAAGCCTGTGTGGTTTTCACTGTTCCATGTGGTCCTTGTAGACAGTGAGGGAACAGAAGCAGGATTCGTGAACAACTTGTCTTCTCCATTCTTGCATCTCCCCTGTTGCTAGATGCCTGTTTACTTTATTCCCTAGCTCAGAAGCTTTCACTGGTTCCACCTGGCCTGTAAAATGAATTCAAATTGATCTGTGTGCATTTTTTTTAAGCCCTCCATGTTCTCATCACTGCCTGCCTCTTTGACTTTGCTTTTCTTCCCCTTTGCATTGCCTTCTTCCCACATGTGAACACGTTGTTTTCCCTAAATTGTGCTCATCCCTGCTGTCATGAAATAGAGATATTAATGAAGCTATGAAAGTACTAGAAGAAAATATGGGTGAATTTCTTCAAATCCTTATAGTAGGGAAGGGCTTTCTTGGCTGAAACTCAGTATCCAGGAGCCATTAAATAAAAGTTATGCATTTTGGGTTTGTAAAAGCGAAAAATTTAAAACATCTCTTACAGTCCACAAATAGATATACCTACTATATACCACAAAAATTTAAGACATTTAAAAAAAGGTGAAAATTTCTGCGTGGCAAACCAAACCAAACAAAAAACCGAAGCAAAGTCCAAAGGCTAACAAACTGGGAAAAAAATCTGTAACACTCATCACATAAAGAGCAAAATCTTGCTGTTGTGTGTGTACACATAGCAAGAGAAAGAAAGTAATTTAGCCTCTTGGAATTCAGACAGTGAATAATTTGTACATTCTCTTTTGATCCTTATGCCAAGAATTTCCTTTTTTTATTGTAAAACTTTGGATTTGTTCTCTTAACCCTCAAGCCTATCTTTTAGTCTTCCTAGAAGCACCGTGTTCTGTGGAACTCAGCATCAGCAGCTTTGCTGAGGACTCCCCCATCTTCCTTTCCTTCCCCGGAAAGCACAGACCTAAGTGAGTCTTCACTGGATCCCAGCTAACAGCTTCTGCCCATTCCTATCTTTCCACAGAGCCAGTGGCAGCCCCAGCTGCAGCAGCTACGTGACATGGGCATCCAGGACGATGAGCTGAGCCTGCGGGCCCTGCAGGCCACCGGTGGGGACATCCAAGCAGCCCTGGAGCTCATCTTTGCTGGAGGAGCCCCATGAACTCCCTGCTTCCCCTGAACCCCCAGCAAGTTGCAGAGGCTACTGCCCTTGGGAGGCACTCATGAAGGTGCCTCCATCTCTCCCTTCCCCAATATACCTGATGGTCAACTCTCCTGCTTTGTCCAGTTCTTGACCTTTCTGGCTGATCTGAGTTGGTGGAGGCAGTGGGGCAAACAAGGTGTGCTGGTCTTGATGCTGTGGCATCAAAGCAGGGCTGGCCCCTAGTTCTGGGCCCTGGATGGAGGATGTTAGACCCTACATCATGGGATGCTGTGAGATACCCATGTTAACTTCTGGGAGAAGTTTCCAGCCGTAGCCCCCAGACTCTCTGGGGCTTTGGAGTTTGGGAGCCTCAGGATGTGCCGAAGTCTAGGCAGAGCTATCACCCAATCTTCAGGGTGGCTGCTGGATTACAGCTGTGCCCAGAAGAGGCTTATGCTTCCGAGATGTCCAGTCTATGGAGTGGCTGGGTGGACTTTCAGGGGAAGCACATGGAGGCAGCTTGCCTTCCACATTTCTCTCTCTCTCAATGGCTTCCACAGATTTCTTTGTCCACCCCACCAGTCTATTCTCACCAAGCATTTTTTGATGCTTGTTCTGTAATGATTCCAGAATCCAGGCCTCAGAGCTTCGCCAGGAGGTAGGGCCCTCCTTGTCCTGAAGGCATAAATACAAGAGCAGTTAAATAGCAATACTAAAAAACAACACCAACATGAACAGGGCTCAGCTTTAATATTGAAGAGAGGGCACCAACCCCCAAGCTGTTGCTCCATCTGCCTGTGCTCACTCATGTTCCCCTTGGCATGGCGTTCCCTGTGATGTTCCCTGCGGCATCGCAGACATGTCCAAGTTGAGAAAGTGGGTTTTAAATGCTTTGAATACTTCGTTGGGAGAACACTTCTTCCCCTCAGATGGTGTTTTGGTTCATTTGGGAATAACATGGGTGGAAAGGGGCTCAGAGATGTGCTCCTGCCCTCTGCCTTGGCAGGCGTTTCATCTCCACCATTCCCAGTCATGGTCATTTGGTTTCTGCTTGTCTCCTCCAGGAACAAAAGATTTACCACTTACAACCTATTCTGTCCTTTAACTATTTGCCAGGGCATTACCCCTTGGTCCCCTCTCTGCCCTAAGGAACCACTCGGAACAAGCCTGCTTCCTCTTCTACCTTAGCAGGGCTTTAGTTATTTACGGAATGCCATGGTGGGTCATTGACTTGCCCCTTTGACCTGTCATGGTTTTGGTTCCCAGCATATCCTGTTCGTTTTTCTGGATGACCTCCAGTGTATCAGTGATACTCTTAACGTCCAGATATGGCCCGAACAGGATGTTATTCTTTGCCTCTTCCAGAAAATTTGAGAAGTCTCTCTATGTGCATTGACAGAAAAGACTCAGAACTGGGCTTCTCAATGCCAGGCCTCTGTGTGCCTCAGTGGTCTGCCTGGAGCCCAGCTGCCTACTTGTGGTTGAGAGCAAAGACCAGGAAGCTCTGTCTTTGTACACAGTGTCTCTTGCTTGTTTGTGGTGGAAACAAAGGCCAGTCCTATCCTCATGGGTCTGTCTTGGTCAAATGGGGCTGACACAGCCCTTCCTGTGCCCATGATACAGCCTGCCCAGAGCTCGTTTCCATTCTGTGGCAGCTCTCACCCTGCCTCTGAGGACTGCCTTCAAAGGTGCTGGGGTTCCTTAACTCCCCTATCCCATTATGCTGCAGAACATTTGGGTCACCCTGCCCTATCCCTTGGACCAACCCCCAATACCAGTTCCCAGAACAGAGCCGTCCCCACGGTTTCCCTTTCCCTTCTTTGTTGGCTCTTTCCTCCAGGGGCTTGGCAAGTTGGCTTTGCTTCCTGTGGCCATGTTTTGAGTAGTCTATGTTGAGTCTGATAAGTGCCCCCACTGAGCCTGGGGCTTTCCATGAGCCAAGGACTCTTTCCTCACCATTGTCCCTTTCATCCTTTCTTCTTATTTTTATTATTTTTTTTAAAAAAATTTATTTTTTTTGAGACAGAGTCTCGCTCTGTCGCCCAGGCTGGGGTGCAGTGGCACGATTTCAGCTCACTGCAACCTCCACCTCCTGGGCTCCTGCCTCAGCTTCCCAAGTAGCTGCGACTACAGGCATGTGCCACCATAGCCAGCTAATTTATGTATTTTTAGTAGAGATGAGGTTTCGCCGTGTTGGCCAGGCTGGTTTCAAACTCCTGACCTCAAATGATCCACCTGTCTTGGTCCCCTAAAGTGTTGAGATTACAGGCATGAGCCACCGCGCCGGGCCTCCTTTCATCCTTTCAACAAACATTGACTGAGCCTCCACTCTCTGCCAGATAAACATGACGGTATCTTTGCTCTGACAATGCTGTGTTGTTGGTAAGATGGACAAACAGATGATTGCATTAAAGCCTAATGAGAACTGGGCGAGGCAAGTCTAGGGGCTGTGGCGCTCACAGGAGAGGGGGCTAACGTGGGCTAGGGGTGGGGGTGTGAGGGTGAGGGAAAGCTTCATGGAGAAAGTGGCACTACGCTGAGACCTGAAGGGTAAGGGAGAATTGGGCACGAAGGTATATGTACTGAGGGGGCTGGGAGTGGGGAGCAAACCTGGCTTTTGTAGCCCTGTTTGTCAGGGTGGCTTGCAAGGCAAGTGGGTGGGCAGAGGCTAGATCATTTGAAGCTATGTAAGGAATTTAGACTTACCCTGGACAATGGGAGTCACAGAATGGCAATCGGGAGAGAGTCCAATGTGTGTTTTAGAAAGGTCATTCTGGCTGCTGTGTGGTGAGTATAGTGGGAGTAGAAGACTGAGGGAGGGCAGGCATGAGGAAGCCGGGGAGGAGGCTGTGGCAGTGATCCACTTAGAGCTGCTGGTAGGCTGACCTGACGGCGTGGCAGTGGGGAAGGAGAGGAGGAGGTAGAGAGGCTTTAGGAGTTAGAATTGATACCAGATCTTTGGGAAAGGCGAGTATACTGTTGTCTCCACTGAACAGATGGGGACACCAAGGTTCCAAGGGTTGAAATCATCTGCCCACAGTCTCATGGGCAGGAAGTGGACAAGTGGTCCCAGAAACTCAGGTCTGTCTTACTCCAGAGCTGGTGCCCTTCCTCCCACTGCCCTTGGCCTCTGAAGTGTGGAGGAATGGGAGATGATGAGGGCTTAGATCCGGCTGAGGAGCTAGGGCTTTATCCTGAGGGCAAAGAGCACCCCTGAGGCAGCTGCAGGCAGGGCAGTGGGGGACCAGATCTGTGTGTGAGATAATCTGACAGCTGTGTGGAGGCTGGATTTGTGGGAAGTGAGATGGGGTAGGCGACCAGCTAGGAGGCTGGCTGGATCCTCCAGATGGGACATGGAGGGGGCCTCAACTGGAGCTGCTGCAGGGGAGCTGGGTGGAGGGGAGCTGCTAGGTGTGAAGGACAGACTAGCTCTGGGGGCTGAAAGTGGGGAGGCAGGCAGGATGTGAGCAGGCGGATGGTGGTGCAGCAGTAAGAATAAGGGACTGGGGTGACAATTTGGAATGAGGTGCCATAGGACAGCCAGGTGGGGATGTGTATAATTAAAGACAGTTGGATGTCTTTGGGCTGAGGTAGTGATCAGGAAGTTCTAAGTTGAACACTGGGCCTGTGTCATGTGAGAAGGCAATTAAGCTTTTCAGAGAAAGGTAGAGGAAAAGGGATACCCACTAAGGAGTTCAGCTTTATAGAAAATGGTGACTGATAGATGTGAGGCATGGAACGGGCGCAGGATCTGCTGCTTCTGGGAAGGTGAGAGCAGGAGTCAGCAAAGCTGAGGGAGTGAAAGGACCTGGACAAAGAGGGCATGCTCAGTGGGGTCAGATGCCACAGACAAACCTAGTAACAGAAGGGCTGACCTTGGACTTGTTGACTTGTGCCTTGGTGACCTTGGGGAGACATTCCAATGGAACCGGAGCCAGATAGCAGGGGTTGAGGACTGAATAGGTGAGGGGCAGTGGATGCAGAGAGGGCAGGGGACCTTGCTTGTGAGGGAGAGGATAGTAGTTAGAGGAGAGATGGGATTGAGTGTGAGTTTTTGCAGTTCAGCAGAGGTGAAGTTGGAAGTGATCACAAGAACTTTTCTAGGAAGCTGAGGGAAAAAAAGGAAAAGACCCCAAAATAGAATATGCAAATATGTAGAGATGGGTGAGTTTTCTAACAGATCCGTTCTCCTGATATAACTCAAATTTGGCTGGGCTGGTATGGGCTGGGCTGGCACAGCTTGCTGGGCACATGGGCCCCAGATCTGCTCCTCGCCTCAGTCCCATCTGGCCTGGGCCCCAGACCAAGCTCACAGAGCCCTACCCTGAGGTGGCTTCTTGTTGCTGTTGCCACAGACTTTGGCCCTGGGTGTTTGTTGAGGATGTTGGGGAGTTTATTCAGGCCTCCCTCTTTCTGCTTACCCAGCCTCTCCAGCAGGTGGGGTCCCCTCTGGCCCTGGGCTGGGCTCAGGTCAGTTCAGCTGTGCCCCTAGTTCCTCTGGGCCTGGGCCTGTCTCGTTCTCATAGGCTCTGAGATCGCTGGGAATAGAATTCAACTTCTATGCTAGAAATGCTTTCGTGGCAACCCAGGCACTGGCCTACTCTATCTTGGCAAAACTAGCTAATATTAATAGTACATTACACAGCACAGTAGTGCTTATTTATCAAGCATCCTCTCTGTGCCAGGCATTGAGCTAGGCACTCACATGTGCCATCTTAGTTAATCCTCATAGCGACTCTGAAAACTAGATATTATTAGCCCCATGTACAGAGGAGTGCTTCCTGTATGCTGGGGAAGTGGCCTTTCTAGGGCTTGGGTGGGATTGTGTCAGCATGATTCCATCAGTGCACCCACCTGGGGCCTTGTGCCTGGCTGGCCGAAGGGTCTCCTAACCACTTACCTTTGGAGTGGCAGCTCAGGTCTTGGAGGGGACTTAGGCTTCTAAGTCAGATTGAGGTTTAGATTGCTTTTCCACATATGACCTAACTTCTTGGAGCGTCAGTTGTGCCTTGTTTGACGTTTTCCCTCAATTTCTATAAGTGGATATTGAGTATGTGTATCAGAGATGCCAGGCACTCAGAGCTGGGCCAGTGAATGTTCTAGATGGCATCAGGGCCCAGACAATGAAGTAACCCTAACAAGGACAGAAGCAAAGAAAGTCTAAGGTCCTGCAGTGGGGACCAGAAATTTTTTTTTTTTTTTTGAGACAGAGTTTCACTCTGTCACCCAGGCTGGAGTGCAGTGGTGCAATCTCGGCTCACGGCAACCTCTGCCTCCCGGGTTCACACCATTCTCCTGCCTCAGCCTCCTGAGTAGCTGGGACTACAGGTGCCCGCCACCACGCCCAGCTAATTTTTTGTATTTTCAGTAGAGATGGGGTTTCACCGTGTTAGCCAGGATGGTCTCGATCTCCTGACCTCGTGATCCGCCCACCTCGGCCTCCCAAAGTGCTGGGATTACAGGCATGAGCCACCGCGCCCGGCCAAGGGGGACCAGAAAATTAATTGCTCTTATGCAGAATCGAGTCTCATTTCTTCTCCTGGGCCCAGATTCAATAATCTTTCTCAAATGAGCATCCCAGAGAGCCACTACTGATGGTTGAGAATTGGCCCAGGGATAACCCTGGGCTGAGATCAAGAGGATTTAACAACGTGTTGTCTCAACCCATTAAGAGTGCCTTTAGAGGTGCTAGAATAAGGAGGAAGGAAGCTAGTCTTTCAGCCCTTTACTGCTCAGCCTCCACACTAGGTGTTGTGTTCTGATCTGAGGCCTGATCTTTGAAAGAGAGAGACACAATCTGGACTGTTTAGCACCTAGGAGGGGTCAGTAAAAGTTTGCTAAATGACGGACTGATCGTGTCTTAGAAATCAACCAGGATTAGAGAGCCTCTCAAGGAAAGCCCCATGAGGGATCTATTTGAAACTGGAGTTATTTACCCTGAATAAAGAGCCGATTTAGAAGGATGTGACCTCTGTGAAATCACTGAAGGGCCGTATTCCAGGAAGAGAGATTAGACATGTCCTTGTTGCCTCAGAGGGCAGATTTAGGACCACTGTTTGGGAGTCTTCCACTGGGGAAGAAAGCTCTGTGTCAGAGCTAAACAAGATGGGCAACGCTGGCTTGTGAGGGAGCTCATCATCACTGGAGGTATGTAAGCAGAACCTGCATGGCCACCATAAGGAGTCTTGTGAGTGGCTCTCAGGTAGGACTGAATCCCCTTTGACAGCTACTCCTAACTCCAGGAATTGAGATTCTTGGATCATTATATTCATGAAAGAAAGTGAACTGTTTGTGGGTAACCACCCTTTTGCATGTGTATCTCCTCACTGAAGTGGCCTCAGCAGGCCCAAGGATCACATCAGAGCTGGGAGGGTCCTGGGACATCTTCTCTCCTATAGACATCACTTTATTTTTATTTTATTTTAGTTTAGTTTAGTTTAGAGATGGAGTTTTGCTCTTGTTGCCCAGGCTGGAGTACAATGGTGCACTCTCGGCTCACTGTAACCTCCACCTCCTAGGTCAGGTGATTCTCCTGCCTCAGCCTCCTGAGTAACTGGGATTACAGGCACACAACACCATCCTCAGCTAATTTTTATATTTTTAGTAGGGACGGGGTTTCACCATGTTGGCCAGGCTGGTCTTGAATTTCTGACCTCAGGTGATCCACCTGCCTCGGCCTCCCAAAGTGCTGGGATTATAGGCGTGAGCCACCATGCCTGGCCGACATCATTTAAAAGCATATTTAATTCATCCTATAGAAGGAAATGCAGAAGATGGAATGAGAAAGCTTTGTCTCTCTCTGATACAGAGAGAAGATAGACCAGGAGAAGAGATGGAGTTTTAGCTCTTCTTTCTCATTTTGTACACAAAGAAACAGAGGCCTGGACTGGGTCAGGGCCTTGCTTGAGTCAGTATCCAGGCTGAGACTTCATCTTTGGCCTCCCAGCCATGTCTAGTCAGGAGATTTTGTTAGTCTAGATGGATTCTATGTGACATCCATGAGATTCTGCCCTGCCTCAGGCTTTGGACAGTGAGAATAGAGGCTCAGAGATGGATTAGGGGCATAGGAATGGGAGGGAGAAGTTTGTCTCCAGAAAGTCTGGGGAGTGTCTATCACAGAAAAGTGCATGTAGAATGTATGACTAGAACAGAGAGCAGAGATGCACTTGGTCTTTGCTAAGACTCGGCTCTGTTCCAGAGTGGCCACCAGGTGGCACTCCCACCACAAGCCCAGTGCCACGTTGGCCAAGTTTGGGGCTTGGGGCTAAGGATGTTGCTGATTTGTCTGTGGAAGGCACAGGACCTGTAGTGTTTTCAGGTGAGCTGAGTGCCCTGCTAGAAGGAAAAAAAATCTGTCTCTTCTCTGCTGACTGAATATTCCTCTTTGGATTTTTCCTTTGTCTTACTTAACTTGGCTGGCCCTACTTAGATCTTAGCAATTTAGGTAGGGTTGATCAGATAAAAATGCACGTAGAATGATTAGGATAGAAAGCAGAGATGTAGGCATGGGATGCTGCTGGGAGCACGACCCTCAGGGCTAAGAAGGTGGTGGCAGTTCTGAGAAGTTCTCCATTCACAGTGGGCTGAACTGATGTATGGAAGGTGGTGATCTCTGAACTGGTCTAGGAGGAAGAGGCAGGCACTTGAGGGGAATGTCCTGGCTGAGGTTTGGAGGCAGGCAGAGCACTGAGGGGAGGGTGAGGCATGGCCTGGGCAGCCTGAGAAGTGTCTTCTTGGCACTCCTTGCCTGACATGGTCTGCCAAGAGTTGGGCCAGGTATAGTGACTGTCGTGCCTGTGCCTGTGAGATAGTCACAGTGGGCACATGGTATGTTGGGGGTCCCAGATATGGGCCCCAGACCTGTTTTTATTTGCCCATATCCATCCTCCTTAACTTTTGAATTATTTGCCAATATTTTAAAAGAGAGAGTTTCAACAAAGAGTCAATTTTCTTTTCTTTTTTTTGATGGAGTCTCGCCCTGTCACCCAGGCTGGAGTGCAATGGCGCAATCTCAGCTCACTGCAACCTCCACCTCCCAGGTTCAAGTGATTCTCCTGCCTCAGCCTCCCAAGTAGCTGGGATTACAGTTGCGTGCCACCATGCCCGGCTAATGTTTACATTTTTAGTAGAAATGGGGTTTCACCATTTTGGCCAGGCTGGTCTCGAACTCCTGACCTTGTCAGATAAAAATGCATGTAGAATGATTAGGACAGAAATCATTGACCTTGTGATCCACCCACCTCGGTCTCCCAAAGTTCTGGGATTACAGCCGTGAGCCACCACCCCTGGCCTCTTTTTTCTTTTCTTTTCTTTTTTTTTTTTTTGAGACAGAGTTTCACTCTTGTGTCCCATGCTGGAGTGCAGTGGTGCGATCTTGGTTCACTGCAACCTCCGCCTCCTGGGTTTAAGTGATTTTCCTGCCTCAGCCTCCCAAGTAGCTGGAATTACAGGCGCTCGCTACCATGCCCGGCTAATTTTTGTATTTTTTAGTAGAGATGGGGTTTCACCATATTGTGCAGGCTGATCTTGAACTCCTGACCTCAGGTGATCCACCTGCCTTGGCCTCCCAAAGTGCTGGGATTACAGGCATGAGCCACCGTGCCCAGCCCTCAATTTTCAGCTTCTCTTGAAAATCATACTACCTTTCACTACTGGGTTTACTTCTTCATGGTTCCATGGGCTGGAGCTGAGTCGAAATTGCCTTATAGACAGCACAGGGTTCTGCAGACCCCAGCCCACCCACTCCCCTCGTTCTCATCAGTTCCAAGTCTCTGCCCCCTGCAATAGGTAGTAATGGTGGTAGGCAATAGGAATTGTTGCTGCTGTTAGTAGCCAGGAGGTCTGAATGGCCACCAAGCTCTGAGGCCTCAAAGAAGGGGTGGGATCTAGCATGGAGGGGGCTGTTGGGGATTGAATGCCCTCTGAGAGCTACTTCTAATCCTAAGAATTGGGATTCTTGGATCATCGTATCTGTGAAAGGAAGTGAACTGTGTGTGGGTGACCTCACGTCTGCATATGTTATCTCCTCACGGAATCCTTCTATCTCCCACAGGCCTCTTGTTTGAGGTGGGTCACTCCTGTGAAGGCCATGTGTAGCCATGGAATCAGGGCTGAGGAGGAGGTCAGATAACTCTGGAGAATGGAAGGATGAGTTAAGTTGGACCCTGAAAGGTGAGAGGCTTTAGTTGGAATGTTGGGGGGATTGCCCGGGGCTTCTGCCACTGCTTCAAGACCATGAATCTCAGGTCTGTGTGTATCCATTTCTTTCATTCCAAAAGGAGCCTTCTTGGATTGGGCTGTGCCTCAGCTGTCCATGGGGCTCAGGAAGTGATCCTTCTCAAGGTATTTTTCTTATCGATAGAAGCCCTGCATCATTTCTTCCTCCCTCCCCTGAATGTGGAATCATGGAGAAGGGAGGGACAAGAATGTGCCTCCCCATCAGACGTGTCAGCATCCACATGTGTTGCTTCCTCTGCTGGTCCACTTCCCATCACTGGCTGTGAGTGGGAATTGTGCCCCTGTTCTTGGTCCAGGCTCAAGAGCCAGCCTTGGCCTCCAATGAGGCAGGCAGGCCTCTGACACCACCTATACCATTCTGACTTGATTTTCCTATGCTGCCTGAGGCAGGAAAGTCCATGCCTAAACTCTGGTCATAGTGCCTGCCCCACAGTCTAGCTGCCTTTCCCTTTATAAAGTTATTGCCTCAAGTCATGGGCTTAGTTCTCTCCTCCCCTGGCTGCCTGCAGCCAACCGAGAGAGTGGGCTGCCATCTCGCCTGGCCCTTTGTCCCCAGGTTGGCTGGCTTGTGGGGAGGATGGTCTTAAGTACTACTTCCTTCCCCCCTACCCCCCAGTCTGGAAAAAAAATTATCTGGCATCTACCCCAGTTTCCATCTGCTACTCTGTTGATTGGGAGATTGAGCCCATTCCCTGGTCTGCCCTCCTACTCAGCACCTGGTGACCTGGGCCCTATCTAGGTCCTTCTGGGGATGGTTTGGACCCAGACTTCAGCCACAGACAGGAGGCAGCAGTGCCAGGGTACATCACACAGAGAGAAGTCAAGGGTGTGGGTCCTTGAGAAACCACCTGAGTTTCAATCCGTCCTGCCTCTAGTTGTGCGATCCTGGCACTTCACATCCCTTGTCTGTGCCTTGATTTCTTCATTTGTAAAGGGAGGTGACTAATAGCTCCTATCTCATAGGAGTGCGAAGATTGAATGAGTTGGGAGAGGCTATGAGATGGCACAGCACATAGGAACCACAGTGTTAGCAATTGTTATTGCAGTCAGAAAACCCATCTTCGTTCTACCATTTACCGGTTGACCTCGGGCAGGTCCGTCCTTGTCCCTCCCTGTACCTCAGTTTTCTTCTCTGCAGTGGAGTTACGCTCCCTCCCTCAGTGAGAGGAAGAGAGTGGAGGACTGGCAGAGATGAGGTAGGTGAATGTGGGTTATGTGTTGTGAGTTGCCATGCACATGGGCAGTGTTATCATTGATTTTGAATCCATTTGAATTCTTAGTTCCAAAAGGCAGAGACAGGTGATTTCTTAGTTTGCCCTAGCTTTGCATAGAGAGGACAGACACTGAGGGCAATACCTGTCTAGCAGGTGAAACCGAATGTCCATCTTAGAGGCTGGCCTGGGCCAGGCTCCACTGCTGGCTTCAGGGCCACAGGCTTAGGTGCAGGCCTGAGGAGGAGCTCTTAGACTGTCCACAGCCTCCCTCTCTGGGGCAGTGTGCCCCTGTGTATCAGGAGGCTGTTGGCTTCACCCAGTGGGCCAGGAACCTCACTCTGCACTGTCTCTGGAGGTACCTTGAGTTTACCTTCCTGGCCTGCTGGGGTGCCTCAGGACTCTGAGGGAAGAAGGAGGGGACAACTGGAAGCAAAATGTAGAATGGTAAAGCCAAACTTCTTGGTAGCAAAACTTTCCTGGTTCCAGGAGGTAAAAACAACAACCAAATGGTCCTGGCCCCATGGAGCAGGGCAGAGGGCAGAGGGCAGCCAGCCCACCGCCTTTGCTGGTGTCTGCAGTGCGTGAATCGTGTCTAGGTCTGTGAGTTCTGAAGGTTGGATGTTCACCTCTACTCCTTCCTCGGCCTGTCTCCTCTCAGTGCAGCTAGACATCCAGTAAACACTAGATAAGTACTTACTGAGCTGGGTGGATTTTCCATTCATGGTTCCCTGGGGCACAAGTGGAAGTGGTAGGTCTGGGCCCTGTCTGGTCTAGAGAGAGGAGACCCTTTTACAAAGGGCAGGCACGTAGTTCTGAGAGGAGGAGCTGATGGCAGAGCTGGCTGGACTGCTCAGGTAACTGCAGAGGGTCTGGGCCTGGACCCCCCAAGGGAGTCCCCACTGAATGGTCAGGTTGCCTGAGATAGCTGAGCCCTAGGCACTTTGCGGGCAGAGATCCCCTTAAGCTGCTTTGACCCTCCCTCCCCCACAGTGAGTGGGGCACGGGGGATGCTCCCCTCTCTACTTGGGGAAGGGGCCTTCCTAATTATATCCCCCTCCACTCACATGGAAATGAGTTTGGATTTTCTGAGCGTACACCAGCTGGCTTGGGGGGAGGCAGCCCAGAAGGCTGCTGGCTGGGAAAGGGAGGAGAAAGGAGAGGGAGGGGAAGGAGCCAGGCCAAGATGAAAAATTTCCAGTGTTCTCCCAGGCAAAGCAACAGCGGGTCCCTGAGTGCTCCCCACATATCATCGTTGTGCCTGCTGGTAGGCTCAGCAGGGAGCCGTGTCCACTTAGGCGAACGCATCCTCCGAGGACCATAGTCCTCAGGGTGCGAACCACTTAGCTGGCCATAGCAAGGTTGTTGGGTGTTGGACTCCTCTGCGCCCTTGGAGAGAGGTCCTCCACGACTTCTACGCCAATCTTTTTACGGGGTGCGGGGAGTGGAACTGAGGCCCAGAGAGGGGATAGGGCCTGCCGCCCCTGGCAGAAGACCACAAGTCTGGCTTGTCCGCAGCTGGGCTTTCCCCGTAGAGTTGCCCGGGAGAGGGTGGCGAAGGTTCCCCCAGCAGTTCCGCTCTCGCTCAGGAAAGCCAGTGAGGCGAGAAAAGGCTGCGAGGGGCGGGGGGAGGGGCGGGGTGGGGTCAGCGCTGGCTCCGCCTCCTGGCGCTTGGGTCTGCCTGCGGCCGGGCGCTGGCTCAGTCTCGGCTGATTGCCGCTGTCGCTCCCGGGGCCACGGGATGACGCCTCCTCCGCCCGGACGTGCCGCCCCCAGCGCACCGCGCGCCCGCGTCCCTGGCCCGCCGGCTCGGTTGGGGCTTCCGCTGCGGCTGCGGCTGCTGCTGCTGCTCTGGGCGGCCGCCGCCTCCGCCCAGGGCCACCTAAGGAGCGGACCCCGCATCTTCGCCGTCTGGAAAGGTAGGCGGCGCCGCGCGGCCGGTCAGGCGCGGGATCAGACGCTGCGCGGGGCGGGTGCGGAGTGTGCTGCACCCGGAGGGAGTGCGTGCGCGCAGCTCTGCGGGTCCCGGGCTGTCCCCGCGCTGTCCCCGCGTGGAGCGTGTGGGTTTGGGTGAGTGTGTGTGAGTGTACACGCTGGCACACCAGAGCCGGCTGTAACGCTGCGGCGAGCGAGCGGCGGGGGCCGGAGCCCCGGCTAAGTCGCACCAAGTCCCTGGCAGCCAGGAGCCGCAACGCCCGGGCGCCAGGGGAGGGGGCGGGCCCCTCTCTCGGCCCCGAGCCACTCTGGGTCCTCTGGCTCGGGGGCTTCGGCGGAGGACCTTTCCCCGCCTGGGACCCCAACCCGGGTACCCTCCTTTTGAGCTGCGGGCTCTGCTGGCGCGCGGGGCGCAGGCTGGGCCGGCAAGGGGGGCGCGGACCCCTTGCCGCCGCCGCCGCGCTTCGGCAGCGGGAACAAAGACCCCGCCGCCTGCCCCCGCCCCCGCCCCGGCCCGGAGCTCGGGCCAGGCAAGGGGGTGGGCATCCTGCAGCGAGCGGCGGGACATGGTGCGGTGCGGCGGCTTGGGGTACCAGGGCGCTGCCTCAGCAATGCCGGGACCGGCCGCTCCCCCCTTGCCCGCACGTGGCAGTTGTCACCAGAAATCGGCTCCAGCGTTGGGGGGCAGTGCCCGTTGGGTGGGGCACGGCCGTTGGGACCCCCAGGCGGTGGATCTAGGGCGGGGGTGCAGCCTTTAGGCCAGGGTAGATAATAAGAACCTGGGGGACTGGAGTCTCCCCCAGGGCACCTCAGTTTAGACCCTGTACTATGGGACAGAAAGCCGGTTAGGCGGGGGTTTGAGGCTTTCTGCCGCGAGGAACTGATCTCCCCTCCCCTGCATTGCACACAAATGCCTCCCCGCCCCCAGTCCGATTCGGCTCTGTCCCCAAATTTGGCGTGTCTGCGGCCCCCCTGTCGTGATGGTGGGGGACTCGCAGTGGGGGCTGGGGGAACTGGTCGGGTCTGGCCCCACCGGGAGCCTTTTGATGCCTTTGGCAGTTTGCAGGGATTGCGGGAGTCTGAGCATTATCTGGGGCAGGTATTATTAGCAGAGGGGAAAAAAAACCATACACAAAACGAGTGGCCCGAACTGCCGCAGTAGCTGAGGGAATGTGACTTGCCCAAGGTCACTGAGCAGTGTGGGAGCCCAGGTGCAGGCAGGGGCTCTGATCTGGCACAGGACCAGTCCAGGTTCTGGGTTAGGGAGGGGAGAAGGATTTAGGTGGTTCAGGGACCATGAATGAGGTGCTCTGGGGACCAGCTCGGCTACCCAGCCTGAGGTGCTCCTGGAGGAAGCCGAGCAGTGCTGCTAGAGCTCCGGCCGCCTGTACATGGAGGAGGCCTGCACACCCCTCTGCCATCCCAGCTCCAGCCCAAGCTTCCTTTGCCCTCCCAGCAGCTTTGCCTTCCCTCAGTCTCCTTGGCTGTCTTGGACATCATAGCGTGTGGGCACTCTGGAGGGGACAAATGGCCACATCTGAGTGTTCTGGAATCTTTCCCTCCATCAAACCCCTTGCATTTTGACTCTGTTTGCCTGTCCCAAAGTCTTCCCATGACCCCCCACCCCCACCCCACTTAATGCACACCCACTTCTTAGCACTTAATGCATACATCCCATCCTGGGCACTTAGTTCCCACCCTGAGGCTATTTAAAGTTGCTTTCAGTCCTCTTACCCACTTTTCGAAGCTCCCAGCACAGCTCCATGGCCTACCCCCCCGCCCGCAGTTCACTGCTGTAGCCACACTGGCTGTGCCCTCTGCTTAGTAATGCACTGTTGAGCCCCGCTGGCTGGGGTCTGCCAACCGTTCACCAGTCTTGTCCAACGACAGTCTGTGGTCTCCTTCACCAGTGCCAGGTGCCCCACTGGCCAGACAGGCCCTGCCATTCACCTGCCCCCCACCCCCAGGGCCACCAGCTGGTGATGGTGTGCCCGACTGACAGCTGCCTCCTGTCTCCTGTGGGGTGACACATGGCAATCGGACAGGAATGGGCTTGGGTAGGACAAACCCAGGAACAGGGTAAGAGGGGGTCTTTCTGGAAGCCTAGAGCTCTGTCTACCAGTGGTGGGTGGGAGTATGGTGGTATCCAGGAATGACAAAATCAGGGATGGTGGTGGTTCTGGAGCCATTTCTCTATGAGGCATAGATGGGGGTTTTAGTTTTGAGTCAGGACAGCTGTGGGGACTGGAATAGGTATGGAAAGTTCTTTATTTTCTGCTGCTTGGATCCCCAAGTTCTAGAGAAAGATTAAAGCAGGGAACTCTGAGAGGGGCCCAGCCTGCACTGATCAGGGAGATTGCTGCCTCTGCAGCTTGATGAAAGTCTGGCACAGCGTAGCTCAGGCCAGGGAGAGAGATGGGCCATCATGTACCTGCTGGGTGTCCTTGAGCTCCACACTTGTCTTTGACCCTTAGAGCCTGCCAGAGCAAGAAAGGCTGTAGGGATTGTCCCCCAAGGGCTGTCACTGACACATGGGCCAGTCAAGGATGTGCATGTGTGGTCCTGATCTTCCTGTAAGCAGGAACTGTAAGGGAGTAGATTGCAGGTGAGGGCTGGGGCTTAGCAGGAGGTTGGCATGCGTTTGTAAGCTGTGCACCCCTCTTCCATTTTATCAGTGGTTGGAGGAGCTAAAGAAGGCTTGGAACCCCAAGGTCAGAGGTGAACCAGCCTGTCCATGGGGAAACAGAACCCATATCCCCAGTCTCAACCTGCCCGGCTGGTTCTGCCCTCCCTCGCTTTTGTCCAGTGAAACAACGGGATGTTATTGTTGACTTGGTGGCTGCTGGGGAGCCATTCTGGGGCTGCTCCCCAGGGCAGGAGGTTGTTGTTACCTCCTCCAGGGGATGAGGTCACATCTGGGGCTTCCCAAGCATCAGCATTTCCAGTGGAAATCCTTGCCCCCTTGGGGACTTAGATGTGTTCATCACCTTCAAGGTGAACTCCCTCCACAGAGTCTCATGGTGGGGGGGCAATTCCCCGGAGGAGAGGGGGAGTTTCCTAAGCCAAGAGAGATGCTTGGTGAGGTCACCAGGAGCTTCCTACCAAGCTCTGTGACCCCTCTGTCCTGGACAGTGAAGATTCTGAGAGCAGGTCCGGTGGAATGGACGCTGGCACAGGTCCAATGATGACCATGGTATAGGGGAGAGAGCTGGGAGGTCGGGAGCCTGGTTCAGGCTGTGACCTAATTTGCTCTGTGACTGGGCAAGTCTTTGCCTTTTACTGAACCCCAGTTTCCCCAAATGCCCAAAGAGGGTAGGGGAGGGGGCTCATCCTTTTCTGAGATTTAATGTCTTAGGATTTCTCTCTCTCTGGGATGGGAGGGGCTGGGCAGAGTCTGTGGTGGCCTGTTTAAATCTTAGATTTCGAGAAATCTGGAGGAGAAATTGAAACCTGGGAAGTCAGGGGAAACCCTTAAGTTCGCGTTCTTTCCTATCTTTTTCTCTCGTGGGCCAAAGGCTGAGGATCATTTGGAGGAAATGGATCATCAGCATGTGCCCTCAAGGGTGGACATATTCATTCAGCAAACATTTGCCGGGGCCACCCTTGTGCTGGTCTTGGGGATGAGCTTGGGGATCTGGTGATGAGGAACAAGATGATTCCGTGCCCTTGTAGACTTCTCAGTGTAGATGTAGATGGGCAGATAAACCTGCAGGTACAACAGAATGTGTAACAGAGAGCAGTTATGGGCACTGAGGAGATGCCTAACCCAATTTTCCCAATCAGGGAGGGCTTCCTGGAAGAGGGAGCAAGCTGAAATGGCAGGAGGAGGAGCCAGCTGGGGGAGGGAAGGAACAGGAGGAAGCACCCCACTTAGTAGGATTTTAAACCCAAGAACTTACAGCTAGGACCACAGAGAGGAGAGAAGCCATGTGAGGGGCCCCCATGTGAAGAGGCGTTGAGTCAGCCTGGGCCTGGGGGCTCCCGAAAAGTTTGAAACTTGTCCAGATGGGCATAGGTGAGGGGATACCTGTCATCCTATGACTGGCGCAGCAGTGAGGAGGAAGGACGCACCCACTGGAGAAGGGCCGTGGCAGGCAGGGAAGGCCTCTCGAGTGCTGGCAAGGCCATAGCCCCGTCACAGTTCCCTGGTGGGAGGCTGGCTCTGGGTCCAGGGAGACCATGGCTTTCCCCATTGACTCCTGACCGCAGGACAGTCTCCAGGTGAGAAGGTCTGTCCCTCAGCTCTGTCTTCTCCTGCTCTTCCTCTGCAGAGATGGAAGGAGCATGGAGGTGGCAGGGTGGGGGTGGCATGGATAGGTCACTATCTGGGCTGAGGGTGGCGCCCTGGGGGAAGCAGGGAAAGCTGGGCTCTGTTTTTTGAGGAGGGCCAAGCAAGGTGGGATGTGAAGCTCAGCCCAGGGGGCAGGTCTGGCAGCCCTCAGGGGGCAGTAGCTGGAGTAGATGGGCCACTAGCTGATAGCCTGTCCACCCCCAGCTTCACACGGCTCTGTCACAAGAGACTGACTGCACTTCCCCTGCTTTGGTCGGCAGCTCTGGACTGAAAAGTTTCCACTTCTCTTGATTTCCTTTTTTGGCCCAGCGTGGCTGCCCCAGGAGCCTTCCTTCGCCATGGTTGGGGGAGGAAGGGGCCCTTAACCTGTCCTGCCTTCAGAAGAGCCAGGGTTCCGTACCCTTGCAGGGAGGGCCAGCCACCAGGTGTATGGCCAGCTGTCCTGTCCTCAGGGAACCAGGCAGGCCAGAAAGAAAGCAGGGGGATGGAGGGCCACGGCACCTTGTTGGGCCCTGCCTCCTCAGAGGACAGAGTTCCCCCTTCCCTAGCCAGCCAGGCCTTGAGGGACTGTCCCCTCTCTGCCCCGAATGGTATGGGGTGGCTCTCCAAGCCCTTTATTCTCCCTGGCCCTGGCCTTGCCATCTCTCCAGATCTGTGCCCAGCCTCCCGGAGGACCTCTGTCCCTATGCTGCACCCCATCCAGAACACATGGCACACAGCTGCCGCCTTCCCCAGGCCCTGCATGGTGGCCTGGCCCCACTGCCTCCTAGACTCCCACAGTTCTTCCCTCACTGCTCCCTGGCTCCGCCTCCTCTCTGCACCCCACTCACCCTCCTCCTCCTTTCTGCCCAGAAAGGAGGCTGCTGGTTCTTTCTCAGTTCCTCTGAGGAACCTTCTTGGATGACCCCAACCCACACAGCCTGACAGCGCGAGCTTAGGATGTCAGAAAAGAAATGTCAGAGATTAGCTGGGCCAGCCAAACATTCCACAGATGGGGAAACTGAGGCTCAGAGATGACAGGGACTGGCCCGAGATCACCCAAAGAGGCAGAGCTGGGACCGGGGCTGAGTCGTCTGAGCCTGCTTCTGCCCCAGCTCTCAGCCTGTTTCCAGCTTTCTGTCTGCCATCATACTCTGTCCCAGGCTGGGGGCCCCTTCAGTGCCTTTCCTCCTCTGCTAGCCCAGTTGGGCCCAGACTCTTCCCGCCCCAGTGCTGTCTGTTCCCAGGAGCCACACCAGCTGTGAGTGTCCTCTCTTCAGGACCTTGGATTTGGACCAGCTCCATATACCTCTTCTGGTCTTTCCTCAGGTGGGTTGGGCCTCAGGTCCCAAGGACAGGTTGATCTGTGTCCCGGCTCGGGCTAATCAGGTTTTAACTGTCATGACAGCCTGGGATTATGCTGATCCTGCCATGCCTTCTGCACCCCATGCTTCCAGCCAGAGGCTTGGGCTCTGTGCCAGCACCCCTGGGTGACCCCTCATCATGGAGGGCAGCCAGCCTAGGTCTGTGTTCGGCTCCTCTGGGGGAGAGGCAGGAAGAGAAGCCCTGGGTTTGCCCTTGGGGAGCCCCCACATTCCTGGAGAGGTGAGTCTTCTGCCTGTGAAGTAGGGCGGACCCCTGGGGAGGTCAGGAATGACCTGCAGATGTAGCCTAGGACTGTGACAGGAGGTGAGAGCAGGAAAGGTCAGTGTGGGATGGTGCAATCAAGGAAGGCTTCCTGGGGGAGGAGGAGGAGCCAGGCTAGAGCTAGGGGCAGGAGCATAGGGTGGGGGCAGAGTGCAGCATAGACAGCTATTCATATTGTTGTTTGTACAGAGTCTCACGCCTGTAATCCCAGCACTTTGGGAGGCCAAGGTAGGCAGATCAGTTGAGGTCAGGAGTTCGAGACCAGCCTGGCCAACATGGTGAAACCCCGTCTTTACTAAAAATACAAAAAAATTAGCTGGGTGTGGTGGCACACGCCTGTAATCCCAGCTACTTGGGAGGCTGAGGCAGGAGCTCTGGCCCAGCCTGTCGAGGAAGGAAGGTCACTGTGATGACTTCTGCACTCCATTGGTGGCCCAGGAATCTGTTCTAAGATACCTGTCCCTCTGGCATGGGAGTTTGGCCTGCCCCAGTCTTGCTTCTCTCCACTGTCTGAGCTGCTCCCTGGGAATGGAAGACTTGGAGCAAGAGGAAGCCTGGTCCTCACCTTCAGGGCCCCATAGGCCAGATGAAATCCCATCAGACAGCATGATCTGAGCGAAGATGGTGGTGCCAGATGGTTTGTGGTACAAGGTCGAAGGTACGGGCAGTGAGGGCTGGAGCAGTCTGGAATACTTCCTGGATCCAAGGGATTTAGCTACATTTTCAAGGACAGGTAAGATCCATGTGCACAGAGAAAAGGAGGAAGGTCAATCCAGGGAGGGGAGAACAGGAGCAAAGTGCAGAGATGGAAATGAGCCATGGCAGAGCTGTGCAGAGATGAGGTGGGCCTTGACTGCCCTGCCCTGAGGTTTTGGGCCCTGCTTGGATGGGCAGTTAGGAGCCATGGTGGGTCCTTGAGCTGAGGAGTGGAGGTGAGTGTTTTCGCCAGGGCTGGCTGAGTGGGGACCTGGCTGGTGAGCACACTCTGCCCTTCACTGTGGTCAGCTTCAGAGCATGCAGTACTTTTTTTCTTAGAGACAGGATCTCACTGTCTCCCAGGCTGGAGTACAGTGGTGCATTCATAGCTCTCTGCAGCCTCTAACTCCTGAACACATGTGATCCTTCTGCCTTGGTCTCCCGAAGTGCTGGGATAACAGGCATGAGCCATGGCACCCGGCCCCACAGAGTACTTTATGTTCTGAGCGAGATCTTGGGAGACTTGTCTTTCTAATCAGTCACTCAGGACCGGGGCCCCACGCTGCACCTCGAGAAGATTCCTGCCCCACTGTTGTAACTTAGGATCTTTAAGATGGAGAGCACCTCTTCCATGATTAAGAGAGAGGCAGGTGGAAATAAAGATTTTGTTACTAACAGGTCTTGAGGGATACCTGGTGTACCTGAAGCCACACACAGGTGGAGGTCAGGGAGCATGTGCAGGGTGGGGGGATCTATGGGCCAGCATCTTTATGGGGTCCATGGTGTTATTAAAACAAGTTTTCCACAGGGAGTTTGTTTTGTTGTTGTTGTTGTTTTGAGATGGAGTCTTGCTCTGTCACCCAGGCTGGAGTGCAGTGGCGTGGTCTCAGCTCACTATAACCTCTGCCTCCTGGGTTCAAGCGATTCTTCTGTCTCAGCCTCCCAAGTAGCTGGGAGTACAGGCGCACACCACCATGTCTGGCTAATTTTTTTGTATTTTTGGTAGAGATGGGGTTTCACCATGTTGGCCAGGCTAGTCTCGAACTCCTGACCTCAAATGATCTGCCCACCTCAGCCTCCCAAAGCGCCGGGATTATGGGCATGACCCACTGTGCCTGGCCTCCATGGGGAGTTTTAATTGGTGGGTTTACAGCAAGCAGTCATGAGTTCCAGGAGGTCATGTTGTGACTTGAGACAAGGTCACTGGCCTATCTGCACAGTCCATGCGGGCTGTGGGACAAGGTCAGCAGGACCAATCAAGTGGGCTGTATGTAGCCATCCCACAGGGAAGCAGTCACCAGGAGACGACTGTCTACGGTAGATATCTGGATTGAGCACATGGAGGAACTGGGAGGAGGTGGGGAGCTGGAAACGGTGTCAAGGTTGACTGAGCCCTGCTTCTAGTGTGAGAAAACCCAGCTTATATTCAAAACGGATGCCAGGGCAACATCAAAGCATAGGAATTCACTACATTCACCTGGGCCTGCACACCTGTGCTCACTTGCACACACTGTCTTCAGGGTGTTACGGGCAGAGGTCAGGACTTCATTAGCCAAGTAGCCTCTAACTGGGCCTCACCCTCGGTAGGCTTTGGTCTCCTCATCTGTCTGGGAAGGGCTGACCTTGGAAGCCTCCAAGGGCTCATCTCTGGAATACGATGTTATAAGCACAGATTCTGGAGTCAGCTTGCCTGAGTATGAACCTCTGCTCCACCCCTTACTAGCTGTGTAATGCTGGGTAAGTTACTCAGCTTCTCTGTGTCTCATGGTCCTCATCTGCAAAATGGGGATAATAAAAGAACCTACTTCATGAGAGTTCAGTGATGATTAAATGAGTTAATATATCTAAAAATCATTTGGAATAGTGTTTGGCACGTAGTAAATGCGATGGAAGGGTTGGGTGGTAGGGGCATCATCATCGTCGTCATCATCTTCCTCCTCCTCCTCTGGCATCTCTGGTTTCTGATGGAATGCAGCCCTGGCAGCCCAGCCCCTGCCAGTTCTCCCTAATGGGCTTTGCTGGCTGGCTGCCCTTGCTCAGTCTCCCCTGCTGGTTCAGGCTAAGGCTAAGACTGGGGAACCTTCTGTTTCTCAGCAGTCTTCCACCTGCCTCCCTCCCTCCACTTGGGGTTGTGTAGCCATTCTCCGCCCTCTCCCCGACCCCTGCCCTGGCTGTGGGCCCAAGGGCAGGCCCTGCACCGCTACCCTTTGTCTGCTTTGAAGGAGCCACCAGCGACTTCGGCCCCACTCTGGGGCTTTTGGAACCTGCTGGGCTGGAGAACAGCTGGAAGGTAGATGGGACATGATGTTTGTCCTGGGCTTCCGGCCTTCCCTGGGCGTGGGCTCAGGGCATCTTACCCACTCCAGCTGGGCCTCAGTGCCAGCCTTCCTTCCCTGAGTCCCTGAATCCTGCTCAGCACAGCCTCTCACCAAGGGGCTTGCTTTCCACACTGTCCCTTCTCCCTAGGACTTTGCCCCAGACAGTCTCCCCAATAGCCAAACCTTCTTCTGGTCCTTTGAGCACAGTGGTGCCATGGGGAGAGCATCCAGACCTTGGTGGCTTGGAAGGGCATTAGTTTTCCTGTTTGTAAAACGGCAATACAGGTTGTCCTGCCTTCTTTGCAGGGTGGCTGGAGGTTTGGTGGGCTGGTCAGTGGAAGCAGATGAGAATGTCAGTTTCTTCTGCTGCCTCCACTTCCAGAAAACTGTCTGACTTCTCTGGCACTCAGAGAGTCACACTTTCCCAAAAAGACCCATGGACTTCACCCTGATTGTTTTGTGATTTGTTTCAAGAATCCTGGTGGGTCATAAAACCCAGGCCCAAACAAGTACCAGCACCCACCCTGACTCGCACCCAGCTAATCCACAGGGAGGAAAATGAACCCAGGAAGGCCCAGCCCCAATCACCGTCACAGCCAGCCAGCTGTCCAGCCACCAAAGAGATAATGAGGCTTCTTGGAGCCAGGGCTGAGCCACACATGAGATATACTCCCCTCCCACCCACAGCTGACCTTGGTGGGTGGGAGGATGCTCCCCTTTGGCCCAGCACACAGCTCGCTCTTCTCATAGCTCATAAACAAGTTAGACTTCTCAGTCCTCCATGAGCTGAGTGCTGTCTCGAGGCCCCACCACCTGCCCCAGCACACAGGCTCTGCCCCTGCCAGGCGACTAGCTAATCTAGAACCTAACCCTGCCTGAGAGTTGCCAGGACCCACCTGCAACCATGACCTATCCTTAGCACCGAGCCGGTGCCACCCTGGAAACCAGGCTTCTCACACCCTCTTCCTGGCCATATCAGGAGAGACAGAAACATTTGTTCCTGTATTCCCACCCCTAGTGGAAGGGTTTCCTCTACCACTCTGACATGCACGGCACCTACACTTCCACCATTAGTCACTCCTTTGGATTTAAGGCTTTGATCACTAAAGGCCCCTAGGAGATCAGGGCCTCACCTGGAAGGTGGGTGGGCGGGTGATTCCCTTTAGTTATCAGGTTAGTGACTCGGCACCTAGTGAGCAAGAGAGGGAAGGGTAGAGTAGGGATGATTCAGGGAAGTAGGGAGAGGCTGAATATACAGCTTTTTGCAAATCAGAGGCTCTCCAGGAAGCCCAGGATGTGATCCTGGAGAGAAGCAGCTGGGTAATGGGTACTGGAAACTTGGAGCTTCCCTCGCTCTGTGTCCTTGGGCCGGTGGTACAGCCTCTCTGGCCTCTGTGTCCTTCAGTTCAATGACTGTTTAGATCCTCTCCCTTCCACCTTGACATGTGGATGTGGGATTCCAAAGGGTGGAGAGGCTGCAGGCTAATTCCTAGGCATCACGTGGGCCTTCCCTCTACTCTCTTTTCCAGACACGTAGTTGGGCGAGGGTGTGAGGTAGGCCTGGCAGTGCAGGGGTGGGGGCACAACTGTGGGAGGACGCTCCTGCCAGATGTGCTGGCTCTCCAACCTGAGGTCGGCCTGCTTTCTGCTCTTTGGCCCGGGGCCTCTCTGACTGCCTGACTTAGGCATTCTCTGTGGGGGTGCCCACATTCCTGCCATTTTCAGAGCCTGACTCTCTGCCCACTTTCAAAAGGCTCCTTGAGGTTACATTCAAGGCCCACTGGGTCAGTGGGTCAGGTTGCAAGGCTGGCTTTGCCAGACCAGAGCATGGGACCCAGCCCCTTCATGGACAACAACACCTCCCACTCTGCCCTCCCCTGGAGCTGCACTCCTCTTTCACAAACAACAAGAGTATGGGGACAGCGGGCCAGACGGTGACAGCACCAGAGTGAATGAGAAGAGGAAACGTGCTCCACCAGGCAGGCCTGAGTTAGGAAATGCATGCCAGAGGCCCAGACTTGCCACAGTCGGTCAGCTGCTGGGGTGGTGATCGAGGGTAGGGTCCCTAAGGAGTCAGGCCCCATTCTTTCCAATGGGATCAGAGCCCTGTGAGCACCCGGCCCTGCGGCTGTGTCTGGTGGAGGTTATCTCCTACAACCCAGCCATCCTTGCAGCCCTCCTATCTGGCCGGAGCTGGGCCTTGCTGGCCCTGCCACCATGAGAAATGGTACTCAGGGGAACTATGGAGTCCGGCTGGGTACGGGGCAGCCTGAATGTGCTTTCTTGGTCCAGCACGAGTGAGGATTGGCTCGGAATCACATGGGGCGGGAGGTGGGTTGTCTTGTTCCTGGCCTGCCTCTGGGCTATGCCCTCCCCATATGTCCCTAGCCCCCTCCCCTACCTGAGCCCCTGGTTATTCTGGGAGCTTTTAGCTACCACTTAGCCACTAATGCGTCAGGCTGGGGAGTGAGGGGGGGACACGGTGCCAGACGGTGCTCCTTTTAGACAAGCAGGATGGGAAGCAGGGGGAGCCAGGAGGTGGGGGACGCCAGAGGATGGGGAGGCATTTTCCACTCCTGGCCCTGCTCGTAGGTTCAGGCAGCAGGGGAGAGTGGTGGGCAGTGGGTCAGTGTGTCCTTGGACAGGCTGCATCTTCCCTCCCCCATCACACGTGGGCCTCAGCTCACCTTCCCGATTCTTCTCATTAGGACTCTGCCAGGCTGCAGCGCATGGCCTCTGTCCTCCATACAGCCACCTTCCCCACCTTTGCTCAGGTTGCGTCCTCTGCCTGGCTTTCCCTCCCGGCCTGTTCAGGGCCCATCCAGCTTTTATCTACCTCACCTCTCCGTTTGGGTTCATAAAGCATCACAAAGAAAATGTTCAGGGATATGATACATACTCCCTTGGCCTGGCCTTTTTAGGGGTAGCCCCTGGCCTTGCTCAGCCCCTGCCTGGGCAGAGACTCGAGGCCTGGCCCTGATGGCTTGGTGCTGCCTTCACTTCCAGGCAGCCCTCCTGCCCCTTAGCCCCCAGCCCCCGCTCCTGCCAACCTGAACAAAGCTTCCTTTCATGTATTCATCGAGCTGCTGCTGCTCGACACTTCCCGGGCACAATCAGGCCTTTTGAGGGCCTCAGGCGGTGCGGGAGCCCAGGCTGGGGCTGGGGTGGAGAATGGGCCAAGGCCTTGTCCTGGGGCTGAGCTGGTGTCATTCCCTCTAGTCCATACGCATCACCAAGAACAGAGGTGGGAGGGCCAGGAACCTGGGGGTCATGGGAGGCCGTGGTCCTGGGCTCCTGTTCGTTTTCCTGCAAAATGGGACGAACAGTCCCTGCTTCCTCCACCCTAGCCATTGTGGCTAGGGTTTGAAGGGAACTGGGCTCAGGCTTGCAGATCCGCATGGGATTGTCCGGGCCCTAGTGCTGCAGCTCCTACCCAGGGGCCAGCAGCCCTCACCCTCCCTTCATGTCTTCAGCAGATACTTTGTGGGCAGCCCTGGGGTCCATGCTAAGACAGTTTTGCTGGAGAGCTGTGGAAGTTTTCTGTGGTGTGGCTGTCTGACCCCTCAGATGTATTCCCAGGGTAGGGCCAGACCTCCCCCTCAGACCTTGCTCTCCAGGACCCAGTCATGTCTCTGCCATCAGGCTCGACTCCCCAGGGCAGGACTGTTTTCCTCTTCTCTTCAACAGCCCTGCAATTCCTAGACCAGGGTGCCCCCACCCAGAGTCCTGTCTGGTGCCTCTTTTCCCTTGAGTAGTTGTACATTGGCCTTGCCGGCCCCCTCGGAGACCTGGGCCTGTGGCCTTGGTGCAGGAGTGGGGCTAAGGTGACTGATGAAGGTGGCTAGCACAGTCTGACGGCTAGAACTTTTCTGCTTTGACTCCCAGGGACTATGGATCTCAGGTCCTAGCCCAGCATCTCTAGATGCAGACACGCACCTTTTCCTGGCTGCCAGTCTGGCTATCGGTGGATGGGAGGGGAGCAGGAGGGGAGTTGGGGCGGCAGACTGTCTGGATCTCTGGCTGGGCCACAGAGGATGGTGGCTGCAGTTTGGGCTGCGGGTGGAAGGGGAGTTACGGGAGCTGAGTCAGGAAGACTGTGTCTGTGACCCCAGCACTCTAATTTTATCCCAGGAAGGGAGGGGGAGCAGGGCAGCACCCAAGACCTGCCAGCTCTCCCTCCCTCCCACCGAAGTGCCAGTACCTCTCAGCCCTTGCTCTGCACATCTCGGGCCTACAGGGAGGGAGGCTTGGGGGCCAGGGAGGGCTGATATCCCCGGAGCTGTTCAGTTGGGCTGTTTGTGATGTGCACCAGGAGAGCCACACCACCCAAGGACAGTGAGCTCAGCACTTCTCTCTGTAGCCTGCCATGCTGCTGAGAACTGATACTGCAGCCTGGGACAAGCTAATGTGTCCTGCCTGCTGGTGTGACCTTGGCATGTCTCCCAGGGTACCTCAGCATTCTTCTCTGCACAGTGCGCCAGGCCACAGAAGAGGTGAAGAATGCTCACTTCCGGGGGTGACCTGGCCATGAAGGGATGTTTCTTAAAGAATGAAGGTGTGGTGGCACAGTGTGTGGTCCAGCTGCTCCTTGCCCCTGTTAAATGCAGAATCAATAGGGATGGCTCCAATGGGAATAAGAGGGATCGGGGGCAGAGTTGAGGAAATGGTAGTTCTTTTTGGTCAGAGCTGGAGCTTGGGTGTCACTGCCAAGCTGGCTGCCCCAGAGTTTCCTGCAGCTGAAAAAACAGTGGTCAGACCCAGTTCCTAGGTGAGGCCCAGGCTGGTCAGAGGTGGGAAGATGCTGGGTGTGGCTGATTGCTGGGGGCACAACCACAGGCCATCCCATCCCTATAATTTACTCCTGCAACCAGGACAACCTCAGCAGTGTCACTGGAGATGAGACACCTCCCCAGAGGCAGTGGCTGCAGTCAGTTTCTTTTTTGGGGAAAATTTTCCCGGTCAGCCCTTCTGCTGAAAGTCCCAGGCTGTGCTCTGTGAAGGTTCCCCTGTCCCAGAGTTGCTGGGGAGGAAGAGCCGATCTTCACCCCCCGGAGAGCTAGCATCCTCATGGGTGAAACCAGGCCAGAGTGGGCCATGGAATAGAGTCCAGCTTGGTAGGCAGGAGTGCAGGCTCTGGTTCAGGGTCTGCTACTGACCTGCTTCCGTGTGCCCTTGGGCTGCCCCTCCCTTGGCCTCTGTTTTCCCATCTGTGAAATGGGACGGAGTAGATGTTGAGATTCCTTTCCTCCTCTAGTCTAGTGCTCACTAAGGGGCTGGGGATGGGCCAGGAGAGGTTGGAGAGGGATTCCTGAAGGAGGAGAAGGGGTTCTGAGCATTGTGATTCCTGGGAACCTGGACTCCAAGGGGGGTGCTTGAAGGCCCTGCTGCCTGCTGAAAGGCCCGGGGTTGGGGGGCGCTGCTTGCTTTGGCTTAGGGCAGCAGAGAACCTCCCAGAGCATGGCCAAGGAGCCCTGGTCCTCCTGCCTTAGCCCAGCCCTCAAAAGTGTGTGCCAGAGGAGGGGGTCTGTTCCCCCAAGAGGTCCCTAAATCCTTCCCCACTCTGAGATCACACATACTGTGAAGGAAGGAGAGGCTGCCACACTAGGGGAGGGGCCGTGCTGTGGGTGAGGACAGCTGGTTGCTGGAGCCCACCGGAGGATCTCTTACTTCTCCTGTCCTTGACTCTCTGAGTCTGGGTACCACCCCAGCCCAGAGCTTGTCTGACGCCCTGCCAGGACCCTGAGCACCAAGCACTGGTTCCAGTGTGCCATGTGGAGGGGACCCAGAGTCTTCTCTCTCGGGACCTGGCTTCAATGTTTCTACTAATTGTCTCCTCCTCAGGCCATGTAGGGCAGGACCGGGTGGACTTTGGCCAGACTGAGCCGCACACGGTGCTTTTCCACGAGCCAGGCAGCTCCTCTGTGTGGGTGGGAGGACGTGGCAAGGTCTACCTCTTTGACTTCCCCGAGGGCAAGAACGCATCTGTGCGCACGGTGAGCCTCTCTCTTCCCCCAACACCCCCCCTACCCTCTTATCTCCCCTCTGGCCCTGCCAAGGGTCCTCAGGGAATCCGAGGGAGCTGGCTTCTCTTCCTAAACTGCCCCCACCTCCGTATCCTATAAATGGCTCCTGGGGGAGGCTCCCTAAAGGTAGTCCAGATTGGAGTGGGGAGCTGGGGCGGTGTGGAGAAAAACAGGAGCTAATGGGCCTGGCCAGCTGGGCAGCGCTGCTGCGGAAAGCCCAGGCTGGAAGCTGGGCCCCAGAGCCCATGCCTGGTCTTCTGAACCCTCTGGGCCTCAGCTCTGGATATGAGACCCTGTTTGACCTCAGGTAGATCACTCACCCTCTCAGAGCCCCAGTTGCTCATCTGTCAGATGAGAATAATGGTTGCTTCCTTTGGGGCTTATCCTGAGGCTGTGTGGAAAGCATTTCAGGGGTACCTCACCCCTGGCAGATTGAACTAATGCTTCTCCCCTTCCCCCAGGTGAATATCGGCTCCACAAAGGGGTCCTGTCTGGATAAGCGGGTGAGTGGGGGAGGGGGTATGGAGGGGTCTGAGCCACTTGGTAAAGGGAGAGGAGACCCTGAGGGTCTAAGGAAGGAAGCATGGCCCTGCCCCACGAGTCCCAGACTGATGGGGAGACGTGGTCCTCTGTGCTTAGGGGATGGCGTCAGCTGCACACACTCTGGGCTGTCCCGGGAGGCTGTCACCTATGCTAAGCCCTTCTGACACCTTCTTCCCTGATCCTGGGGGTCCTAGTGCTAGGCTTGCCAGGGCCTTCCAGCAACCAATTTCTCTCCTCCCTTCTCTCTTCCCCGGGCAGGACTGCGAGAACTACATCACTCTCCTGGAGAGGCGGAGTGAGGGGCTGCTGGCCTGTGGCACCAACGCCCGGCACCCCAGCTGCTGGAACCTGGTGAGAAGGCTGCTCCCCATGTGCCTGATCAGCTCACCTTCTACTGCGTGGGCTTCTGCCCCTCATGGTGGGAAGGAGATGGCGAGACTCCAATGCTGGCCTTGCCCTGGGAGGATGGGGCTCCTGGCCGAGAAACTGGCCGTCATGGGAGGCAGTGGCTGTGGGATTATGTGGCCATCCAACCCTCTGGATCTCCCACAGGTGAATGGCACTGTGGTGCCACTTGGCGAGATGAGAGGCTACGCCCCCTTCAGCCCGGACGAGAACTCCCTGGTTCTGTTTGAAGGTAGGGCAGTGCTGGAGCAGGCGCCCCAGGGGGATGCTTCTGAACTGGGCTGGGAGAGGAGTGGTCAGCTCTTTGTCCAGTGTCCGGAGGAGGGACTTCCAGGAGCTGCCTGCCCTTACTCATTTCTCCCTCCCACTGACCCCAGGGGACGAGGTGTATTCCACCATCCGGAAGCAGGAATACAATGGGAAGATCCCTCGGTTCCGCCGCATCCGGGGCGAGAGTGAGCTGTACACCAGTGATACTGTCATGCAGAGTGAGTCAGGCTCCGGCTGGGCTGAGGGTGGGCAAGGGGGTGTGAGCACTTAAGGTGGCAGATGGGATCCTGATGTTTCTGGGAGGGCTCCCTGAGGGCCGCTGGGGCCATGCAGGAAAGCAGGACCTTGGTATAGGCCTGAGAAGTTAGGGTTGGCTGGGAGCAGAGGAACAGACAAGGTATAGCAGTGGGATGGGCCCAGCCCTCTTCAGGAACACAAACAGAGGGAGCCCCAGACCCAGTGCAGGGTCCCCAGGAGCCAAAGTTTATCCTCTGCTGAGTTCACGTGGAGGCAGCCCCCAACTCCCTCCTCATCAGGGCTCTGCCAATTGAGCAGAAGTGACATAGGGGCCCCCAGGGACCTTCCCCCAGTCCCCAGGCATGAAGTCATTGCTCCTGGGCCGATGACATCTTTGTAGGAAGAGGGCAAAACAGGTGTGGGGTGGAGGTGCAGGGTCTAGGGCCCCTCGGGGAGTTGGACCTGATGTTCTGAGTCCTATTCCAGATCTGATTTGCCATGGTTTGTGCAGACCCGAAGGAGGGAGGAGAGTGTGCAGGGTTGGGATGGTCTCCCGGGCAAGCTTCCCAGCCTTACGCCCACTCGCCTCTGTCCCTGGCAGACCCACAGTTCATCAAAGCCACCATCGTGCACCAAGACCAGGCTTACGATGACAAGATCTACTACTTCTTCCGAGAGGACAATCCTGACAAGAATCCTGAGGCTCCTCTCAATGTGTCCCGTGTGGCCCAGTTGTGCAGGGTGAGCAGGGGCGTGAGGGCTGCTGGCTACGTGTCTGTGCATGAATAGGCCTGAGTGAGGGTGAGTTCTGTGTGTCCGTGTGCATGTAGAAGTTGTGTGGATGTATGAGTGGGTCTGTGTCAGGGACTGTGGGAGCAGCTGTGTGTGCATGGAGCATCATGTGTCTGTGTGTGGGTAAAGGTGGCTGAGCTCCTGTGCACGTATGATGGCGTGTGAGCGTGTGTATGATGGGGTGTGTGTGTGTGTGTGTGTGTGTTTTGCCTGTGTGAATGTGCTGTGCCACGTGTGTGGGTGTGTGAGTCAGTAAATGTGTGTCTGAGTCCGTCTGCTCTGTGGGGACCTGGCACTCTCACCTGCCCTGACCCTGGGCACTGCTGGCCCTGGGCTCTGGATCAGCCAGGCCTGCTTGCTGGAGTCTCATCTGGAGACCTGCCCTGAGTCCTGGGGCACCCCCGGCAGGTCCTGGCCCCTCACAGCCTGCCTTCCTCCTCTGGGCCCAGGTGTTGATATTGCTGGCAGTGGTTTCCTGGGGTGTGTGGGGAAGCCCGGGCAGGTGCTGAGGGGCCTCTTCTCCCCTCTACCCTTCCAGGGGGACCAGGGTGGGGAAAGTTCACTGTCAGTCTCCAAGTGGAACACTTTTCTGAAAGCCATGCTGGTATGCAGTGATGCTGCCACCAACAAGAACTTCAACAGGCTGCAAGACGTCTTCCTGCTCCCTGACCCCAGCGGCCAGTGGAGGGACACCAGGGTCTATGGTGTTTTCTCCAACCCCTGGTGAGTGGCCCTTGTCCTGGGGCCGGGGCTGGCATTGGTTCAGTGTCCAGTAGGGACAGGAGGCCTTGGGCCCTGCTGAGGGCCTCCCTGGTGTGGCAGGAGCAGGGGCTGCAGGCTCAAGAGGCTGGGCTGTTGCTGGGTGTGGGGTGGGGGGACAGCCAGTGCGATGTATGTACTGTTGTGTGAGTGAGTCTGCACTCATGGGTGTGTGTGCATGCCCTATATGCACACTCATGACTGCACTTGTGCCTGTGTGTCCCACCACCTGCTTGTGCCGAGAGTGGACACTGGGCCCAGGAGGAAGCTGCTGAAGCATCTCTCGGGGAGCTGGGTGCTATTACACCTGCTCAGGCACTGCCTGAGCCCGATAATTCACACTTCTTAATCACTCTCATTGATTGAACACACGGCAGGCGGAAGTGTTGGGTGTGTGTGGGGAGAGTTAGGGATAGAGTGGAGGAAGCCAAGACCCTGCTCTGTGGCTCCTGGGTGAGTGGGGTCCCCCAGGCTGGGAAGGGGTTGGGGGTCTGGCCTCCTGGGGCATCAGCACCCCACAGCCTGTGCCCAGGGAGGGCTAGAGAACTGCTCAGCCTATGATGGGGTTCCTCCTGCCTTGGGGTTGGGTAGAGCAGATGGCCTCTAGACTCAGTGATTCTGTAACAGGATACAAGTTTGTGGTTTTAAATTGCAGCACAAAGAAATTAGGCTGAACTCCTCTCCTTCCTCCTCTCCATCCCTCCCCATTTTCAGTGGTGGTTGGCAACTCAGTGCCAGGCACAAGGCTGGCCTGGGTGAGTGGAGGTGGATGGGTGGGTTCTGGGCCCCCCATTGAGCTGGTCTCCATGTCACTGCAGGAACTACTCAGCCGTCTGTGTGTATTCCCTCGGTGACATTGACAAGGTCTTCCGTACCTCCTCACTCAAGGGCTACCACTCAAGCCTTCCCAACCCGCGGCCTGGCAAGGTGAGCGTGACACCAGCCGTGGCCCAGGCCCAGCCCTCCTTCTGCCTCACCTCCCACCACCCCACTGACCTGGGCCTGCTCTCCTTGCCCAGTGCCTCCCAGACCAGCAGCCGATACCCACAGAGACCTTCCAGGTGGCTGACCGTCACCCAGAGGTGGCGCAGAGGGTGGAGCCCATGGGGCCTCTGAAGACGCCATTGTTCCACTCTAAATACCACTACCAGAAAGTGGCCGTCCACCGCATGCAAGCCAGCCACGGGGAGACCTTTCATGTGCTTTACCTAACTACAGGTGAGAGGCTACCCCGGGACCCTCAGTTTGCTTTGTAAAAACGGGCATGAAAGGTGTAAGGAATAATGTAGTTAACATCTGGTTGGATCTTTACATGTGGAAGGAATAATTGAGTGACTGGAGTTGTCAGGGGTTAATGTGTGTGGGTGTGGAAGAGTCAGGCAGGGAGAGCTTCCTGGAGGAGGTAGGGGCAAGAGGGAAAGGGGGATGGGAGAAAAGCAAGCACTGGGATTTGGAGGCGGAAATCTGGAGAGTCTGAGCAAAGCCAGGTGCACCTTTGGTCCAGATGTCTGACTCAGGGAAGAAGATGGTAGGAAGAGACGTGGCAAATGAGGAGGAGGGGCCTGAACCACAGGGATACTGGCCTCTGCCAGGCAGAATGAGGGAGTCAGGCCCTGCGCCTGTCTTTGGGATTGTGCAGGTGAGAGGAAACATTTGAGGAGTTGATGGGGCACAAATTAGGTATGAGGAAGGAGTTCCAGGGGGCAGAACCTTTGCCATCTCACAGAGGACAGGGGCAGCTTCTCTTCTTCCCTGGAGTAGGCCCTGCTGGGGGAAGCTGGGTGGAATGCCGTGGGAGATGCTCCTGCTTTCTGGAAAGCCACAGGACACGGAGGAGCCAGTCCTGAGTTGGGTTTGTCGCAGCTTCCCATGCCAGCTGCCTTCCTTGAGACTGGAAAGGGCCTCTAGCACCCCTGGGGCCATTCAATTCAGGCCCAGGCGCCCAACCTCAGTTGTTCACATTCCCCATGTGATCTCCTGTTGCTGCTTCACCTTGGAACTGTCTCGGCTTTGGTGACCTTGTAGGAAACTGGAACCCCAGCACCATTGTTTGGCTCCTGGAAGCCTTGGGGAGAGGAATTTCCCACAGGGCAGGGCCTGGGTCCTGATTCCCTGCCTCTTTACTCCCTATTCATCCCGGCTACACCCTTGGGCCCCCATCCTTGCTTGGCTCCAGTAGTGGCTGGCACAGCTGTTGTGGTCAGCCAGGGATGGCAGGGCACTGGGGAGCAGAAGAGGAGAGGTCACACAGTGCGGAACTGGGAGCAGGAGCTAGGACAAGGAAGGCTGGACTTGGGCCATGGATTCCCTTCCTGCAGACTTGGGAGGTGAGCACACTTGAGTGATTAGAGAAGGTGTCTTCGTTCTAAGGGCAGTGGAGGAGGCACCATTTTGGAGCCTGCATCATTCGTATTTGGGCTAGACTGAAAAATAGAGCTTTCTAAGTCCTCTGCAGAGAATGGGAGGCTCTCACAACTGGGAGAAGTATTGGCTCTTTTCCTGAGAATTTTGCCAAGGGTATGCTGTTACTGGGGCTGGTTTGGAAGGAGGTATAGGGCAGTATGTCTGTGAAGGCAGTGGCTGGGGTGGGGCCTTATCAGGCCCAAGGAGCATCTGGCCACATCTCAGAGTCCACAGATGAGGATCACGGATGTGTAGAGGAAACATCCTAGGCAGGCAATCATCTGACTGCTTTTTTGGGGCAGGTGATGCCCTGGGAAATTGGGAGGGAGGGAGAGAGGGAGGTAGGCTATTCTAGAAACTGGGAGAGCAGGTGAGGTAGGATTGGGAGGACCAGGGGTCAGGGTGCCCATTGGTCCCTAATTGTGAACGGAGAGAGCATTGGTCTAGGAGGCAGGCAGCTCGGTTATAAGACCTTGGGAACTCTTGATTTAGAATCCAAGATCCTTTTTAGATCTAAGATTTTATAAAATTAAGATATCCCCTAAGATCAAATGCAACGTGGAGTCCTGAATTGGATCCTAGAACAGAAGAAGGACATTTGTGGAAAAACTAGTGAAATCCAAATAAAGTCTGTAGTTTTGTTAATAGTAATGCACCAATGTCAGTTGCCTAGTTGTGACAAATATACCGTGGTTATGTAAGATGGTAACATTAGGGGGAACTGGAGAAGGGTAGATTGGAGCTCTCTGTACTATCTTTGCAACTTTTCTGGGAATCTAAAATTACTCCAAAATAAAAAAAAAATGTATTTAAAGTAAATATATTCCCTAAGAGTCCAGGAGGCAGGGGAGTTGTAGAAGCAGCTGAGTGGTTGGGCTCTGACAGATTTGGGTTCCAACTCGGTCTCTGCTGCTCACCAGCTGTGTGACCTTGAGCAAGTGGCTTAGCCTTTCTGAGCCTGATTTCCTTATCTGTGGAGTGGGGAAGATGACAGCCACCTCGCAGGGCTGTGGAGGGTTAAACGAGGTGATGCATGGACAGCAGCCGCACTGACCTTGCTGGTGTGGGGCTCCTGCTTCTGTTCTTCCCGTGCAGCCTTGGGAATGTTGGAGGCCGTATCCAGGGACCCCTGGGCCTCCTGGGATGGCCTCTCTGGATCAGCCTTGGAAGGTTCCAGGCTGCCCTTAGGCTCCCACATTCTTCCCCAGTCACGCTCTCCTCGCCCTGCCCACACCAGTCCTGTGACCCTTGCCTGAGTTGTGACTTCCCACCCCTCCCCGGCCTAGAGGAAAGCTGCCTGGCCCCTCAGTGGGACTCCCGCCCACTGACCCTCTGTCCACCATACACAGACAGGGGCACTATCCACAAGGTGGTGGAACCGGGGGAGCAGGAGCACAGCTTCGCCTTCAACATCATGGAGATCCAGCCCTTCCGCCGCGCGGCTGCCATCCAGACCATGTCGCTGGATGCTGAGCGGGTGAGCCTTCCCCCACTGCGTCCCATGGGCTATGCAGTGACTGCAGCTGAGGACAGGGCTCCTTTGCATGTGATTTGTGTGTTCTTTTAAGAGCTTCTAGGCCTTAGGGCCTGGACATTTAGGACTGAGTGTGGGGTGGGGCCCGGGCCTGACCCAATCCTGCTGTCCTTCCAGAGGAAGCTGTATGTGAGCTCCCAGTGGGAGGTGAGCCAGGTGCCCCTGGACCTGTGTGAGGTCTATGGCGGGGGCTGCCACGGTTGCCTCATGTCCCGAGACCCCTACTGCGGCTGGGACCAAGGCCGCTGCATCTCCATCTACAGCTCCGAACGGTACGTTGGCCGGGATCCCTCGTCCCTGGGAGAAGGTGGGCATGGGAGAGGGGGAGGTGTTGTCGGGCTGGAGGAGGTGGCGGTACTGGGCCTTTCTTGTGGGACCCTCCTCTCTGCTGGAACTGCACTGGGGTAAGGATAGGAGGGTCAGGTCTGCAGCCTTGTATCTGCTGATCCTCTTTCGTCCTTCCCACTCCAGGTCAGTGCTGCAATCCATTAATCCAGCCGAGCCACACAAGGAGTGTCCCAACCCCAAACCAGGTACCTGATCTGGCCCTGCTGGCGGCTGTGGCCCAATGAGTGGGGTACTGCCCTGCCCTGATTGTCCTGGTCTGAGGGAGACATGGCCTTGTCCTGTGGGCCCCAGGTACATGGGGCAGGATACAGTCCTGCAGAGGGAGCCCTCTTGGTGGGATGAGCGAGACGGGAGAAAAAAGGAGGACGCTGAGGGCTGGGTTCCCCACGTTCATTCAGAAGCCTTGTCCTGGGATCCCAGTCCGTGGGGAGGACACATCCTCCCCTGGGAGCTCTTTGTCCCTCCTCACGGCTGCTTCCCCACTGCCTCCCCAGACAAGGCCCCACTGCAGAAGGTTTCCCTGGCCCCAAACTCTCGCTACTACCTGAGCTGCCCCATGGAATCCCGCCACGCCACCTACTCATGGCGCCACAAGGAGAACGTGGAGCAGAGCTGCGAACCTGGTCACCAGAGCCCCAACTGCATCCTGTTCATCGAGAACCTCACGGCGCAGCAGTACGGCCACTACTTCTGCGAGGCCCAGGAGGGCTCCTACTTCCGCGAGGCTCAGCACTGGCAGCTGCTGCCCGAGGACGGCATCATGGCCGAGCACCTGCTGGGTCATGCCTGTGCCCTGGCCGCCTCCCTCTGGCTGGGGGTGCTGCCCACACTCACTCTTGGCTTGCTGGTCCACTAGGGCCTCCCGAGGCTGGGCATGCCTCAGGCTTCTGCAGCCCAGGGCACTAGAACGTCTCACACTCAGAGCCGGCTGGCCCGGGAGCTCCTTGCCTGCCACTTCTTCCAGGGGACAGAATAACCCAGTGGAGGATGCCAGGCCTGGAGACGTCCAGCCGCAGGCGGCTGCTGGGCCCCAGGTGGCGCACGGATGGTGAGGGGCTGAGAATGAGGGCACCGACTGTGAAGCTGGGGCATCGATGACCCAAGACTTTATCTTCTGGAAAATATTTTTCAGACTCCTCAAACTTGACTAAATGCAGCGATGCTCCCAGCCCAAGAGCCCATGGGTCGGGGAGTGGGTTTGGATAGGAGAGCTGGGACTCCATCTCGACCCTGGGGCTGAGGCCTGAGTCCTTCTGGACTCTTGGTACCCACATTGCCTCCTTCCCCTCCCTCTCTCATGGCTGGGTGGCTGGTGTTCCTGAAGACCCAGGGCTACCCTCTGTCCAGCCCTGTCCTCTGCAGCTCCCTCTCTGGTCCTGGGTCCCACAGGACAGCCGCCTTGCATGTTTATTGAAGGATGTTTGCTTTCCGGACGGAAGGACGGAAAAAGCTCTATTTTTATGTTAGGCTTATTTCATGTATAGCTACTTCCGACTGCATCTGTATGAAAATACCAAAACTACATGCGGGGGGGTGGGTGGGAAAGGGAGGGGCTGGGAAGGGATGGGTTGGGGAGCGGGGGTGATCCCAGTCTGAGGCTCCCGGGGATGAGATAAGAGTCTGGAGACGGGCATGGGTTCTTGGAGAGTGGCATGAGCTGGCTCTGCCCTGGGAGCCCGGTCTGAGGGGGACGTTGTTGGAGCCCCTAGTGTTGGGGGTGGTTATGGGAGGGGGTGGGGTGAGGGAAACGGGAGAATGAAGGAGAAAACTGAGCCCTAGTTTCACCGTGTTCATTTGGAAGGACGAGCCGGGTCCTCAGGGGGAGGTTCCAGGACTCTGCCCTTGGCGTTGAGGGTTGGGGGGCGGGGGGCCTCCTCCCTTCCTCTCAGCCCCCTTCCCCAGGGGCTGTGCTTCCATGCTCCTAGCCTCCCACCTTCGCTCAGGACATGTTATAACTTAGGCTAAACTGTGAAAATTCCGGTGGGGATGGCCTGGGCCGAGCTCTCCAGGCAGGCGGCCCTGCCCCCAGCCCTGTCCATCCATTTCAGGGGGGAGCTGGGCCCTTCTCCGGCTGTGTCTGGCCACCCAGGGCAGTGGCTGGGGCCAGTGGCCTTCCAGCTTTGGCCCCTGCACCTCTTCTCAATGCACTTTAATAATGTAACATATTACTAATAAACAAGCTATTTATTTACCTGCGCCTGTTCCTTGCCTGCAAAGCTGTCCTGGTCAGGGGGTGTTGGTGGGGGCTCCTGTTTATTACTCGCCACCCCCTGGCTGCGTGAGCATCACATGCATTCTTTCATGTCCTGGTTAGGGCCCAGGAGCCAGCTCAGCAGGGCTGTAGCTAGTGAGAGGCAGGAATGGGGACCTGAACCCACGACTCCTCAGCAGCGTGCTGCTTGCTCGAGCCTTGACCCCAGAGCCCCAATAGCACGTGCACCCCTTTTCCCCATTCCCAGCCTTCACCTCCCACCACTTCCCCCTGGAAGGCCTGGCCTGGGTCATGCTAGAAACAGCCTCAGGACTCCCTGCCTTCAAGGGGCAGTTCTGGAGGGCAAGCTGATCAAATGCGACCCTGTGGGATGCTGTGGCCTTGAGTGTGTGTGCAGGAGGCTGGTGCCGGCTGAAGAGATGTGGGAATGGGATTTGCTCCAGGCAGGGTAGGGGTCTGGGTGAGGGTTGGAGAGTAGGGAGGGACCTGTGGGGAGGGTTTATGAGTGATGAGGTAGGATTTGAGTTGTAGAAACTCAGGACTCCCTCCAAGATCAAGTAAATAGGTTTTAGAACACAGAAGTTTATGCAGGAAGGAGCCTCTGAGGCTGGGGTGGAAGGATGCAGGGGAGTTAGTTAGGAGGCTGTCTGGTGGCGGGTGGAGGTCAGGATGAGAGCAGTGGTCCTGGGATGAAGGGCAGGGACAGTAGGGAGCACTGCAGATAGAAGTCCAGATAGAAGCCCAGAGGCCTCCCCTCCCCCTTGTTCCCTTCTCTGTCCCCTGTCCCTGGAGGCAAGGACCTAGGCCTTTGGGGTCTGCTAGGCGTTTTTCCTGAGCAGTGACTGCTGGAGGGGTCCATGGCAGACTTGGGGCAGTTTACTTCTCTGTCCGAGCCCAGCTTCTGGTTGGCTCTGGCAAACCCCACAGGACTGGAATTGCCCCCACCCATAGTGCTCCCTCCCACTTCAGTTTGCTCTGCACTCTCATAGCCAGCCCATTCCTGAGGATTCTCCCCATCCTTTTCTCCCCCAACACTCGGCATGCCCTGGGGGACCAAGGTCTCAGCAGGTACATGGGACCAGGGGTCTTTGGGAGTTTGGGGGACCCAGAAGAGCCCTGGGCAGCTGGGGCAGAGACCTGGGGCTGCTGCCACCATTTTTGGCGTTTGTGGTCCTGGGCAGACCCTCGCCTTTCCCGAGCCTCATTTCTCTCCTGTGTAAAAGGCAGGGCTGGACCTGGGCTTCTGTGGACCCTTTCCTGCACATCTCGTCTGTCCCAGTCCGTCTGTATTCCAGTGCACAGCCAAGCATCGGCATCAGGATGGGGGTTTCACAGGCTCCTGCTCAGCAAGCTGGAGGCTGGTGGCAAAGCAAAGGATGGGAGTGAATTCCAGCCCCAAATGGTCTGAGCGGCGAGTGGACAAAGTGTGGGCTTAAGCCTTGGTCCCTCCTGGAGTGCTGCTGGTGGTCTCCACTGAGTTCCCTGTCCTCTCTGGGCCTCAGCAGCCTCCCTCTTTCCAGAGATGCTCCTGGTGCTCTGATGGGTCCATGGCAGGGGATTTGAGTGATGGAACCCACTCCATTGTCTCTGTGGAGGCACCAGGAGAGGCTGGGCTGGGAGGGAAGCCGTGTGCATTAAGGCATGAAATGAGCCCGTGTAAATTCCATGTAAATGAGCTGGCAGGGATGAGGCCAGCCAGGCACAAGCCTCCTGCCCTGTTTTCCCCAATGGACAAGCAGCACAGCAGGCCTCTAGCTGGCGGTGTGTGGGCAGGACGGTTAGGCTGGGCCCGGGTGGTGGGAGGATCTGCTCTAGCCATAACCACACGATATCCACAGTCCCAGCACTGGCTTCTTGAGGGCCAGGCCAGGGACCAGAGCCAGGCCAGGGGCAGGAACCAGGCCCATCCTTCTCCCCTCTCTTGTGCATTCTCGTTGGGGAGGAGGAAGAGGGACGAGACTGAAAGCTCAGCTCTCCTGGGGAAGGCAGCAGGGAACTGCAGATTTCGTTCTGCCTCCCTCCCACTTTAGGAATGTAGAGTCATTACGGTTTATCCCCCATCCACATGTCCTGTCATCCTCTCTCCCCGAGGGAAGGCTGCTGTCCTCTTGTCTCTCTGCTACATCAAATCATACCCTTCCCATCTCTCCTCAGACTTCTACCTTCCTTTGCTGGAACCGCTCTGCATTTGCTCCTGTGATTCCCTCCCCTGGAATGCCAGGAGGAAGATGCTCCCAGGCAAAGATTTCAGAATGACATGGAATTCTCCAGAGGAATCCTGGATCCCCCCTACACTAATGCCTCAGCCTGTTCACTCCTGATCTTTGGGAGGGTGCACCTGGAAGCAAGCTCTGGGGTCCCTGGGGGAGAAGGCACAGCCCCTGCCCTGGAGACACTTAAAGCCTGGTAGGGAAGGGCTGTGGGCTGGACAGTGACCATACGTGTGACGGTCCTAGGTGGGAGGTGGGAGCTCAGAGGAGGAACCTAACCCATTGAGCGGAGTGCTCAGGGAAGGCTTTGAGTAGGGCCTTAGAGGATGTGTAGAAGTTCCCCAGGAGGAGAGTGACTGAATGGAGAGGGAACAGCATTTACAAAGGCCTGGGAGTGTGAGAGGGCCTGGGGTGTTATGGGCTCGCTGGAGTAAAGTGAGCTCCATGAAGCCAGAAATCCTTGGCAGTTTTGTTCACAGCTGTATCTCTAGTACCTAGAACAGTGCCTGGCACATATTAGGTGCTCAGGACATTCTTACTGAATGAATGAATAAGATGAGAGAAGGGAGAGTATCTAGAGGTGAGACTGGATGACTCCAGCAGTTCCCGATCCTGGGAACTAAAGCAAGATCTTTATCCTGCAGACACTAGGGAGCAATTGAAGGATTTTGAGCAGGGGTGGGGTAGATGATAATGATAATAATGGTGAGGATAATGGGAGCCTGAGATCCGTGTTTTCTTACACCCCATCTCTTACACCAAAGACCCACTCCTCACCATTTCCAGGTGTTTCTAGCTCCTTAAATGGTCCAATTTTAGCCTTCTGCTTACTGGAAAAGAAAGTGCAGCCATCCTGGCTACAGTGCCAGACAGGAGGTCTGTAGGCTTGGGCCAGTGGAATGGGGCTGAAATGGCTAAATCTGGCTCGGAAACACTTTTATCTCAATATTGGTTAACTCTGGGAGGAAGAGACCTTGGGAGAAAAACAAAAACAAAATCCACATTCTCAGGGTCACCAATGGCCATGAGTCAGCCCCCACCAAGGGAAGGAGCACAGAACCACACTCGGGAGGCGCTGGCCCTGTTAGTATGCTGGGGCGTTTCTGTAGGGTGGTGTTCACACCAGAACCGCTGCACTCGAACCAAGTCAAGGTCCCAGAACTCTGGCAGTTCTTTCAAGTTGGGCAAAATAAATGAGCTCAGAAGGGCTTAGGTAGAGGTGAACACGTCCTTTGGGGCTGAGCCTATATCATGGTGGGGAAACACATGGCTTGCAGCTTGATTCAGCTGTAGCCTATGCCTGGAGCAGGCATTGCTGATCAATTGTGGCATTCCTTTCCTGAGCTCATATGAGTGATTTTCTTCAGAACTTGCATTCTCTGGGGGCTACTGGGCACTTGAAATAGGGCTCATCTGAATTGAGATGTGCTGTAAGTATAAACAACACACTGGATTTTGAAAACATAATATGAAAAAAATGACCTTAAATTTTTACATCGATTACACTTTGAAATGATAATATTAGAGGTTGGGCGTGGTGGCTCACACCTGTAATCCCAGAGCTTTGGGAGGCTGAGGTCAGTAGATCACCTGAGGTCAGGAGTTTGAGACCAGCCTGGCTAACATGGTGAAACCCTGTCTCTACTAAAAATACAAAAATTAGGTGGGCATGGTGGCGTGTACCTGTAATCCCAGTTATTTGGGAGGCTGAGGCAGGAGAATCGCCTGAACCTGGGAGGCAAAGGTTGCAGTGAGCTGAGATTGCTCCATTTTACTCCAGCCTGGGCAACAAGAATGAAACTCTGTCTCAAAAAAAAAAGAAAAAAAGAAATGATAATATTTCAGATATAAGATATATTTGGCTAGATAACATACAAAAATTAATTCCACCTATTTCTTTAACTTTTTTTGTTGTTGTTGTTTTGTTTTTTAGATGGAGTCTTGCTCTGTAGCACAGAATGAAGTGCAGTGGCAGGACCTTGGCTCACCACAACCTTCGCCTCCCAGGTTAAGCGATTCTCCTACCTCAGCCTCCCGAGTAGCTGAGATTACAGGCGCCCGCCACCACGCCCGGCTAATGTTTGTATTTTCAGTAGAGACGGGGTTTCACCATGTTGGCCAGGCTGGTCTCCAACTCCTGACCTCAAATGATCTGCCCGCCTTGGCCTCCCAAAATGCTGGGATTACAGGCGTGAGCCACCGCTCCTGGTCTTCTTTAACTTTTATCTAGTGTGGCTACTGGAACATTTTAAATTATGTGTGTGGCTCATATTGTATTTCTGTTGGACAACACTGTTACGGAATATCTGCTCTGCGGGGGCAGGGAATTTTGTCTTTTTTTGTTCACAGCTAAATTTCATAGCACCTAGAGTAGCACCTAGCACACAGTAGGTGGTCAGTAAATTATTTGTGGAATGAATGAATGGATCCTCACCAGCATTTCTCCTTAGGAGTCACCAGCAATTGATCAGATGGAACTTATTTGCTACCCCGAGCCTAGCGGATGCTACACCACAGTGCTAACAACCCCCGTTTGTGCTTTCTGACTTTAGAGCTTGTGTCGCTCTCCTGGGACTCTCCTGATACCCAGTGGGGCAGGTGAAAGTGGACTCTGGTGAATGCACTGCTCCGCTGAGGGTCTTCTGAAAGGGAACGTTTCCGTTCCTTCTGATCAGGAAGCAGGGCAGTGTGCAAATGGTATGGAAATCACTTCTTGTGGGTGTTTGCCTATCTAGGGTGCTGGGGATACTTCCAGTCCACTTCCTGACCCCAGCCCTTGGTCCCTAGAGACAAAAGAGGAAGCTCTGGAGACTTTGAGCTCTGGGGGCAGATCGGGGGAACTGGGGCCCCCTTAGTCTTTCCCCAGCGAATGAGGGCTTGTAGCCCAGAGCATCCTCATCTCTCAATTCAGCAGGAGCCTAAAAATAGTCTGCAGTTTCAGCCTCCCCCACAGCCGCCCGCGCCAAGTGGGGCCCTGCGCCCGGCAGCTCCTCCACAATCCAGACTGTCTGCACAATCTGCCCCAGCTACCGACCCCCATCTCCTCGGCGTCTGTCCCATCCTGGCCCCTGAGAACCCTGAGCTCAGCACTCCCTGCTGTGAGGCCTGCTGAGGGTCTGCTTCACACTCTGCCTTTCCTAACAGCCTGGGCCCTGACCCCTGGAATTCCAGACCCCATGTTTTGTCCACTCTCCATTCTGGAGGGGACGCTAGCCAGACACAAGTGGGGTGAAGGTGTTGCAGGTAATGAAACCAGCACATGCAAAGCATGGGGTGCGAGAGAGCACAACATGCCATGGAAGGGGTGAGCCGGAAGGGCTGGGTGCACGGGATGGAGTACGGGGGCCAGTCCCAAGCTGGAAGGCAGCACCGCAGGTCTGTTGGCTCCCACCCCACGCGTGGATGCCCTGGAGTAGATGATGTCTTCGTCCAGCCCACGGTGGAGCAGGACTGCCCCTTGGATCAAGTAGCCTGCAGTAGCTCTGGTGCCACCCACACCTTGTGTAGAGCCCAGAAGGAACGCTTAGGTGCCAGGGCCTGTCTCCCTGTTTTGGGTCCTCCACATCTTGTGGGAAGCCCTGGTGCCTTCCGGCTCTGAGCTTCTGGGGTTCCTGCCTGCTTAGCAATACAGGAAGTCTCCTCAATGAGGTCCAGCAAGGGGAATGCCTCGAGGCAACCAGTACCTTGGTGGCAGAGCTGGAATGAAACCCTCCATATCCTGATGCCCAGCTGGGACCCGTCCCTCCCATCAATGTCGGGCGACCACTGCTGAGGACACATCCTGGTCAGAACCTGAGATACGGGGCTTGGGGACCTGCCCTGCAGAAGGGTTTCCTGGTGGCAGGAGTGAGTGTGCAGGTGACACTGCTGGCCCATGACGGTTCCACATTCTGAGTGAGCAGGGTCCCAGCTGCAGGAAGTGGTGGCGGCAGAAGTCACAGTCACCTTCCTCTCCTGGGGGCCGGCTTTCGGGGAAGCCAGGGGAAATGCTGAGCTCATGGGCTGTTCTTCCCACAGCTGGTTTCCAAGGCCTTTTCTTGTCCCTGACATCTCTCCACAGCCTCACCACAGCCCTCAGAGGCGGAATGCCATCGTGGGCATTACTGTCCCATTAGGCAGAGCAGGTGCAAGGCCAGCCTCTTGCTCTGAGCTACCTGCCCCTTCAGAGCCTGGCCTAGAACCTGGACTCCTGCCTCTTCCCACCTCCACACAACACCCTCCCCCAAGGAAACAGGGGTGGGTGGAATCTAGAAGCTTCTCAGGTGAGGTGAAGGTGTTGGGAAGGCATTAGAACTTGAGGTTTTCTCACCTCCACCAGCCCCTCATTTCCCAGCAGATGTGAGACCTCCTTGGTGTGCATGTCAGCCCGTGATAGGTCAGTCTCAGGACGTTTCCCCCAGCATGGGGCCTGTCAGAGGAGCTCCCCCTCCCCAGCCACCACAAGAGCCCAGTCACTGGGAGCGCCCCTGCACCCTGGAAGGCATCCGAGGGATCCAAGCCCATTCCTCAGCTTGAGGAAATGGCAGCCCCTGCAGAGGGCCCTGACTGGCCCTGTGAGTGTGGAGGTGGGGGCGTCCTAGCCCTGATACATCCTTTCCTGAACTCCACCCCAATCATGGGTATAAACACAGGCAGAACATCAATGAAGTGAGAGGAGAGTTGTCTGCCTTGGCAGCCAGCACCAGGGAAGATGGAACTGTGGCTTGTCTACCTGTCTGGCCTTCTGTTGTTCTCTGTCTCAGTCTCATTCTGTTTCCCTGTTGGTCTCTGTTTCTATTCTCTCTCTCTCTGTCTCTCCTTGTTCCTATTTCTCTCTCTGGCTTGACCTCTTATGCTCACTTACACAAAACAAGCATGCATATATACAACAGGTGGGCACATGGGACCACACGTATGACCTGCTCACCCATACACACGTACAAACATGCACATCTGTGCACACATGCATCCACACAGAATCCTCCCTCCTCAGATCCTGTATGTATATTCAGAGAAGGGGGTGGTGGTGAAGCTCTCTTTCCATGTATCCACAGGCTCAGGGAGAACCCACAGTTAATTTCCAGGCTGTTTCTGCCTCCCTGTCACTGGCAACTGGGAGCTTGGAGGAATAGGCTGGGATCCCCACTGATATCTGGGACTCTGGTGGGGATCTCTGGGCCATCATAACCTGCCAGTGAAGAGCATGAGAGGGGAGGGGGAGTCTCCGGAGGTGAGCAGAAGGGACGAGATAGGAAGATGAGATGTTGAGTTAGCAGTGCACTGGCCTGGAGGGCTCTCTGGCTCCTTCCCCTCCTGATGCTCTTCCTGGTGGTCCTGCTGAGATGCCCTATGACCCACCTGAGAGCTGGGGACCAGGGACGACTGGACCACAGGAGGCCCCAGAGGGAGGCGCCTGCAGGGAGGGAAGCCTCCTCAGTCATTTGCCCCACCCACAGAAAGCTGGAGGCTGGACGTCCCTAGGGTGTGTGGCCATGAGGAGAGAGCCTTTATTCCTGTCCTTTCAGGACAATGGGCCAGATGAGGCCCCACCAGGTACTTGGGTTTCCTGGGTGGGTCGGGGCTTTCCTGGAATGCTCAACCTTCCTGGTGTCCCAGGGTTGAGGTAACTGCATGGGAAGAGGGTAGGCAGGAAGCCCTTACGGTCTGTAAGGACCTGTCCTGCCCTGGAGTCTGGGTTCAGGTGGTCATCAGAGCCTGCACGCCTCCACCACTCTCAGCATGTGGGCCTGCTCCCTGTTCAGAGCAACCCCCTTACTGAGCACCTGTGTGGTGCAGGCTGTGCTGGGAGGAGGCTTGTGAAGAGCAGGTGAGCTAGGACTGGGCACCAGAGAAGGAGGAGCCCCTTTCGCTGCTGGGGCAGGAGCTAGAGCCCCCACGGGCATGTTTTGGTGTGGGGACAGATTCAACAGGAGCCCAGGGATCTTTCTGAAATGTGACACTTGCCTCCACCCTCCTTGCCAGAAAGGGACATTGCTCAGCCACCTGGCTCAGCTTCAATAAGCAAGTAGTAATAGTGGTGAACAAAAGCCAAATGCGTAAGTCACGCACCTGCCCGGGACTGTTCTGAAACTTTGTGTGAATTGTCTTGGTTAGTTTTCTCACCAGCCCTTTGAGGTTGATACTATTACTATTGTCTCCATTTCATAGTTCAAAGAACTGAGGCTGAGAAAGAGTAAGTAGTTTACCAAAATTTCACAACAAAAAGATGCATCTAATCTTTGTCCTCAAGAAACAGGGGTTCTACTTTTACTTTTTTTTTTTTTTTTTGAGATAGGATCTTGTTCTGTTGCCTAGGCTGGAGTGCGGTGGCACGATCTTGACTCACTGCAACCTCTGCCTCCCGAGTTCGAGTGATTCTCTTGCCTCAGCCTCTTGAGTAGCTGGGATTACACCACGCCTGGTTAATTTTTTTTTTTTTTTAATTTTTAGTAGATACGGGGTTTCACCATGTTGACCAGGCTTGTCTCAAACTCCTGACCTCAAGTCATCCACCTGCTTCAGCCTCCCAGAATGCTGGGATTACATGTGTGAGCCACTGTGCCCGGCCCAAGCTCCTGCTCTCTTTGCTGGGTTCGCGGTTAATACAAGTGATACACACAGCAGAGAGAAGCAGTCAGGTGGGCCACTCTGGCAAAATGGCAAAGATCAGGTCTGGGACAGAGTCTGCCCCAGTGACCAGGGTTCCCTACACAGAGTCCATTAGCACCCGAGTCTTGGACCTCAGAGGAAGATGATGGGATCACTTGTTCCAAGACACCCTGAGGCTCTGAGACAGGGAGGTCACCTGTCAATCTGTCCTACTTGGGACCGAGGTGGGCTGAGAGGCCCTCTGCTTGGGCTGCAGGGCCCCTGCAGGGGTTGAGGATCAGCTTTCTCCTCTCATTGGTTCCTGCCAGAACCATCTTAGGGAGCAGCTGCTGTGGGGGCTGCTCTCCCACAGCAGGGAACCCACATCCTGCCCCATTACAGCAAAGTGAGCATCCGGTGGGGGAAGGACCCCCACGGGGGGCCTGAAGCTGATGAAAGTTGAGTCAGGGTGACTCAGTGGAAGGCCTCTTCCCACTGCTGTCTCCAAGTGGAATACTGTGGTCAGACCAAAGGAAGAACTTCCCAACCTCTGGTCCCACATCTGGAATGCATGCCAAAAAGGGGTCTCTGAGAGAACATGGCAGTTTGGCAGTTCTCAGGCTCTGTCATGCTACATACTGACCTCAGAAAGACCCCGGGAGGCAGACTGCAGATGGGGAAACTGAGGAAAGGGACAGGACCTGTACCAGAGCTGGGACTGTAGCTGGACCTTGAGTCTGCTCATCATGGGGGCACCTGCCCAAGGAGAGGGCAGCACCCCACTGCAATGCCCCCTATGTTTCCCCAGAGCCCCTCTCCTCCCATCTGCTCCTCAGAGGCCTTGTCTCGAGGTAGGAGTGGAGTGAGGGGGTGGGGGTTTCCCTGAGCAAAGAATAGTTCTCCTGTAGGATGCTGTTTTAAGAAACACACAAATAGACAAGCCACCCAGCCAGTCAGACAAGTTTGGCTTTCCAAACCTGTCCCTGGGGTGGCTGTTGTTGCCTTTTTATTTATTTATTTATTTATTTATTTATTTATTATTTATTTATTTATGTATTTATTGAGTAAAGGTTCATATAACACAAATTTTGCCATTTCAAAATGCACATTGCAGTGGTTTTGAGTATATTCATAATGCTCTATGACACCTACCTCTAGCTAACTCTGGAACATTCCATCACCCCCAAGAAACCTCGTGCCTGTTAGCAGTTACTTCCCCTTTCCTTGTCCCCCAACTAATGTACTTTCTGTCTCTATGCATTTGTCTCTTCTGGACATTTTTTAAAAAATTAAATTAAATAATTTATTCAGAGATGAGGTCGCGCTATGTTTTCCAGGCTGGATTCAAACTCCTGGGCTCAAGTAATCCTCCTGCCTGGGCCTCCCAAATAGTTGGGACTACAGGCGTGAGCCACTGCATCCAGCTTCTAGGCATTTCATATAAATGGAATTGTACATGTCACCTTTTGTGTCTGACTTCTTTCACTTAGCATACTGTTTTCAGGGGTTATCATGTGGTAGCCTGAACCAGGACGCCCCATCTTCTCACTGCTGAATGAGAGCTCATTGTGTGGCTAGGCCATGTTGCTTATCTGTGCCTCAGTTGATGGACATGGACATTGTTCCCACTTTTCGGCTGTTATAATAATATCCAGAATAACGCTGTATGAATATTTGTGTACAAGTTTTTGTGTGATCAGATGTTTTCAACTCTTTGGAACATCTATTTACCTGGGAGTGGGACTGCAGAATCCCATGGTAACTCTGTGTTCAACGTTTTGGGCAACTGACAAACTGCTTTCCACAGAGGTGATACCATTTTACATCCCCGCCATCAGAGTGTGAGGGCTCTAATCTTGCCACAGTCTCACCAACACTTGTTATTTTCTCTGCCTTTATTCTTTCAACACACACACACACACACACACACACACACACAGAGAGAGAGAGAGAGAGAGACATTGAGACAGGGTCTTGCTCTGTCACCCAGGCTGGAATACAGTGGTGCAATTTTGGCTCACTGCAATCTCCGTCTCCTGGTCTCAAGCAATCCTCCCACATCAGCCTCCCGCGCAGCTGGGACTGCAGGTGCATGCCACCACACCCAGATAATTTTGTGTATCTTTTGTGGAGATGAGGTTTCACCACATTACCGAGGCTGGTCTCGAACTCCTGAACTCAAGAGATCTGTTGGCCTTGGCCTCCCAAAGTGCTGAGATTTCAGACATGAGTCACTGTGCCTGGCCTTCAACACATATTTTGTTGAGCCCCTGCTTGGTGTCAGGCCTGTGCTGGGGTAGGGGATGCAGGGGTCCAGGCTGCTCTTGCAGAGCCAAAGGGACATAGATGTGACCCAGTGGTGGCTGGTGCTGAGTGGAGGGAAGGAGGAGGTGAAGTGATGGGAGTGACCTGCATGGACAGTCAGGGCAGGCTTCAGGGAGGCAGCGTTTGTGCCCTGGGAAGGTCTTGGCTGTTACTGTCCAATCCCAGCCTCTGTCCCTTCCCAAGTCCCCAGGATGAGTGGTAGTCAAGGTGCTGGGTGCCTCAGTGTTATAATGTGAAAAGTCTCAGCCTGGCCTGAAACTCACCCATTAGAGCCCTCACCTGCAGATTCTATGCCCACAGCCCAGGCCAGATGAGGAAACTGTGGCTCAGAGAAGGGAATGACTTCCCAAAGGTCATCCCAAAAGGTAGTGGCAGAGGGAGACCAGATCCCTGATCTACAGATGCCCAGCCTGGGGTCCTTTTAGCTCTGATGGGGTGAGGCCTGGGGCAGCATGAGGCTGGGAGCAGGGAAGATGGGGGAGGGCAGGAGGCTGAGAGAGCCCAGGTGAGAGAGGGCCAAGCTTGAAAGGTTTTCCCAGGCTGGGGGAGAGGCCCTGGTCAGGATGTGTATGGGTAAGGGGTGAGATACAGAGGTCCCTGGGGCGGGCCCAGACCTGTTTCTCCTTTGCCCAGTTTCAGTTCTGTTTTGCTTGTCCCCTTCTGTTTTGCGTTCAGAGTGGGTTGGGGTGGTGGTGGGGTGACTCTTAGCCCCCATCTTGATCCCCATGGTGGGGGATGAGGAGATGGGCTTAACTCCAGACACCACTTTCAGTCCCCCTTTCTACCCCCACCCAGGGTCCCCCAGTCTAAGGGCGGATGCGGGAGGCCTGGCTGGGTCCGTCCTCACAAGGAGGGGCAAGCTGGGCAGAGCCTGGCTGGCCTCCCCTGCTGCCATACCTTGGAGCCCACAGCCTCCAGTGGGTAGTGACTGGCCCCAAATCTAGACATAGGTAATGTTTGCTTAGTGAGCTCATGTGCTATGGGACTAAGTTGAAATGCTCTGCCCCTTACTCATACACCCTTATTGACTCACAGGTCCCCAAGGTGAGTCACGCCCACATCAGGTATTGTGGGTGTATGAGACATACACCCACTGCAAACTGGGATGCAGTTTCCAGTCCCCCTGCCAGCATGCTTAGGGCACCAGGAAGGGCAGTGGGTGCTGATGGGCCCCAGATTTACCAAAGATGACTCCAGTTGGAGGCCTTGGACTGCTGTGGGCTTGTCAGGGGCCTTTGTGGCCCTGGGAGGAGGTGTCTGGGGCTGCTCCAATGTCTTTGGGGTCTCTCAGGTTGGGGTGGATCCTTTGGGAGTGCTGGGCACTGGCAGAGACTCAGGCCGCAGGGAGGGGACTTGCTTTCCCTCTGGCTCCCTCAGGAGGCCTCAGCTGCAGTGCTGGGTGCTGGCTGTCCTCAAACCCATGTCCTCCAGCCCCCTGACGTCTTCTCATTTCCTCATCTCAGGTTTCAGCCCACTCAGGCTGACGTTGCCTTCTGATCTCGTTTTTCAGCAGCCCCCAGGTCTCCGTGGCTGCTGTGCAGAAACGCGAGTGGTTGGGGGAAGTCCACATGATGCTGGCCTTGAAGAGCCTCCTGCCAGCCAGGCCTCAGGAGGGCTCACTTCCCCATTGCAGAACTCCTGCGGAGACCCAGGGGCAATTTCTGGTCTTTAGCACAGGGCCTCTGAGGGGCTGGCTTTTCCTAGGGGCTGCCCTGGTGCTGTGGCACCGTGGGGTGGGGGATTTCGGCAACGCCAGGGGCTCGACATGGCTGAAACTTCTTTGGACAGCTCAGCTACCCCAGGTAGAAGCCTCTGTCCCTCCCGGAGCCAGGCCTGTCCCAGCTTCGAAGTCAGATGTTGGGACATGCTGTATGCCTTTGGGACGAGTAGCCCCGTGGGCTCAGAGCTCTGACAGTGAACCCAGATGGGGTTGCTGTGAGGCACTGGGCGGGTCTAAACAAACAAGGTGCTGTGTGAGTGCATAGGTGCGAACAGGCTGCTCCAAGGGACTCTTGAATTGTCTTTGCGGACAAGTGGGAGTTAGCTGGAAAAGAAGGAGCTGCGTGGTCAGAGGCGTGGAGGCAGGCAGTGGAATAACCCATGTGGAGAACTGCAAGCATTTCCACATGACTGACTGGAGTGTGAGGGGGTGTAGGAGACCGGAGGGCAGGCGGTGGGCAGGGGGCTGGAGAAGGACCCTGAGGGCTCAGCCAAGGAGCAGGACTTTTCCTGAAGCAGCAGAGGCAGAGAGCCAGGCCCCTCCTGAGCCCTCTCACTTCTGTGCAGGGACACCTCCCAGTGAAGTAGGCCTGGGCCTCAGAGGCACCCCGACCCTGGCTGCTGACTCAGCTCTGCCTCTGTGAGGGCCAGTGGGGGGCTGCCCACATGAGCCACGGAGCCATGGCATGGCCTGGGGCTGGCTCTCCTGGGCTGCCCTCCACCCAAGGTCTTGAGGTTCTGCCATTCCCTCTTCAAGGGGTCTGACCATGCAGCCCTAGGTGGGGACGGACCCTGTAGCCTGCTCACTGGTGCCTGGGGTGCCACTGCCAGTCCTGCTCTGGCGCTGATGGGGAGGCAGAGGCAGCCGCCAGAGAGAAGATCCCAGGTGGGGAGAATGTGGGCAAGAGGCCATGCTCCCTCCTGCAGCCTTCATGAAGGCTCAGAGTGTTCTGGAAGTGTTTGGGGGCTGGCCTCATCTCCTCGGCTAGCTCCAACGCCTCCCGGCTCGGCCCCCACATATCACGCTCAAGTGGACCGATCCTGACTGAGGCAGAAAGTAGAACTGGCCCCTCACCATGCGCTCCAGCCCTACTGCTGAAGGAGGCAGGATGGCACAGAGGTGAGGGCGTGAATTCTGCATCACTCAGACTTGGGGCTAGATCCTGGGTCTGGTGGGGAGCACACTGGGCTGGCAAGGCCCGTCGTGCTTTACTAGCTACCTTTGACCCAGTAATCCCACTTCCAGGAGTCTGTCTTACAGAGACACCCGAACGAATATGACAGATGCACACACACCAAGCTGCATACTTGTGATGGCAGAAGATCAAAAACATTAATAGCCATCAGCTTGGGACTGATATATCCCAATGGTATGTCCCCATGATGGAATTCAAGACAGCTCTAAAAAGAATGTGAGACTGGGTGCGGTGGCTCACGCCTGTAATCCCAGCGCTTTGGGAGGCTGAGGTGGGCAGATTACTTGAGGTCAGGAGTTGAAGACCAGCCTGGCCAACATGGCAAAACCCTGTCTCTACTAAAAATACAAAAATTATCCAGGCGTGGTGGTGTGCACCAGGTACTCGGGAGGCTGAGGCACGAGAATTGCTTGAACCTGGGAGGCGGAGGTTGCAGTGAGCTGAGATCACACCACTGCACTCCAGCCTGGGCAACAAAGCGAGACCCTGTCTCGAAAAAAAAATCTGAAAGTTTTCTGTGTATGAAAGTGCAAAAAAGCTCTGGGATTTCTGTTAAGTAAGAAAGCAAGTAAAAGTCAGTGAAGAGTAGAGAAAACACCCAATGCCCAGGCCAGGGCAGGAGGCAGCATGACGGGCTCAGGAGGCCCTGGGGAGTTTGGTGGGACCGGGAGCAAGAAGGGACAGACCAGGCAAGTGAGAAGGAGACCAGCTTGGGAGGGCCCCTGGGTGCAGAGAAGAAACTGAAAACTACCAGGAGCCAAGGGACAGTTTTCAGCAGATTCGGATCTCCTTTGTCTGGTACCAAGATCTGGCAAGTGTAAAGCAATAATCCACATTTATAATGTGCTTTGCATGCAGCATCTCATTTAAACCTCTCAGCACTGTAACCCCTATGAGAGAAGTGCTATTATCACAACATGTGGAACTGGAGCACAGGAAGGTTAAGGAACCAGTCCAAAGTCACACTGCTGGTAAACAGCAGAGCCAGAGAAAGGACCCTGAGCCCACGCCAGAATCACCTTGCTATCCTGCCTTTCACAGCGGTGTTGGATTGGAAGGGGATTGCTGGAGACCGGGGACAGTCAGGGGCTGTTATGAGTTGGGGACCCAGACGAGAAACAGTGAGGGCCTGGGGAAGGCAGCGAGTTTGGGTTGGGGATTCAAGTGTAGATTGAAAAGCTCTGAAGGATGTGGGAACGAGACCTGGTGGTGAGTGGGGCCCCTAATCCATTCACTCATTCATGCAGCAAAAGTATAGAGTGCCTACTGGGTGCCAGGTACTGTCCTGGGAGCTGGGCTTACATCAGTCACCAAAACCAACAAATGCCCCTGCCCTCAAGGGGCTTTCCTTCTAGCTGATGGAAACAGACAATAGTAATAGACATAAGAAATATGTAATTAGGTAATCTGTTAGAACCGTGGAAAGCTAAAGTAAAGGTAAGGGGGATTGGCAGCCCGTGTCCAGGAGACATCTGAAGTTTTAAGTGAGGTGGTCAGGGAAAGCGTCATCAAGAAGGTGACATTTGAACAAAGACTGAAAGAAGGTGAGGGGCGAGCTGTGCAGGTGTTTGGGGAAGGGCACTCCAGGCAGAGGGAACAGCCAGGGCAAAGGCCCGGGGCTGGGGCGTGTCTGGCGCGTTCGAGGAACAGCAGCGGGGAGGCTGTCACCCCTGTCCATCAGTGCCTGTCTCTTCTTCTGGAAACAGGGAAGGGCTACACTTCTTCCATTTGGGGTTAGGCCCAGCTGTGTAATCTGCTTTGGCCAGTGAGATACGAGTGGAAGAGATGCGTGCCACTTCCGAGCTGAAGCATGCAGGAGTCAGCGAGTGATTCCACATTCCCTTCACCCTGCCTGGAAGCAGGTGATGCTCCAGATGTCCCCGACATGGTCATGAGAGAGGACGATGCAGCGTAGCCCTCCCTGCTGACCCTCATGACGTGAAGCTGGAATGAGAAATGCCCCTCTCTGTTTTAAGGCCCAGTGAGTAGGGATGGTCACCACAGCACACCCCAGCCTGCCTCAACTGATACCCCAGGGGAGGCCTCTGCAGTGCAGCCAGAGAGAGGAGGGTGCAGGGAGGAGAGCAGAGGATGCAGGCAAGGAGGCCAGGGCACGCAATAATTCCCCGGCTTTTCCTGAGAGCGACACAGGAGCCATTGGGAAGCGTCAACTGGAGAGGTGCGATCCAGTGACATATCTGAACAGGACGGCTCTGGCCACTGTGCTGGGAACACCTGGGGGCAGGAGTGAAAAGGTGGGAGCAGGGAGACCAATTAGGAAGCTCCTGCAATGATCCAGATGAGAAATGATGGGGGCCTGGCCCAGGGTGGGGGCGGCAGTCTGACTCTGGGTCTCCTTTGAGATTAGAGCAGTAGGGTTTGCCAGTGGATGGGAGAGGGAGAGGGGTCTGGGATGCCTCGAAGGCTTTTGGTCTGAGCATCAGGAAGGAGAAAGCTGCCAGCCGGGGGTGGGGAGAATGCGGTGGTGGGGGAAGCGGGTTGGGGTGCTGTGGGGAGCGGGAGCTGGAACGGCTGAGATGCTTGTTATACATCCAAGTGGAGTGTCATGTGGGCGGCTGAGGAGAGGCCTGGCTGGGGGAGGGAGGACAGTCAGGCGTCTGTTTGGGTGTGGACAGTACAGACAGCATCTAACGGCTTGAGACTGGATGAAATCAGGAGGGGTGAAAGCTGGTGCCCCTTTCAGCATCTGGGCTGAGGACAAGGGAGAGAGAAGGGAGGGCATCTCAAGGGACATCCTGGAGGTGGTCTGGACCTCAATAGCCAGAGGGTGGGGGGCTTGAGGATGCAGGAGGAGGGGCAGGCTAGGGGTGGGAGAGGTCTGTCTCCCAGGGTGGAGGCAAGGGAGGGGAGAAAGGCCAAGGACAGACCCCTGGGTGGGGCTTCTTTGAGGGTGGCCCCAGGAGGAGGAAGTGGAACCTTGAAGGGGACAGTGATGGAGTGGGCAGGGAGGTGACAGGAAATCTGGGTGGGCGTTTCAGGAGCCAGGAGTATGGGCACATGTTTTAAGAAGAGAAAGAAAAAAGGGTCTGTGCTTTGGAATGGTGTTGAGGAGTGGAGGCAGGGGTGGCAGTGAAGTGCCCCAGACATAACAGCAGAGAGGTGATCAGTGGCCTCGGTGGGATGTTGGGGCAGGGGTTAGATCCCAGGAATTAAGGGGATGGGGAGGAGGGGGTTAATGGAGGCAGTGGGTGGAGACCGTGCTTTCCAGAGCCGAGGGCAGAGGCTGGAGGTGTGGGGGTGTGGGGCTATTGAGAGAGGGGTCCTGTGGGATGGGAAAGACTCAAGCAGCTGGTTTGATGCCCAGAGGCAGCAGTAGGCGGTGGGGGAAGGCTGAGAAGCCAGGGAGGCCAGGCAGAATGTCGGCAGGTGCCCCACAGCCTCAGTGGCTCCTGAGTCCTGAGGAAGGAGGGGAGACAGGCTAAGGTGGTGATGGGAGGGGGAACACAGGCAGAGGCAAGGAGGGGCAGAGGCAGGAGTGGAGGGAGCGTCAGCCGCTTTGATAGATAACTGATGAGACCATGTGGTGAGAAACCCATAGAACACAGGGGAAGGCCTCCAGGTAGGGCAGGCCTGCAGGCACAGAGGTGGAAGCAGGAGTGTACGGGGGCAGGTGGGTGGCCTTGGCAAAGTCATGGAGGCAGGGAAGCCTGTGGGACTTTGGGGAGCAGGATGAGAGGGGCCCAGAAGAGAGAGGCTGGGGCCTGACCATGGAGACCAGCCTGCCAGGCATGGGCATCTGTGAGTTGCTCAGCAGGCTTTGGGTGCTGCTGGAATCTTGGCCAAGCTCTGCCTGATGGAAGATGCCCACTGTCCCTGCGTCTACCTCCTGCTTGGGCTTGGGAGGGCCTCCAGGCGTTCACATCCTCTCCAGGCCTGGCCTCGAGGTCCCAAGAGGGGATAGGTGTCCAGAGGCAGGGTTGGGCTGGATGAAAATTCAGGTGAGAGGACATGACTTTGGTAGCTTGCGCCTCCTGGGAACACCTGGAAGTCACCTACTGAATCATCAGAGCCACTTGCCTGGGATGGAACTAAGGTTTCCTAAGAATCCACCCACTTCCTCTTTTCTAAAAGTCCCTTTCATCACTTCAGGGAAAAGGAACTCGTCTTCATTGACATCCCTGCATGCACGAGAGCAGGTCATGATTTACCTGGTGTGGTGCTCATGATGGCTTCATGGGGAGGGCGCTGTTGTTCTTCCCATCTGACAGGTGGGGAAGCTGAGGCCGTACAGGTACTGTGACCTACCCAAAGTCACATTGTGGAGTGAGTCTGTGGAGGTCACAGACACGGTATGGAGCATGGGGGCCCTGGCCATGGTGTTATCCGTCTCCTGCAGGTGGCTGCCAAGAAGCCTCTGTGACCTGGTAAATTCCTGATCTCTTCATCTATCTTGGGTACCGGTTTGGTTTCCTTGAATGCTTGAGGTTCCTTTCACTCTCACGGACATATGACAGAGTTCTTCCATCTCCCGTCACAGGCACTTCATGCAGGGCCCCACGCTACCATCGTGGGCTTCCTCATTCTTGCTTTGAAGGTCATGACCTCCTGGAGGCCCAGGAAGGGACATGAACCCTAATCCCCCTGGCTGGACCATTGGCTCCCTGAAGGCAGGAACCAAGTCCCAAAGCTTCATTCCCCATTTCTTTTCAGAGCCGACTCAGTCCTGGTGCCTAGGGGTGGATGGTGGGGGTCATCCCAGGAGGCACAGGTCCTGTAAGAAAGGAAGTAGCACCTACTGAGCTTTTGTTTGTTTGTTTGTTTTTGTTTTTGAGGTGGAGTCTCACTCTGTCACCCAGACTGGAGTGCAGCAGCGCGATCTTGCCTCACTGCAAACTCCACCTCCCGGGTTTAAGCTGTTCTCCTGCCTCAGCCTCCTGAGTAGCTGGGATTACAGGCGCACGCCACCACATCCAGCTAATTTTTTGTGTTTTTAGTAGAGACGGGGGTTTCGCCATGTTGGCCAGGCTGGTCTTGGACTCCTGACCTCAAGCAATCTGCCCACCTTGGCCTCCTAAAGTGCTGGGATTACAGGCGTGAGCCACCTTGCCTGGCGTTTGGATGAGCCAGGCTCTAGCACCATCTCCCCCACTCCTTTACAGGAACCCTCTGAGGACGATGTTACTGTCAGCACCCCCATTTTACAGGTGAGGGAATGAAGGTGACATAGCTGGCTTCCAGCCCTCATCTCTGAGCCCAGAGCCTGTACGCTGTACACTCGAGCAGGCAGAGACTGCACAAGCAGAGAGCAGGCCTCTGTGGGTCACGACAGGGGAGCCAGGTCAGCCCCGTCACGCATGGGCCCCCAGCACTGGCTGGCAGCCCCCCTCGGGGGCCAATCCCGAGTCCCCACTGGGAGGTCCAGCAGTGAGTGCTCCATGGTGCCCTGGTGACGGGGGGGGCCTGTGAGGCAGGCCGTGAGCCAAATGTCCCCACACAGCCTATCTCAGGCCACTCACAGAAAAGGAAAGAAAATATCTTGAGATCTTTTCTGGCCTTATCAGCCCCACACAGAGGCCCCGCTGTGGTGTGGTAACAGGGTCCGTGAGTGTGTGCTCAGATAAGCGCCAGGCGTTTCTGAGAACCTGCAAGGCACCGTCCTGAGTTCCCCCTCTCTAGAACATTCTTCTTCCACATGCTGCACAACTGGTTCCCTTAGGTCCTCAGGGCATATTCTTAGAGAGGCCCTCCTTGACCAGCCTTCTCAACCCCTTGCCCTCCCCTCCTGCCTCCAGCTTCGTCTCCCTCCTGGACACTCCCCGTCTCTGGGAGCCTCCTGCGGGTTCCTGGCTGGTGTCTGTTTTCCCAGCATGAGGGAAGCTCCTGGAGGGCAAGAGGCACATCTGTCTGGGCCTCGGGATCCTGGTGCTGCTCAGTAATGTCCATTGCCAGAGTGAGGCAGGGAAGGAGGTCTCAGCCCTAAGGTGTTCTTGGCATAGGGCCTGGCCTATGCGTGTATTTTATCTAATCCCTCTAACGACTTTACAAGGCAAAATTTATTATCTTCATTTCATAAATGAAGGAGCTCAGAATATAAAGCAGCTTGTGGGAGATCACAGAGAGTGTTAGTGGAAATTTGAACCAGGGGGGTCTGTGAGGCTCCAAAGAGGTGGGTGATGCCCCCTGAGCTGAAGGGGTGGGGCAGGAGACCCGTCCTAGCCTGGGCTCAGCTGCAGCCTCGCTCTGGGACTGTGGGCCGCAGGCTTCTCTTTGTATACTGGGGCTGGGGTCGCTCCCTGAGCTAAGATCCTGGCTCCAATGGAAGAAAGGTGATTTGCAGTGAGGGGGGTGAGGGGGCTTGGAGCCTCGGAGGAAGGGGTTGAAGCTGGGTAGGGAACAAGGGGCAGGATCCTCCTGAGGTGCCAGCATGGGAAACCGTGGGGGAAGGGCTTGGCCACAGGAATGAACTCAAAAAAGGGATCGAAGCACCCTGAGCTCCGAGCTGGATGCACAGGTGGGTGAGCCTTGGAAGCAGGAGGGACCTCCAGGGGGAGGGCACAGCAGCCGCATCCAGGCTGGGTGTCCCTGGGCCACAAGCTCAGCCTCTCTGTGGCTTTCCCAGCTTCAAGCAGAAGCTCAACCCTGGGAGAAGCGCTCTCTCGGGTTCCCCTGCTCCTAGCCCCAAGGACCCAGCCTGCTAGGTCCCACCAGCCCTGAAGCTAGGTCCACAGGTGCATATGGGCTCCCTCGGCTGCTGGCTTCCTGCCCAGCCCTCCTTCGGCAGCGCTCACTGGCTGGAGAGCAGGGGTCTCCTGAGGGGTGGGGCAGGGGCCAGGGCTTGCCCTCTGATCCTACCCCTAACATTGCCTGGGCCCAGGGCAGGAGTAAAAATGGAGGCCCACATACTATATGTCTGGATATTTCAAAGTTATAAATCAAGCCAACAACCTCTAAATAGGATATGCTCTATCCTCCTACATTAGCAAATACACCTTCATAACACCCTGAGGACCAGGTTTGTACTTAGAATTCTTGGGCTCCTGGAATGCAGGACTGGAATGTGGCAGGCAGAGGCTGAGCCAACCCCAGCTCCCATCCCGGGCTCCCCCTTGGGCAGTGTGTGACCTTCCCAGACCCATCCATATACGTAGCAGTGGCTGCCCCTTGGCCACTCCCGAGGCCTTGGGGTGTGCACACCCGCTGCAGGTCGGTTCTCAGGAAGGCAGGCCCAGCGGAAAGGCCCACGTGGGCTGTGGAGTTAGATTTGGGGCCCTGTGGGCAGGGAATTCTGGGGTTCTGCATTTGGAGGGGGGATGTGGGGCTCGGGTGGACACATTTCCTTGGCTCATGGACTTTATTTCCCTGTTGGAGGGGCAAGGCCAGTGGAAGGCTGGAGTGGAATCCTCTAGAATGCAGGTGCCAGGGCAGGGCTCCTTCTTGCTTGCATCTAAGGGTAATGCTGTCCCCGGGCACTCCCAGAACCTGGCTATGGATAAAATGTCCCTACCCTGCTTACATCTCAGCATCTGAGGTACCCTGGAGCCACACTGGACTTGCCTACCTTGCCCCACCCACAGTCTATGGTGCTGGCATTCCCTCACCCTGGACGCTGGCACTCTTCTCTGGCACCATCCCCTCCCTTCCTGCCCAGCATGCCCACTTTCCTCATGTGGCAGGGGAGGGGGCGCCTCCTGTTCCCCACCTCTCTGGGACCTTGGTCTCCGCCGGTCCATGTGCTCTCTCTGCCTGGTCTGGCTCGGTGGACCTCTCGGTGCCGAGCCCTCCCGCCCTGACCGGGGGCCCTGCGGGCAGTGGGCAGCCCTCCTGGAAAGTGGGGCACCAACTCCACTTCAGCCAATGTTTCTCGCTCTCTCAGCTGAAAAGCCACCGCTTCCCCGAGGCTCCCAGCCCTCGCCCCACCGGTACTAGCAGCTCCTTCCCTGATGCTGTGTGACAGGCCCAACGTCAGGGCTCCCACACCTGGCCAGCTGCCCTGCTACTGGGTGCCTCCCCCACAACACCTGCCACAAGCCAATCAGGGCACTGCAGCCCCTGCTGTATGGGTGCTGTCTGCCTTTGGGCCCAGGATGGGCCCTTCTGGGCTCCCCTGTTCCTGTCCAGTCTCGCCTCCCACCCTGAGGGGGATCATGGCAAAAAAAGTGGGGGTGGTGAGCGGACCCTGCTGTCAGGGTTGAGAGGTGATTCAGAGGCCTTTTCTGTCACGAGTGAAGGGGGTTGGGCCCTGGGGGGAGGTGATGGGGATTTTTGGACTGAGCTGTGCCCCGAGGGCCTTGATCAGCTTTGGCCCCCGAGTATCTGATCAGGAACATGCTGGCTGGAACACTCAGGGAGAGGCCGTCCTGTGCCTCCTCAGCCTACAGTCCACGGTGCTGGCCGCCACCTCAGGAACGACTCCTGCAGACGTGGCCCCTTCCCATGTTTCTTTGTTCACGGCTGGCCTGGTTCTTGCTGTGTCAGCATCGGCACCATCCCCTGCCAGGCATGGCCGCAGTCCCACAACCAGCATGGCTCCCTAGGGAGGACAATGCCGGGTGGGAGGGTCCCGGCTGTGGGGACCAGGTCTGGGCCTAGGCAAGGAGAGTGCCCATCTCATCCTGCCAGATAATGGATAGAGGGAGAGGCACCCACTTGCCCCCTGTGCAGCTGTGGGTTTCCCTGGACAGGCTTGTGCCTGCCACCCTGGGGAGGCCCCTCCTTCTCCTCTCTCCTCATCAGGATGGCCTGGCCTGTCTCCCTCCTGCTACAACGCCCCTCCCTGCTGGCCCAGCAGGGTCCAGGAGCCTGAGCTACTGGGACATACCCAGCTTACAATGGACAATGAGCCCAGATCTTCCTCTGCAAGCCAGCCGGTGCCGGGAGGCGAGACAGGCCAGGTCGGTTACCTGAGGGGGATCTCTGAGCGCCTCCTCTGCTCTGCCCTTTGCACCTGCTGAGCCCATCTCAATGCCTTCCTCCCTCCTTGTTGCCCTTGAGCCCCCCACAGCACCCTTCTCCGGGAAGCCTTCCTGACTGCAGAATTCCCCAGCATGAGTCTGAGTGAAGGACCCATCCCTACAGGTCCCTGTCCTGGGAGTCAAGGCTCCTGGGAGCTGGCCCAGATATCCTTTTAGCCATAGCCCAACCCCCTCCTTGGCTCATGCTAGGCCCTTGGGCTCAGTAGAGACTTTCACAAGAGGTGGGGGCTTGTGGTGGCCACAGCATGCTGGCCTATGGCTTGTGGCTCAGTTGCCCATCTGAGAAATAGGGGCGCTGTCGCTTCCTCTGCCAGCAATGGTCTCCATCCCTCCCCGCCTCTCCGGTTTCCTTTATGGAGCAGCTCAGCTGTTTCCCAGTTGGGAAGCGCCCTGCTCCTCTGGGAAGGGCTCAGGAAGCAATTGAGGATCTGACCTCATGTTTCCGTCCATCCAGCCCTGTCTGGTGCTGCCAGATGTCTGAGGAGCTTCTGTGGGGGAGGGGGAAGGGGTAGGAGATGGGGCTGCAGGACTAGGGGCTGGATCTAACTCCAGCCCCTCTTGGGATGAGGCTGTTGTCCCTTTTGATGGGGAACTGAGGTCCCAAGTTGAGGGGAGCTCAGGCTGCAAAGCTGGCTGCCCGTGCCTTCCTGCTCAGAGCTACCCCTGGCATGTGCTAAGGAATTTGCAGGGGAAAAAATACAACTGGATGCCAGGCCTTGAGGCCACCTGAGGCCCACAGGCTGTGAGAATGCAGGTTTGGGCTGGAGCTAGCACAGAAGCAAGGTCTGCCAGGGGCCAGGAAAGGCAGGAGGCTGACCTCAGCTTGGGGGATGGGGTGGGAGGGTCAAGAGGACAACAGGCGAGGGAGGCAGCGGCTGGTCTGAGTGCCCCGAGGAGCCTGCCCAGGTGGGAGGCTGCCAGCCAGGCCCTGGGAAGGGGACTTCTGGGGCACTGCACCCTCTCTGGGAGTACCACTGAGCAGGGCGGGCAGGAAGGCTGGGCTTATTGCGTTTCAGGACCAGTCACTTCCTCTCTCTGGACCACACCTTTCAGATGAGCTCACCACCTACTTCAGTGCCCAGCCCACCCTGATGTTGCAGGAGCAAATAAGGTGATGAAGACTCTGAAAAGCAGAAATGTGGTATTATTAGTAGACTTCATATTTGACTTGCTAATTCACTTCCTAAAAATAGCTACATTTATTATAGCATGGGGAGAACCCTATGCTAGAGTTGGCGCCCTGGATTCTTGGTGCGGCTCTGTGACAGCTATGCTGTGTGACCTTGGGCTGGGTCCTAACCATTTCTGGTCGTCTGATTTCTAGGTGGAGGCTGGATAGTCCCTGAGGGCCATAGGCCCTGAGATTGGAACAGCAGCTGGATGCAAAATCATCAAGGAGGATGTGGACTGGATGTGGGCTCTGGAGGACTGGCTTCCTCTGAGTCACGGGTCAGAGCAATTGGTGCCACTGAGGCTGCCCCTGTAACCTGTTGGAGGGGTATTGAGTCTTGTGTCTTGCCTTGATCTTGAGGCCCCAGGGGCAGGTTGCCTGGTCCCCACCACAGAGCCCAACCATTAGGAGGCTCCAAGGACTGCAGATGAAAAGGGTCACAGAGAGGAGCTAGAGCCAGATGGGGTGGGGTGGGGGAAACCGTGGGACATCCAGCTGGCTGGGGAACCCACTCATTCACAGCACGTTTACTGAGGGCCTTCTATGTGCCTAGCACTGACTCTGCCACATGCTGCAGAGACAATGGAGGGTGAACTAGACCAGGCCCTGGTCCCTGCCCTCCTGGAGCTTCAGCTGTAGTACAGGAGGCAGGCACTCATCACTAACCACACAACTAAACTCTACAAAGGGCTCAGAGAGGGGTGCATGGTGCCAGGAGCACATGTAATGGGGGATTTGACTTAGGTGAGAGGTCAGAGAAAGCTCACTGGAGGAGGTGACATGGGTTGAAACCTGAAGGATGAGTAGGTACCTGCTAGGCAAAGCAGGGGTGGTAGGGGAATGCTAGGCAGAAGGAAGAGCAGAAACACTGGCCAGGTGGTGAGCAGGGGGTGCAGAGGGGCTAAGGGGAAGCCAGAGTGGCTGCAGTGGACACCGGGACCCAGGAGTCCTGCCTTTACCATCAGCTTGGTGAAAAAGCCCCTGAAGAGGAGATTTTTGATCTGAAGCAGCTGCTATGTGGGCCTGATGGTGGTTGAACCAGAGTGCGGGGGTTTAGATGGCCACGGGCCAGACTCAGACGTCAGCATGAGGCAACGGAAGGGATCAAGGTGGTTGTGTCTAGAGACACTGATTCATAGAAACTCTGGCCTGGAAGTGCACATGTCTGAGGACACAGGTTACCTGGTGGGTGTTTCTTCCTCCTTCCTGCACTCTCCTGTCTGGTTTCAGTTCTTCTGTCAGCCCCGTGAGTCACCGGCTCCTCCAGGTGGTGCAGGCCCGGGACCTGCCAGGATGCTGTCCCCACCCCCTGAATGTGCCCCCATCTCCATTTTCCTTGCCCCTCTGTCCCTGGGTGCCTGCTGTGACTCCCCAAGCCCCTGCCCACCCTGTCTGCTCTCTGTGTGGTGGAACCATCAGCCTGGGAGAACTGAAGAGTTAATTGTAGGACAACTGGCCCTGACAGGGGCTTTCCAGTAGACAGTGTGTGAACTTTGGTGTATGGTGGCATTGATGGGAAACCAAGGGGAGTGGTGCTGAAAGGGGCCCCTTGGAGACCATCTGTCCATGCTGCACAGGGCACAGTGGGCTTGGGGCTGAGGACCACCACGAAGCCTAGTAGCAGGGGATGGGAACCCCTAGCCCCCTGGTATTTTAAATCTTGGGAGAGGCAGGTGCGTGGGGCCTTTCTGACCTGGGGCCTCAAGATCCCCTGCCTCCTAGATCTTGTATTGCCAGCTGCTGTGGGGCTTTTGCCCCGAGAAGCTGGACTCCTGGGATTTTGAAGGGAGGCCTTGGGGGCACTCATTATAGCAGGGGTTCCCGCTGGGACCAGATCCAGAAGTTTGGTTAGGAATACAAGCCCTCGCCATTGGGAAGGGTCCCAGGGCTGATGGGGGTGACACGGAGCCCCCTGCACCCTGGCCATCTCTCCTGGGGGCCAGAGTGGCTCATCTTCTTGACCCCTGCGGCCCTGCTCACTCCCCCATGCCCCTGCTCTTCTTTAGCCATCCTGGAGAAAATTCTCTCTTGTCGCACCTAAGAGGGTCCTGAAACAGCAATAAGGACATCTAGCCCCTGTCTTCACATAGCACTGCAGTTGGCCACCCTTTCCCCACCTTCTCCTAGAGCATTATTTTGGGAAAGGGACACTCCCGGAATTGAGGTTGGATACTCAGTATAGAGGCCTCTAGAAGTTTCTCCTTAGGTCTAGCCTCCTTTGCAGGACAACTTTCTGTGGAAACCTGTGGCCTGGGAGACAGTCTCTTCTCCAGCCCCTTCCCCTCTCGAGAGAGCAGACTTTGGATGGAGCTGGGTGCATTTCTAGAATGTTCTCTCAACTGGTGGAGGTGCAAGGAGAAAGGAAGGGCTTGTTTCCTCCCTCGCTCAGGTTAGAAGGAGCTGGCATCAGAATGGGGCCGGGGAGTCCCATGCTCAGCTCTGTGTGCTGTTCTTCCCACCCCAGAAACCCTGCCTCCCACCTATGCCTTCTGTGTCCCCAGCCCTGGTTCTGCCCTGGGACCTTGGGATGGGCCTGAGGGCAGTGGCTGGGAGTCTGGGAGCTGTCACTCCTGGGGCAGTACCGCCCCCTGCTGGCCACCCAGAGAGGCCCGGAGGCTAGAAGTTTCATTCAGTGCCTGCTGGTCAGCCCAGTGCCAGCTGATTGGCCCCGTGGGGCTGGTTCCTGGGTTCTCCAGGAACAGCCTGGGTGCGCTCTGGCACAGATTCTGGCTTGGTCTCTGGCAGGCTGAGTGGTTTTAGACGAATTTCTCTTCCTGACTGGGTGGGCCTCAATTTCCTGATCTGTACAAAGAGTAGGGTGACTCAAGGAGGTTCCTCCCAGGTTTCAGATTTGGAGCCTGCTCCTAGCCTGCCTCTTCATTCCCGTTCCTGCTCTCCCTGCCCTCAAGGCCTCCCAGCCCCTTCTGGCCTCGCTCTCTACTTGGCAGGTCCCAGTGCCAGCAGCCCCCACCTGCCCTCCACTTCCCTGGGCCCCCCTCCCGCCGCCACAGGCTGCCTCCCCTCCCACTTGGCCCCTCACTCAGTGCTGGGCCTGGCTGGCTGAGGTGGGTGGAGGAGCACCCCCAATCCTCCTCCCACTCAGGCATGAACCGTTGTGACTGGGCTCCTAGCGAGTAGGTAAGACATCATACATTATCCAGTTTGCCAACTGTAAAATGGGATAATAACACCCAACTCCCAGAGTTGTTATGAGGATTAAACAAAATAATGACACATTTGTGAAAGAGCTTTGTAGGTAGGTGGAGAGTCTGTGTCAGAGGAGGGGTCAAGAGTAACTTGGGCAGGCTGCCTGGATGGTCCCTGAGGCCAACAGCGGAAGGCTGGACGACCTAGACAAGCCCTCGCTGGACACCACCCACCCTCCTGGGGTTGGAAGTCAGGTCAGACCCCTGGGAGTCCAGTCCTGATCTCCTGTGGTGAGAGAGGCCTGGAGTCTGGCAAGAGAACTCTGCCGGGCATAGCTCCATGACTTACCAGTCCCAGCAGAGACATGGGAGCGGTGGGGGAGCCAGAGACAGACCTCTCAGCACCCCTGGGACAGGAGGGGCTCTCAGTCTCTGCAGGAAAGAAAGCAAGACATTCCATAGGCACCATAGGCACCAAGACATTCCAAAGGCACAACATTGATCAGAGACTTAAGACTATCCTGAAGGCTCTCCACTCATCTCAGGAGAAATTTCCCAGGCCTTAGTTGAGCATTGAAGGTCTTAAGGACTTAAGGACCTGGCTCCTGTGCCCCTTTCTGCTTTGTTTTACCCCTCCCTTCTGTCCTCTATCGGCCACTCTGAATTCCTTGGCAACCAGACTATTCACAGGCAACTCTAGGAGAGAGATACTATTAAGACAACGATGCACAGAGAGGTTGAGCAGCTTGCTTAAGGCCACACAGTCAGTGAGTGGAGGAGCAGGGGATGGAATGCACTGGAGCCCTGCCCCTAACCTCCACGCTATGCTGCTCTCAGGACACATGGGAGGGGGCGGGTTTAGGCGGGGAGAGCAGGGAGGGGCCTTTTCAGAATTTAGGGGACAGAGGATGGTGGCCTGATGGGCAGGGCTCGGGGTCTGGGAAGAGAGGGGTGGGGTTTGGAGACACTTGGAAGAAGGAGCAGGGGGAGCAGCAGTTTGACGCTTTGAAGACTGGATGAAAGGGGCCTGGGGTGAGGGGCAGGGGCAGAGGAAGCTGGTGGGGTTGGATTTGGGTGTGGCATGGGTGTGGGCCTGGGGGCCACCCAGATGGTCGAGTTGTGGGAGGTGGGATGCTGGGGCTCAGGAGTGGAGCCCCTTGGGATTGCCAGCTCTGTGCCTAGGACTGAGTGTGGGCACCTGGCGGGAGGTGGTATGTACAGTGAGAAGTCCCAGGGAGCCTCCACATCAGGGCTGTCTCAGAAACTGGTGGGGCTAAGGAACCAGGCGAGGTTTAGGGGAGCTGGACACCTGTCCAGGAGAGGACCAGTAGGGGGGACAGTATCCATTGGCACACCCAGGGCAGAGGGAGTAGTAGCCCCAGAGACTTGAGATGGGACCTGTGGGTAGAAAAAAAAGAGGAGGTGGGGCGTGATGACTCATGCCTGTAATCTCAGCACTTTGGGAGGCCGAGGTGGGTGGATCATGAAGTCAGGAGTTCAAGACCAGCCTGGCCAACATGGTGAAACCCTGTCTCTACTAAAAAAATAGGCTGGCTGTGGTGGCTCGTGCCTGTAATCCCAGCACTTTGGGAGGCCGAGGTGGGTGGATCATGAGGTCAGGAGTACAAGACCAGCCTGGCCAACATGGTGAAACCCCGTCTCTACTAAAAATATAGGCTGGGCGTGGTGGCTAGTGCCTGTAATCCCAGCACTTTGGGAGGCCGAGGTAGGTGGATCACTTGAAGTCAGGAGTTTGACACCAGCCTGGGCAACAGGGTGAAACCCCATCTCTACTAAAAAATACAAAATTTAGTTGGTCGTGGTGGTGGGCACCTGTAATCCCAGCTACTGGTGAGGTGAGGCAGGAGAATTGCTTGAACCTGGGAGGCGGAGGTTGCAGTGAGCCAAGATTGTGCCATTGCACTCCAACCTGGGCAAAGAAGCGAGACTCCGTCTCAAAAAAAAAAAAAAAAAAATATTAGCCGGATGTGGTGGCGGGCACCTGTAATCCCAGCTACTTGGCAGGCTGAGGCAGAGAATCGCTTGAACCTGGGAGGCGGAGGTTACAGTGAGCCGAGATCGCACCACTGCACTCCAGCCTGGGCGACAGAGCAAGACTCCATCTCAAAAAAAAGAAAAAGAAAAAGAAAACGGAAAAAAATTGCACAGAGGAGGCTGGATGTGGTAGGTCATGCCTGTAATCCCAGAACTTTGGGAAGCTGAGGCGGGTGGATCACCTGAGGTCAGGAGTTCGAGACCAGCCTGGCCAACATGGCGAAACCCTGTCTCTACTAAAAACACGAAAATTAGCCAGGTGTGGTAGTGTGTGCCTATAGTCCCAGCTACTCAGGAGGCTGAGGTGGGAGAAACTCTTGAACCCGGGAGCCAGAGGCTGCAGTTAGTCGAGATCATGCCACTGCACTCCAGCCTGGGCAACAGAGTAAGACTCTGTTTCAAAAAAACAAAACAAAACAACAACAACAACAAAATCTCCAAACAACAACAAAAAAGAAATTGCACAGAGGGAAGCTTATCTTGATGGAAGAAAAGCTTTCTCATTAATGGAGTACCCAAATGTCACAGAGGCTTGGGGTACTAATCCCAGTCACAGGAGGCATCAGAGGCAGGGCTGGATGGCTGCTCTGCAGGGTGAGGGCTGTTGCTAAGGGAGCTTCAGTGGTGGTGATGGACATGAGGCCGGGGAACCTGTACCTAGTGGAAGGACCATTGCTTTCTAAACTTAAACAGCCCCTTTCCTGGGGAACAAGCTCTAACTCATGCTGTGAAACCACGACCCGCCCCGGCATTCTAAGACTCACCTGCTGTGTAGACGGAGGCCTTCTGCATCACCAGAAGGAGTCCCTCTCCCCTCCCCCATGTCGCAAGCTCATCATCTTGAGGGACTTTCCCTGTCTCTCTTCATCCCACACCCACCCCAGGGCAGGCCTTTGAACCAAGGTTTCCTTCCTGGTCTGGCATGAAAGGAAGCCAGGAGGGAGACGTCAGCAGCAGCCACGGGCACTCCCACTCCATTCCAGCTGGCCTGGGGGCTGCGGTTGACAGGCTGGCCCCAGGGAGGGGTTCCTGAGATGTTTCCTTACATGCGTAACTGGAATTGCACAGCTTGGTAATTAGGAGAGGCAGCAAAGTGTTCTATAAATGACTGTAATTATGGCCAACATGGCGAAACCCGTCTCTACTAAAAAATACAAAAAAATTAGCCAGGCATGGCGGCAGGTCCCCCTGTAATCCCAGCTACTTAGGAGGCTGAGGTAGGAGAATCGCTTGAACCCAGGAGGTGGAGGTTGCAGTGAGCCAAGATCAAGTCACTGCACTCCAGCCTGGGCGATAAGAACGAAACTCTGTCTCAAAAAAAAAAAAAAAAAAAAGGCTGTAATTATAGTTACTTTCTGAAGCCAAACCAGAATTTCCAGGATCACCTGGGGGAACCGGGTGAAGGGGAGAGGAGGAGGGAGGGGAAGATCTGGTTGTGAAGTGTCAGTTGTGGGCCAGACTTCCTCCATGAGCTATATACATGTTCACAAGGCCCCTCTGCAGACTTCTTGGGGGTCTAGATCACCAGCGGGCCTGGAACCCATCTGGTTCGGACCCCAATTTGACAGAGGCGAGAAGCCTAGAGAATGGAGTGGACTTGGTCCAAGTGACAGAGGCATCAGCAGCAGAACCTGGGCTGGAACCCAGCCATCCCATCAGCCAGACTGAGACACACATTTTTAGTTTTTGGACCACGCCAAACACTTTGTTTTCTCCTGGTCTTTCCCCAGTGTCCTCTCTAGCCTGGCACTCTCTCCTTACCCTTTTCTGGGATATATTTACCCTCCCCTTTGTTCTCTATAATGCTGCCTCCTCCAAGAAGCCTTCCCTGAACCCCTGCACAGAGTGTCTCCTCTGGTTCTCCGTGGCCCCCATGCATCCCTCTGTCCCCCCACAGACCGGCCCACCCTGGGTAGACCTGTCGCCTTCAGAGAGCAGGGACCACACTCAATTCCCAGTGATGGGCCTGCAGCCAGCTGGTACCGGCTCATAGGTGCTGGTGGCCACATTTTCAGAATTTTGCGAACGAGTTGTTAAGCACAGTCATTGTCGGTACTTAAATTATATAACCTTAAATACATTTTGTTAAAAAAGGAAATACCCACTAGCAACTCATCATTTCCTAATTATTTTACTATATGTTACCATTATTCATGCTCGTAAGGTAATTTGTGTCTATTGCACCTGGTGGTGCACACACTTTGTGATGTTGTGAACCAGCTCCACGCTCAGTGACAAAATACTGCTGGCTTTATATCTGCCAGGGTAGGAATATTTGCACCACAGAAATAGGCAAAGACTACAAATCAGGGCCCCTCACCCCAGTCCAGAGACCTGGTTGTTAAACACTGTTCAGCTCACCCCTGAATTTGCCTCTGACTTTCTGGCCCTGACAGCAGGCTTCGCACCTGGCAGATTTGGCAGGTGCTCAGTGAGGAAGGGCCACCGCGCAGGAGGAGAGAGGATGCAGGCTTAACCATGGGAGGAGGGACTGCCTGCTTCTGCCCCCAGTGCTGGCTCTGGCCTCTGCCCCATTTTCTGACCCCTACCCAGGGCTCTCACAGGGGTGTAGGTAAGCCCTGTGGCAGGGGCCTGCATCTTGGATTTGGGCGAAGCCTCTTTCCCAGGCCAGGGCTGAGGGGCCCCAGAGAGTCAGGCAGGTGTAGGTGGCCTTGGCAGGGCTCACAGAGAGCTGGGCCTGGAGGGGTTCCTGGCTCTTCCTCTTCCAAATTGTACATGGCAGTGTGCCACCTTCCTGCACCCCTCCCAGCCTGGCCACAGCAGGTGGAGTGGGTGGAAAGGCCGTGGGGCTGGGAGGCTTCAGAGAGGCATTTAGTGGGTTTTGGCATTTTGCAATGCACAGGTCAGATTTTGGGCTAAGGGTGTTTGCAGGGATGTGTTGGAGTTAAAGGTCACAACACACCTATAAAAACTGGAAATGGTCAATTATTGTCAGTGTCAAGAAGAAAAATTGCCCCTTTGTTGCCCTTTCACTACAGCAGAGTGCTACTTCAAACAAACCAATACGCAAATGCCAGCCCACAGGTGTGTTCTGGGAGGGATCTATCTAAGAATGATCTGGCCCTAAGTATCAATAGTGCTGAGGCTGAGAAACCCTGCCCCAGAAAGATGTTCTCACACACACCCAATTTTAGGGGACCCTTCAGTCCCGAGTAAAGAACCCCTGGTCTCTGCAACCTTAGTTTACAGAAGAGAAACTAACCAAGAGCTGAGGTGGGGGTGGTAAAGAGTGTGCTCAAGATCACCCAGCAAGTCCCCCTTGTGCACTCAGCAAGGTGCCTGCCCACAGTAGCGGCTCAGTAAATGTTAAATTGGGAAGAAAATCAGGAAAGGATTAGGCTCTGGCCTGAAACTCTTCTCAAGGTTGCCCTGGAAAGGATCCCACCAGCATCCCCTTGATCCTTGTTGGACTCCAGCTTCTTGGCAGCAGTTGCTGCTGCTGATTGGCATCTTCTTGACTGACATGAGGAGGCCCGATCCTGGCTGATGGTGGAGGCAGGCAAGGCTGCCTATAAGGTAAGGAAGAGAGTGGGTCAAGGTCAATTTCACACATCTAAGCCAGAGGGGACACAGTGGTTACAAGGGTTCACCATGGTGGCAGGCACCCAGGGTATTGGAGAGCTGGGCCACCCATGGTGATGGGTGGGCTAGGACAGGTTCCTGCAAGGTGTGTGGGGTTTATGTGCAGGTTGAGCTCAGATTTTCTGACCCTACCTGCCTGATGACCCAAGGTCCTTAATTAGCTAGATGCTCCTGTCTGGTGCCTGCTTCTGGAACTGGCCTTAAAGAGCCCACAAGGGTAATATCTGTGGGGGCCTCAGCTGCCACCTCTGCTCGCCATCCTTCCCTCCCTCTTCAACGGAAGCAAAATTGCATAGGTTTATGAATGTCAGATTTATAGCTCTACTTCAGGGTTCATATCCCAGATTTGCTTCTTATTGGCTGTGTGACCTTAGGCAAGTTATTCAACTTGTTTTTTTCCTCAGCTGTAGAATGGGGTTAACACAATTGTATCCACCTTGATAGGGTTAATGGCAGGATCAAATTAATTTTTTTTTGAGACCAAGTTTCACTCTTGTTGCCCAAGCTGGAGTGTAGTGGTGCGATCTCGGATCACTGCCACCCTCCTGGGTTCAAGCGATTCTCCTGCCTCAGTCTCCCAAGTAGCTGGGGTTACAGGCATGCACCACTATGGCCGGCTAATTTTGTATTTTTAATAGAGTCAGGGTTTCACCATGTTGGCCAGGCTAGTCTTGAACTGCTGACCTCAGGTGATCCACCCACCTCGGCCTCCCAAAGTGTTGGGATTACAGGCATGAGCCACCACGTCCGGCCCAAATTACTTAATTTTTTTTTTTAACAGATCAGTCAGAGGGATGGCTGGCCTAGAGTAACCAGTCAACAAATAGGAACTAATACCAGTACGGTTTTTATTGGGTTCCTCACACCCTCCACGGATGGTGAGAACTAACTTAAGTCTCCTTTTCTCTCGAGCATCTCCATCTTTCTGCTGCCCTCTAGTGGAGCCCGGCTGTATGTCCTGAGAGGACACGAGATGAACTTGGTTGTGTCCGGAGAGGTAATTTCTTGCTTCAGATTTCAAAGAAAGTGTGCCATTTAAGGAAACCTGGTGATTGGTTCTTGTACAGAGTCAAACAACTAGTTTCTCCCCCATCCTCCCAAGCGGAATGCACCTGTGGTTGGCATTTGTGTGCTGGTTTGTTGGAAGCAGCACTTTACTACAGTGAAAGGGCAACAAGGGCAATTTTTCTTCTTGACATTGATGATAATTGGCCATTTTCACTTTTTACAGGTGCAGTAACCCCAACATATTTCTGTAAACTTCCTTACCTGAGCTTTTATAGCAACCAGGTGGGGCCACATGTTGTCCCAGCCTGGTCCCCTGCTCCCATGGACCTTGCGAGAAGCGAAAGGACAACCACAGAGGGTGGGGGTTCTGTGCTGGGCACTGGGTGTGCAAAGCTGTATGTGATGTAACCGTGGACCTTGGAGAGAGGTTTCTTTAAGGGAAAGATGAGGATGGAGCGGGGCAGGGGGCAGGATAGGAAGGAGCCTGGATACCTACCTGGTCTGGCTGCTGGGAGGTCAGTGAGAGCGAGGGGAGGGGCAGGCCAGAGTACTGGATTGGAATAGTCCCCGGGCCCCCTGCTGGGGAAACTGAGTTCTGGGAGGGACAAAGCTGTGCCGCACACCTGGCTACCTGAGGGACCCTGGAGCTTGGTCTGTCGCAGCACACCTGTGTCTGCGGGCAACACGGCCGATGGCCACTCCAGATGCTCGATCAATTCTGCAGCTTAGGCCAGTCTCAGAAGGCTCCGCAACACCTGCGCCAGGTCTCTGCGCCTTCCCCACGCGTTCACGCTCCAGGTCCTCACGCCTCTCAGCCCTGGCCTTGGTCCCGCCCCCTCATGGCCAGCCAATCCGAGAACCCCAGCAACCCCCTCGTCCAATGCGGCGCCTCCGGGTCCGCGCCCGCCCCGCCCCCTCCACCGCAGCCTCTGTAGGTGGATGCTTTCCGCTGCTCCGGCCGCCGGCGCCCGAAGCCAGCATCCCAGCTGCGGCCCCCACCAGGAGGTGCTGGAGGGGACTGCGGCTCGTGCCCCGGAGCCAGTCCTAGGCTCCGGAGCCAAGCGTGTCTCCCGGCCTCGTTCCCAGGATCTCCCTTCTGGAAGCCGCACCTTCTTCTCGTGCGCCCTCCCCACGGGCAGGGGATACATCCCGGAAGCGGTGCAGGGGAAGGCTCTGTGGACAGGGGCGCGGGCTCTGGCTTCAGCCCTGTTCTGGCTCTCCTGGATCCTCCCCTCAGGCCCTCAGCCTCCTTATCTGACAAACGGGGATTTGCGGCTGCCGGGGTTGGCTCTGGGACCATTTAGCCTACAGTGCGAGTTCGGACGGAACGGACCATGTAAACCAAATAAGTCCACTGTGGGCTGTGGCTGGCTCTCCCACTCCTTTCCTGGCCCCCCGGTAGGGCCCAGACTCAGCCCGGGGCCCCCAGTCCCCTGCCTCGCGAGCCCACCTCCTTCCTGCACGCGGGCGGCTGGGTGTCCGAGCCCGGCGCTGTTGCTGTGGGCTTTGGCTCCACCTAGTGGCACAAGGTTTGATCTGAGAGGCGCCGGCTGAGGCTCTGGAGTGAAGGAAGCGGTATCTGAATGGCTGAGAGAGAGACTGGAGCAAGGACAAAGTGGCATTTCTCTGCCTCAGCTTCTGCCGCAGACCTGGCTGAGGGTGGCCTCAGTCCACTCCGCCCTCTGGTTCCGAGGGGAGGCTGGGGTACTGTGCACTTGCCTGTGCTACTGTGTTAGCTTTTTCATGTTCTCCTTGTGGGGTGCTGTCCTTGTGCCACGTGGAAGCCTCTCATAGCCCGCTGGCCCCATGCACACCTGCCTGGAACACTGAGGCTATAGTCGTCGAATAAGTGTGGGCCACCGCTCTGTGGCCGACTATGTAAACCAGGCAGGTGGCCCTTCCCCTCCTGCCCCCACTACCTACTGTCCCCAGGAGGGAAGAGGTGCCCATGCCAACCTCCGTGGCTCACTGGTCTTGAATCTTAGTGCCCTTAGCAGCCCCAGCCACTGGTTGCAGTAAGAAGCTTCTTGCTTACATGACATGGCATGGCATGGCTTCTGTGCCCTTGTCTGACTGGCCCCATCCTCTTCCTCCTCTGGAACTGGACTCTGTCTCCATGGTCCAGCCACGATGGGTGTTTTTCCTTATGTGCCTGTGTAAAGGGGTGCGAGGTGTGTCAGGGGGAGGACAGGGAAGAGCTGTTGGCCTGGTTACTTATGTACTGCCCGCTAGAGAAGCCCGCAGCGGGGGCCTCCCAAGGGCCCATGTGAATATTTCACAGCTGAAGAAAAAATGATTGGCTCTCAAATAAGAACACTGCAAAATGGAAATCAATAAATTCTTAATCAAGTGTCCAACTGTAACATTATATCAACCTCATTAACTGTTAAATTTAGTATTCATAAAAATTTCATTACATCTGAAAGAATGTGTGGGCTAGGTTTTTCTCATTTCACAAGAATTCCCAATTGTAATTTAAATCAGTCACTCCTAGCCAAATGGTTTCAAGAGCAAAATTATAAATATCCTTTCAAAAACTTTACAGCAAATTTTTAATATTTTAACATGTTTGCACTGAGGAAGTGAAGTGAAGCTGTAAAAATAAAAATGAAGCTGAACGCGGTGGCACGCGCCTGTATTCCCAGCTACTCAGGAGGCCGAGCCAGGAGAATTGCTTGAGCCCAGGAGTTCAAAGCCAGCCTGGGCAATGTATAGAGGGGGACAAGGAGCCACAGTGTGCACCCAGGCAGGGAGTGCCTGGGTACTCATTCACCCTTCAAGTTGGGGTGTGGGGGTTCCTCTGGACTTACAGGAGTGATGAGGATTTAGAGGAGCAGGGAGAGGCTGCCCTGGGTAGCTAAGATTAGGGCTCAGGTTCCAGTTCACCATGTGGAGTTAAGTTCTCATAGGAGGGCTGCAATGGGTGGGCCCCTAGGAACAGCCCTCAGAGATGCCCTTTGCAGAGGCTCCCAACCTGGCAACACTCCTTTGCCGGGGGCTCTGGGCCTTTGACTTCTGGGTCCAGTCTTCTCCCCTCCTTTACCCCAATTACTCCTGCCCCTAAAGCTATGTCAACTCTGTCCCGTATTTCCCTTCATTTCACTCTTGTTGGACAGAAGGAATAGCCCAGGATCCATAAAAAGAAACAGTCCCCAAAGCAGGGACCCCTTTCCTCCAGGACACAGAACATTCAGTCTTCATAATCCCTGACTACATAAGCCCTGGCCCGGGCAGGAACAATGTGTTTCATTCCTTCCTTGGGAATGTCTCTTTACCATATGGCCACATGACCCCTCCCAAGGCCAAACAAACAAACAAACAGGAAAAACCCCAAACAGCAAAAGGAATCTATTTAATAATAGTTTTAACAGCCACATCTGATACTTAAGCTGAGAAATGCCATAACCTTGAGTCCCATCTCTAGGGCTGATTTCTCTCCAAACATCTTAGGTCCTTGCCTCTCCCTCCTCCCTTTAAACTGTTAGAGTGGGGTGACACCGAAACAGATGAAATGCCCTCAGAGAAAGAAATAGGGTGGAGTCGGGGGGACCATCTGACTTAGTGAAATACCCTGAGCTGTGCATGTGAAAACAAACAGGGAAAGAATCACCTAATTTTCATGTATGGTGTCCATACCCTAAGCTGAGCAAGAGGGTGATGTTTAAGGCAATGATATTAGGTGGGCTACTTTGAGAACCTCTGAATCTTTTAAGTGCTTTTTTTTATCTTGCAACAGCTCTGAGAGGCAGGTCTGATTATCTCCATTTTAAATATGAAAAAATTAAGTCTCAAGTAGCTCAAGTGTCTTGCCCTATGCCACGCGACCACTCAGTGGTTGAACTAGGATTTGAACCTGAGTCCATGTGGCTCCAAAACCGTTGCTTGTTTCATGATACAAAACTGTATTATTATGTCTATGGTCTGGCCAGCACCTCTGCTAGCGGATGTATTGCCATCCAGAGCAAAACGACATTGTCCAGCCTCCCTGTACCTACCTCCCTGTACCTAGGTACAGTCATGTGGTTACTGAATGGAAGGTCTTGACTGAGTTGTCCAGGTTCTTGGCATGTTAAAGAATTGAACAAAACGCACAAAGCAACAAAAGACAAAGCAACGAAAGAATGGAGTAATGAAGGCACAGATTTATTGAAGATGTGCAAGTACAATTCACAGAGCAAGAGTGGGCTTGAGCAAGTGGCTCAGGAGCCCCTTCAATTAGAGATTTTATTAAGCTAAAGAACATGAACACCCCCGGTGCCCTCCAGAGGCCTCCAATCAGTTACATCCAATGAAGGATTGATCCGTGACCAATTAGAGGCTTAAGTGGCGACTTGGCCTGTGGTTATCACAGAAGTGAAGATGTGGCCTGTATGTTGCCTAATCCTGCCTAGAATTGGCTGTACCTGCTGTGCCTTTTGCTTATGTGAACTGGCTGCACCTGCTCTTCTTTTGTTCCTACCTTAATCCTTGGTTGCCCTAATTCCCTATTCTCCTGCCTCAATGTGGTTAAGTTCCCACCAATCAGATATGGTTGGACTCGTGTGGGACTTTGAGGAAGGGGCTTAAATGAAGCTGGCTCTTCAGGGAGGGCCCCTTTTGGTCTTCTTGAGTTCTTCCGCCTTCTGGCCAGCAACACGGTTAATGCTCCAGCAGCAGCTTGGACCATCGGGTGGCCTTAGAAATGCCAACCAAATGTCTTCGTGGTGAAGCAGGAAGATGGAGCCTGGCATTTTGCTGGGACTGACACACTCACCCTGGACTGCCCAGCCTTGGACATCCTTTATGGGAGAGAGAATACACTTCTATCTTCTTTAAGTCTGTGATTTGGATTTTCTGTTTATCCATCCAAGCTGCCTGCAATGAATAAAATCATGTTCCCCGTCCTAGGCAACGTTTAGATGGGTCTAAATGTGTACACCCTCTACTCTGAGAATGATAGGATAGTTACAGAATGTGGGAGGCAGGAGTGGGAGGAGAAAGCACTATAAGTATGGGCCTGTCTTGAGAGAGCCAAGAAGGACTTTGGCATAGCCGAGCACTAGGCTAACCTCACCTAGCAGAGGATTCACTTGCCCATCGTAAGGGGCTTGGTGAGGGTTGGACCCTAACTTCCCATCACTTTTGAGAGGGTGAAAATTTCAGTTTGGGCACTGGCAAGAACAGAGAGAGGGAGGGAAAAATTATGTAATATACACATGTATATGTGTAATATATATATTTTGAAATGTATGTATCATTCATTAATCTTCTCAATAGTCCTGAAACAGCCACTGAAAAGTTTTGAAGCAGGGCCAGTTTAATCCACTGAGCTTGGAAGCTGATCCTACACCCTGGTCAAGCTTCAGGGATGGCAGCCGCTTGTGAGAAACCCTGAGCATGAGCCACTCAGCCACCCAGCCACCCAGTCACCCAGCCACCCAGCCACCCAGTCACCCAGAAAAGCTGCTCCTGGGTGCTGCACCCTCGGAAGCTGTGAGATAATAAACATTTATTGTTTTAAGCCACTAAATTTTGGGATAATTTGTTAAGCAGCAGTAAACAGCTAATACATTCAGCCTTGTTTGGAGTGAGTGATGTGTTTCTGGAAGCTCTTTCAGAGAAGTGAGGGAGCTATTCTCCCAGAAGCCACAGCAAACCTTTCCCTGTGTTTCATTGGCCCAAACTGAATCGCTGGCCTATGCTGTGATGTGACCATGGCCATTGGAGAGGATGAGGCAATAACCTCCAGCCCGGGCCACTTCTGGGGAGGCGGTCAGTGCCCCACAACACTGGGGGAGGTGCGGAGGCCTGAACGGAAGTTGGGGTGGCTGCCAAGAGGACCACAAGTTCTTCCATGCCACATCGATTAGGGCTCCTTCTGAGGGAGGAATGTGGGGCTGCGTAGAACAATGGGATTGACTTTAAGTCAGAAAGTTATAAATGTCACCTCAGTGCTGAGACCCTTGGAGGAAAAACTAGTCCTTGGAAGACTGCTTTTCTTTGTGGAAGCTCATCACCCTGCCGCTGCTCGTGAGACACTGCCTTCCTTGGCTGATGTCATTCCAGGCTCAAGGTCATCAGTGAGGCAAAACAGGCTTTCTCCATACTCTCTTTATCAGAAGGTTCATGACTGATGAGGTAGTGGTCACTCCAGCGGGAAGAGCAACAACCACTCTTGATAAGTACTTTTTTTTTTTCTTCTAAAAACTGTTGCTCTAAATTTGTTGAAAGTGGTTCAACAGTATTGGAGTCTGGGGTCAAGTGGCTGTGTAAGGACAACTTTTGCCATTGTGGGTGATCTATGGGCTGACACATACAACAGAAGAGGCCAGGAGGATGTCACTCGTGTGTGTGTGTGTGTGTGTGTGTTTGGTAACAGCTCTATTGAGATATAATTCACACACCATACAATTCACCCATTTAAAGTATGCAATTCAATGGCTTTTAGTGTATCAGAGAGTTGTTCAATAATTACCACAATATACTTTAGAATATTTTCATTTTCATCATCCTAAGAATCCCTACACACTTTATGTCCCATCCTCTAATTCCTCTATCCCCCTAGCTCTAAGCAACCACCAGTCTATTTTCTGTCTCTTAGATGTGTGTTTTAAATGCCTTATTTGCCAGAAAATAAGATTTTGGGGAAAAAAAGCAAGAAGTTGTACCTTCCAATGATAAGTATAAGGTATAGTGTAGATTGCTGTCATGAAATGCTCTACATGGCACATGTATGTTTTCTGACCTACACATTTTTACCAAGTGGGCTGTAATTTTGTTGAAATGACTTGAAAACTCTACAGGTGACTGACCCTTGTTGTTTGGGAAAGTGGTAGGTGCAGGGTGATGGGGGGTGGGTGTGGGGGCTGACCTGGGCTGGAAGGATGGGTCTGGGGATATGATATGATGGGAGGGGGTATGGAAGCAGCTCTGAGGGGAAAGCAGCACAGATCAAGTGTGTGGACAGGGAAGAGCTGACATCCTGAGTTCCATGGCAACCAGATTTGCCAAGGTCTTAGAGTGTGTCCAGAGTGGAGCCTGACCACAGACCTCAGCTCAAGGGACCCAGAGCCCCTCTGAGTCAGCTGTACTGAATTACAGCCCCAAATCTGGGTCAACTGGGGAGAGACGACGAGGATTAGGGTTCCAAGGTGAAACTGTGCCATTGCGCTCCAGCCTGGGCAACAAGAATGAAACTCTCTTAAAATAAAATAAAATAAAATAAAATAAAATAAAATAAAATAGCCTAAGGATGCATTTCTCAGAACTTATCCCTGTTGTTCAATGATGTGTGTCTATACAGTGGGGCCATAACTAAGACGTATGTTGCCCAAGCTGGCAAGATAGCTCTGACCTTCTCTTGGGCCCCTCATTTCCCCCAAACACAGGTTGTCTGCAGTCTTGACCAATGGCTGCCAGGGCATGGACTCCGCTGCAGGGGCCAGTGGGAGGCCCCAGCTCAGGCAAAAGCACAGGCAGATATTTCAGGAGTCTGCTAGGGCTGGCACTGAGGGCAGAGACAGAGGGGTCTCCCTGTCCTTTGGAGAACCTCACGCTGCAGAAATTCCAGACTGAACCTTCATACCGAGTAGGGGAGGAGCTGTCTGCGGGTTTGAGCCTGCAGCAGGAGGAAGGACGTGAACATTTTATCAGCTTCTGGTATGGCCTTGAGCTGGTAGTTATAATCTTGGCCCTGGTGGCCCAGGGCTACAGTCATCCTAGCAGTCCCCGCTGAAGTGGAGCAGGTACAGTCACAGCTGTGGGGACAGCATGCTGGCCAAGGGTCTTCCCCCACGCTCAGTCCTGGTCAAAGGCTGCCAGACCTTTCTGAGTGCCCCCAGGGAGGGGCTGGGGCGTCTCAGGGTGCCCACTGGCGAGGGAGCTGGCATCTCCACCCGCAGTCCTCGCCCCTTCAATGAGATCCCCTCTCCTGGTGACAATGGCTGGCTAAACCTGTACCATTTCTGGAGGGAGACGGGCACACACAAAGTCCACCTTCACCATGTCCAGAATTTCCAGAAGTATGGCCCGATTTACAGGTAAGCCTGGCAGAGGGTGGGAGCCGAAGGGACAGGGAGGAGGAGGGGCCTGGGTAGCCCTGCTGTAGTCCCCACTCCCCCAACAGGCTGTTCTCTGGTTCCAAACTCCTGTCTAACTTCTTTTTTTTTTTTTTTTTTGGTAATACAATACAGAAATATATCAGGGATATTTCAAAATTCAACATTTGAATCTGTGAATGTCTTAAGTACTCTAAACCAGACATCTACTTTTGAAACAATTGGTGGCAAGACCGCCAGCCATCTGTAAGGAAGCTCTTTAATGGGTCCAAACCCCAGGTCTGGCCAGGCATGGTGGCTCACACCCATAATCCCAGCACTTTGGGAGGCCGAGGTGGGCGGATCACTTGAGATCAAGAGTTCGAGACCATCCTGGCCAACATGATGAAACCCCGTCTCTACTAAAAATACAAAAATTAGCTGGGTGTGGTGGCAGGCGCCTGTAATCCCAGCTACTCGGGAGGCTGAAGCAGGAGAATGGCTTGAACCGGAGAGGCAGAGGTTGCAGTGAGCCGAGATCGCACCATTGCAATCCAGCCTGGGCGACAGAGTGAGATTCTGTCTCAAACAAAACAAAACAACCTCCTCGGTCTGAGGAGGGGAGACTGGTGAGGCTAAGTTTTGAATTCCTGGCCCTGTAGCTGTCAGCCCAGCCAGCGAGTTTTAAAAATTGGGAGAAGGCCGGGTGCGGTGGCTCACGCTTGTAATCCCAGCACTTTGGGAGGCTGAGGCAGGCGGATCACTTGAGGACAGGAGTTCGAGATCAACCCGGCCAACATGGTGAAACCCTGTCTCTACTACAAAAATAAATAAATAAATAAATAAATAAATAAATAAAATAAAAAAAATTAGCCGGGCATGGTGGCGGGGGTCTATAATCCCAGCTACTCGGGAGGCTGAGGCAGGACACTCGCCCGAACCCAGGAGGTGGAGGTTGCAGTGAGCCGAGATCATGTCACTGCACTCCCGCCCTGGGCAACAAAAGCGAAACTCTGTCTCAAAAAAAAAAAAAAAAAAAAAATCGGGGGAGGGAGATTTGAAGGTCAGAGCACAGAGTGAAAAGGTCGCAGCGTGGTCAAGTTTGGCGCTAGCGACAGACCCAGCATTCCTCCCAGCGCACGCCGCCGCCCGGGCCGCGCTATTCCGAAATTGGGTCCGCCCTAGCGTGGCCCCCGGCCTGCTCCTGCGCTCTTCGCGGGTCGCTCACCTCCGCCTCCCCTCGACACAGCCCGAGCCCATCCGCCCCCCGGGTCGACCCGCGTTTACCTCAGGGCGAGGTCCAGGCGCTCGGCCCCGCGGAGGCGGCGGCGGCCCCACCGCAGGTCCTAGGTCCCAGTCACTCTGCCGCCAAGTTCCCCAACACGGACTCCGTGCGCTTTGAGGTGTTACGGGGGCGCTGGAGCACTGGCTTCGCTGGCCCTGCCAGGAGGCGGCGGCGAAGCAGGGAGCGACCCGGTATGCGTTTCTCTGCCCGGCCTGCGGCCCTGCAGCATCCACTCCTCGCCTCTGCTGGCCTCTGCCCTCGCTCGCTGCGTTCACCCGAGCTCACCCGAGCCCACCGGAGCCGACAGTGGCGCGCTAAGGTGACGTCCGCGCGGCCGGACCTCTCCTGTCCAACTTCTGATCTTCTTCCAGGCCTGGGATGGTGGTGGGTAAAAGGGAAAGTATTCCTAGTTCCCAGGCCTGAGGCCTCAACCTTCCCCAGATCCCACTCCCTTTGAAACTCTCGGAGAGAGGTGGTTAGAGAACAAGCCCTACTAAATGCCTCCCTACATCCGTTACCCTCCGCACACCTTGCAAGCGAAGTTTGTTGTCCCCATGGTCAGAGGAGGAGACTGAGGCTCAGAGAGGTCACCCAGCTAGATTCCTGTCCTGCTGGGGTGCTGGATCTCACCCCTTGGCCCTGAGGCTCTGAGTCTGTCCCTTCCCTTTCCCAAGAATCGGGCTTGCTTCCTGCTAGGAGGAAAGGCCTTTTTTTTTTTTTTTTGTCTTTGGGCCTCTGTGCCTCCAGGGCTTGTGGCTTTTTCCTGGGAAAACTGCTAAAGCTGTTCCCACGGTGGGCAGCCTTTCAGCCACACCTGGGTTCTTTGCTAAGAGTCCGGTTGAGAGGGAACGGAGGTGGCGCAGGGGTGGTTGGGGGCTGGGAGGGGAGACCAGGAGGGACAGTACGTTTTCCTTTAAGTGAAAGGTCTTTACAACTCAGAGCATTCCAATGGGTCAGTCACGAAGAGGGAAGGGTAAGATGTGTTGGCCGGCTTGATGACTGGGCTGGGGGTGGGTGAGAAGGCAGGCTAGTTTGTGTTGGGGCTTCAGCTGCTCCCTCCCTCTCTCACAACTCCTTTAAAGTCCAAACTGCCCCTTTTGATAGCTGGTTGGTGGCAGGGAGCTCCCCCCACCCCGCACCCCACCCTATTCAAGGTTGAGTGCTGGGCTTGGGAGGTTGCGCCCCGCTGGGTCTCTCCTTCCTCCCCCTCTCTCCTAGGCCTATTAGTGCTTCTGTCCCGTGCTCACTTCACATAGATCTCTAGTTATCCTTGCTTCCTCCTCTCTTCCCTTTTCACCACTTCCTAGACCCTCAGTAGCAACTCCTTATTTTATTAAGCCCCTTTGTTACCGGTGGAGGGTGTCCAGGTTCTTGGCGTCTTGAACAAAGAATTGGACAAAATGCACAGACAAAGTAAGGAAGGAATGAAGGGATTTATTGAAAATGAACATACACACCACAGTGTGGGAGCAGGCGGAGCGTAGGGGCTCAAAGGTCCCGTTACAGAATTGTGGGGCATTTACCCCCAGAGGATTCCATTGGTTACTTCAGATACACCTTATGTAAATGGAGAGGATGAAGTATTCAAGTTACATAGTCATACACCCTATGGAGAGGATATTTCCTGTTATAGCTGAAGTGTGAATCGATCTTCACACTTCAGACCCTATTTTCCTGCCTCATCTGCCCCTTCAAGAGATGTGATCCCCATAAATCTTTATGGGAGGCAGAGGGACCGATGGTCTTTTTTCTGTAACTGCTTCATGCTGGCTTGGGGCATAGTCCCTACCTATTGGGGATCATGGAACTCTCACCCTGCTCTATCTAGTGGAGGAAGGGTAGCTTCTTGATGTCCAGGGGTGGTGTCTTCACTTGGAACTGGCTGGAACCTTTGTTACATGATCATCTGAAGCTTGATGGTCTCTAGGTGAGAGGAAATGAATTTGGTTAAAAGATTTAATGGAAACTTTAGGGGGTGGATACCTATACTGTCAGAAATGTTTGTTGTAGTGATTTGCAGAAGAAAAAACAAAACCTAGTCTTTTCTAGAATCTATGTGTTTCCTTAAAGTCTTGGCATGAGTGGCCCCATTTTGGTTTTGTTTGGTTTGTTGGGGCCTAGTGCATGAGATCAGTCCAAAACAACGGCCTCCCAGAATTTTGTTGAAAAAAATTCCCTTTTTGATCAGGTTTTCACTTAGGTGAGAGTGTGACCAAAACCTAGGGCCTCAGTGCCACTCTCAGTTACCATCATTTTGGGTTTCTGGTCTCAGCATGTCATTTATAGGTTATGGTGTCCTCATGGTTGCATATTTCTTTGAGCTCCTGTTATTCCAGTTGAAGAGAGACCATATGACATTCTAGAGATGGCTCATGCAAGCATTTAAAACCTTTGAGAGCATACAGCTCGTCAGGGAGACCATTATTATGGCTATTAGGAGGATAATACCAAGAATTTGGGAGTATACTCCTTACCCAAGGTCCCCATAAACCAAACCTCCTAAAATCAAATGGATCTAAGAATGAGCTAGATACAGTTTACTCACGGCTGGGTGAGGTGGCTCACTTGAGGTCAGGAGTTCAAGATGAGCCTGGCCAACGTGGTGAAACCCCATCTCTACTAAAATACAAAAATTGGCTGGGTGTGGTCACGTGCACCTGTAATCCCAGCTACTTGGGAGGCCAAGGCAGGAGGATTGCTTGAACCTGGGAGTCGGAGGTTGCAGTGAGCCAAGATCACGCCACTGCACTTCAGCCTGGGCAACAGAGAGAGACTTGACTAATCAATTTCTTTGTCAGTCTCCTACCACTGAATTTCTATAGTCTTCATTTGATGTATTTCTGTATAGGCCACAAGTGCCAGCAGCTGCACAGATACTTCGCTGTTTAGCCAATTCTATTATAACTTTCACAAGAGAATTTAGAGTCTGTAGCCTTTAGAGTAGAATTTGCTATGGAACCTATCATGAGGGATACATTTCTAATCATTGCTTCTTTTACTTTAAACCATGGAAAAAGGACCTAACAAATGATGCCCTTTCAGAAGAGTGAAGGACTTCTGGCAATGTTCTCTTTAACCCACGATGTGGGTTATGTGGAGTGAATCAATTTTTTGTTTTTGATTGATTATGAGCTAACACATCTACCATTAAAGTTTCTTACATACATTGGGCCTTTATCCATGTATAAGGCTGGCTGCAAACTCCTTCACAAATAAAAATGTTCCCCATAAGTGCACATAACAGACCCCTTTTCCACTTCTATTGTTCGTAGAAGGCATAAGCAAGAAAAAATATTCAAAAATAAGAGTTTCATGATAGTAGAAGTCTTAATCTGTGAACTTGGGAAAAGCTGTTCACATCAATGATGTCATCTTCTTCTTGGGAGAAATTTCCCTAGTTAGTTTTACCTTAAGCATTCCAGTGGGTGCACAGCTCCAAGAGCATGGAGGGGCCCTTCTCAGTTGTGAGATTATGAACCCAAAGTTCAAGGTCCTGAAGTTTTGTTATAGTGTAGATGGCAAGGACAGTCTTTCTCTGATGTTTCCAGCAGATTCAAACCATAAAAAGCTTTTTTTTTTAATCTGGTGAAAATACACTGTAGCATAATAATCTACTGTTATAACATCAGCCCTCTTGCATGGGAAAGCTTTTCTACAACCAGAAAACATGCATGGAAAATAACAATGGAATGAAATCCCTTTATAAAATGTTTAAATGGCTGACCAGAAGACCAAATATACCTGAAGCTTTAATTGTTTTCCTAGGAATATGGGATCAAGCATTGGTTATAAACAATTTTTTGTTGTTATTTAGTTTTTATTTCATAATCATAAACTTTAACTCAACTCTGCAGTCCAGCTAGGCATGGAAGGGAACTGCAGCGAGAGCACAAAGATTCTAGGATACTGCGAGCAAATGGGGTGGAGGGTGCTGTCCTGAGCTACAGAAGGAATGGTCTGGTGGTTAAGATAAAACACAAGTCAAACTTATTAGAGTTGTCCACAGTCAGCAATGGTGATCTTCTTCCTGGTCTTGCCATTCCTGGACCCAAAGCGCTCCGTGGCCTCCACAATATTCATGCCTTCTTTCACCTTGCCAAAGACCACATGCTTGCCATCCACCACTCAGTCTTGTCAGTGCAGATGAAAAACTGGGAACCGTTTGTATTGGATCCAGCATTTGCCATGGACAAGATGCCAGGACGTGTATGCCTTAGGATGAAGTTCTCATCATCAAATTTCTCCCCATAGATGGACTTGCCACCAGTGCCATTATGGCATATGAAGTCACCACCCTGACACATAAATCCTGGAATAATTATGTGAAAGCAGGAACCCTTATAACCAAATCCTTCCTCTCCAGTGCTCAGAGCATGAAAGTTTTCTGCTGTTTTTGGAATCTTGTCTGCAAACAGCTCAAAGGAGACGTGACCCAAGGGCTCGCCGTGACTGCGATGTCAAAGAACACGGTGGGGTTGACCATGGCTGATAGTACAGGGCTCCTGGTGGCAGTGACGGCATCTGCAAAGCGACAGGTTATAAACTATTTTAAACAATTTCAGTATTAGCTGGTTTAACATGAAAGTCTTTTCTTGATATGTAATTAATTTTTTGTTGTTGTTGTTTTACGTGGGTTAGTAGCTTTATACAAGAAAATTTGGTCATTTTTGTGGTTTACAATAACTTAACATAATTATAATTGTGATTGGTAACATATACTTAGACATTAGAATTTGAGAAATCCCATACAATTTTGGAATATATTATTCACAAAAATATAACCTAAAGAAGATTTAACATCATTTTGTCAATCCCATGTACCTAAACATGTCAAATAATCCTGTTTACCTCTTTTCTGGATGTTTTCAGGGGCCCTCTGATTCATCTAGAAAGCCAGGCATTAGGAAAGACAATTTTGAAACTGAAGTTTGATTTTGGAATTCCAGATTACCGTAAACTATTTATTTTGCCAAAATGATGACTCAGAAATTTTAAAGAAGCAAAAACCTTTTGTAACCTTCCACACACACAAAAAAACCCCCAACACTTTCTACTGTTCTTATACACCTTGCATGTAAAACTGTTTCTAGTAGTCTTAATTGCATGTTATAATGGCAAATTTGTTTTTTTTGAGACAGAGTTTCACTCTTGTTGCCCAGGCTGGAGTGCAATGGCATGATCTCGGCTCACTTCAACCTCTGCCTCCTGAGTTCAAATGATTCTCCTGCCTCAGCCTCCCCAGTAGCTGGGATTACAGGCAGGCACCACCTTGCCCAGCTAATTTTGTATTTTTACTAGAGATGGGGGTTTCACCATGTTGGTCAGGCTGGTCTTGAACTCCTGACCTTAGGTGATCCACCTGCCTCGGCCTCCCCAAATGCTGGGATTACAGGTGCGAGGCACTGTGACTGGCCTATAATGGCGAATTTTAACATAAAACCTGGTAAGTTAGGCCAGGCGCGGTGGCTCACTCCTGTAATCCCAGCACTTTGGGAGGCCGAGGCGGGTGGATCATGAGGTCAGGAGTTCAAGACCAGCCTAGCCAAGATGGTAAAACCCCATCTCTACTAAAAATAATAATAAAAAATTAGCCAGGTGTGGTGGCGGGCGTCTGTAATTCCAGCTACTCAGGAGGCTAGGGCAGAGAATTGCTTGAATCTGGGAGATGGAGATTGTGGGTGAGCCGAGATTGCGCCACTGCACTCCAGCCTGGGGGACAGAGTGAGACTCTGTCAAAACAAAAACAAAAACAAAAAAAACTGGTAAGTTCTGATAAAGTTTCTGATAAGGTTTGACTACTTCCAGCACAGCTAGGGGCATGGCTAACTCCACGTGTCCCCAGGCCTTACCTAGCTGGAAAGCAGGCAAGTTAAACAATTTTCAAAAGCCAAAGGAGTAGCTTATGATGTTAAAGGATTTAGCAAACCTAGTATTTGAACATAATGTACACCACATGTTTACATTTTGAAGACAACTGTATTTTTCCAATAATCTTGAAAACTGTCTTTATTTCCCAACTATTGCTAAAGTCACATGAACTAAAAGGCATTACACTTTCTACTTTTCTGACAAAATATTTGACTTAAGCTTTTATTATTATTAAACCAATTAATTTAAAATCTTACAGAGGAGATATACGTGACTTCTACTTTATATTTAACCAGTTTGCATAGAGGGAAAGAGCCCAGAGACTGACTCATAAGAAATTCTTATCCTTTCACCGGCATGCCAGATTTCAGGGTTCTCTCTTTCACGCGTGTCCCTGTGAAGAGACCACTGAACAGGCTTTGTGTGAGCAATAAAGCTTTTTAATCACCTGGGTGCAGGTGGGCTAAGTCCGTAAAGAGAGTCAGCGAAGGGAGATAGGGGTGGGGCCGTTTTATAGGATTTGGGTAGGTCATGGAAAATTACAGTCAAAGGGGTTGTTCTTTGGCAGGCACGGGCAGGGGACACAAGGTGCTCAGTGGGGGAGCTTTTGAGCCAGGATGAGCCAGGAGAAGGAATTTCACAAGGTAATGTCATCAGTTAAGGCAGGAACAGGCCGTTTTCACTTCTTTTGTGATCCTTCAGTTACTTCAGGCCATCTGGGTGCATACGTGCAGGTCACAGGGGACATGATGGCTTAGCTTGGGCTCAGAGGCCTGATATTCCTGTCTTCTTATATTAGTAAGAAAAATAACATAAAATAGTGTTGAAGTGTTGGGGCAGCAAAAATTTTGGGGGTGGTATGGAGAGATAATGGGCAATGTTTCTCAGGGCTGCTTCAAGCAGGATTAAGGGCAGTGTGGGAACCTAGAGTGGGAGAGATTAAGCCAAAGGAAGATTTTGTGGTAAGGGGTGATATTGTGGGGTTGTTAAAAGGAGCATTTGTCATGTAGAATGATTGGTGATGGCCTGGATGCAATTTTGTATGAACTGAAAAACTAAATGGAAGACACAAGGTCTGAATAAGAGAAGGAGAAAAACAGGTATTAAAGGACTAAGAATTGGGAGGACCCAGGACATCCGATTAGAGAGTGCCCAAGGGGATTCAGTGTAATTACTTGTTTGGTTGGTGAGTTTTTGGGCTCTATTCTTGACAGAGTCCTTTTTTTAAGTTGGAGGCTGAGTTTGGTGAGGTGTGTTTTTAAAAGACCATTAGTCCGTTTTACCTTTCCTGAAGATTGAAGACGGTAAGGGGTATGAAGGTTTCACTGAATACCAAGAGCCTGAGAAACTGCTTGAGTGATTTGACTAATAAAGGCTGGTCTGTTATCAGACTGTATAGAGGTAGGAAGGCCAAACCGAGGAATTATGTCTGACAGAAGGGAAGAAATGATCGTGGTGGCCTTTTCAGACCCTACGGGAAAGGTCTCTACCCAACCGGTGAACGTGTCTACCTAGACCAAGAGGTATTTTAGTTTCCTGACTTGGGGCATGTGAGTAAAGTCAATTTGCCAGTCCTGGGCAGAGGCAAATCCCTGAGCTTGATGTGTAGGGAAGGGAGGGTCCTGAGGAGTAGTAGACTAGCAGATGGAACCCTGAGAAGTGATTTCCTTGTGGATAGATTTCCATGATGGAAAGGAAATGAGAGGTTCTAAGAGGTGGGCTAGTGGCTTGTAACCTACATGGAAGAGGTTATGAAATGACGACAGAATAGAATGGGCCTGTGAGGCTGGAAGGAGATATTTTCCTTGGTCTAAGAACCATTTGCCTTGTGTGGGAAGAGATTGATAGGTGGAAGTTTTAGTAGGGGAGTAGGTGGGAGTGACCGATGAGAAGGAGAAAAACTGGCTGTGAGGGATAGAAGTTGGAATGCTAGCTGCTTTTTAGCTACCTTATCAGCATAAGCATTGCCCAGAGCAATGGGATCTGATGCCTTTTGATGGCCCTTGCAGTGAATGACTCCAGCTTCCTTTGGAAGTAAAGCGGCCTTGAGAAGAGTTTTTATTAAAGAGGCATTAAGATGGAGGACCCTTGTGTAGTGAGGAGACCTCTTTCAGCCCATACAACAGCATGGTGGTGCAGGATATGGAAGGCATCTTTAGAGTCAGTATAAATATTGACGTGTAATTCATTTGCAAGGGTTAGGGCTCCAGTTAAGGCAATGAGTTCAGCTTGCTGAGAGGTAGTGGAGCGGGGCAGAAAGTATATGCATCAGGTGTGAGGAAGAAAATAGATTTTGGAAGTTATGAGAACTGGAGAGAGTGAGTTGAGCACAGTTTGTGATTTTGAGGGCCTCTAAAAGTATTAAAGCAGCGACAGCTGCCGTACACAGACATGAGGGCTAGGCTAAAACAGTAAGGTCAAGTTGTTTGGATAGAAAGGCTGCCGGGCGCGGTCCTGGCTCTTGTGTAAGAATTCTGACCGCACAGCCCTGCACTTCAGCTGTGTGTAATGAAAAAGGGTTGGATGAGTTAGAGAGAGCTAGTGTGGGAGCAGCTTCTAGGGCTGTTTTTAAGGAACAGAAAGAGGAGTGGCGAAAGAATTTAGGATCTATGGGATCAGCTAAGTTTGCATTTTTAAGTTTATATAATGGTTTAGTCAGGATGGTAAAACTAGGTATCCAAAGGTGGAGTATCTAACCATGCCTAGGAAGGAAAGGCATTGTTGCTTTGTAGAAGGGGTTAGGGTTTGTGAGATTAGCTGGACGTGATCAGCAGGGAGAGCATGTGTGTTTTCATGAAGAATTATGTTGAGATAGGTAATGGATGAGGAAGAAATTGGGGTTCACTGAAGTAATGGGGCCTGTCCGTGAAGACTTGCAGCAGTACAGCCCAGGTAATTTGCTGAGCCTGATGGGTGTCAGGGTCAGTCCAAGTGAAAGTGAAGAGAGGCTGGGATGAAGGGTGCAAAGGAATAGTAGAGAAAGCATGTTTGAGATCCAGAACAGAATAATGGGTTGTGGAGGGAGGTATGGAGGATAGGAGCATATATGAGTTTGGCACCATGGGGTGGATAGGCAAAACAATTTGGTTGATAAGGCACAGATCCTGCACTAACCTGTAAGACCTGTCTGGTTTTTGAACAGGTAAAATGGGGGAATTATAAGGAGAGATTATAGGCTTTAAAAGGCCATGCTGTAACAGGCAAGTGATAACAGGCTTTAATCTTTTTAAAGCATGCTGTGGGATAGGATATTAGCATTGAACAGGGTAAGGGTGATTAGGTTTTAATGGGATGGTAAGGGGTGCATGATCAGTCACCAAGGAGGGAGTAGACATGTCCCATATGTGTGGATTAAGGTGGGGAGATACAAGGGGAGGATGTGAAGGAGGCTTTAAACTGGGGAAAAGGGTGGCAATAAGGTGTGGCTGTAGCCCAGGAATAGTCAGGGAAGCAGATAATTTAGTTAAAATGTCTTGACCTAATAAGGGAACTGGGCAGGTGGGGATAACTAAAAAGGAGTGCATAAAAGAATATTGTCCAAGTTGGCACCAGAGTTGGGAAGTTTTAAGAGGTTTAGAAGCCTGGCTGTCAATACCCACAATAGTTGTGGAGGCAAAGGAAATAGGCCCTTGAAAAGAAGGTAATGTGGAGTTGGTAGCCTCCATATTGATTAAGAAGGGGACGGACTTACCCTCCACTGTAAGAGTTACCTAAAGCATCTGTGATGATCCAGGAAGCTTCTGAGGCGATTGGGCAGCATCAGTCTTCAGCCGCTAAGCGGAGAAGATCTGGGAAGGAGTCAGTCAGATAGCCTTGGGCCAGAGTTCCAGGGGCTCTGGGAGTGGCTGCTGGGTGAGTTGGACAGTCCAGTTTCCAGTGGGGTCCTGCACAGATGGGACATGGCTTAGGAGGAATCCCAGGCTGCAGGCAATACTTGGCCCAGTGGCCAGATTTCCAGCACTTGAAGCAAGATCCTGGGGCAGGTGGTCCTGGAGGAATGCCTGGCCGCTGCAGTTCAGGCGTTTTGAAGTTCTTGTATGCTGGAGATGCGGCTGGGTTTTGTCTCACAGCAGAGGCAAGTAATTGTAACTCAGAAATGTGTTGCTGTCTGGCTGCCTCCTTTCTATTATTGTACACCTTGAAGGCAAGGTTGATTAATTCCCATTGCGAGGTTTGAGGGCCGGATTCTAATTTTTGAAGCTTTTTTCTAATGTCAGGGGCTGACTGGGTGATAAAATGCATATTGAGAATAAGACAGCCTTCTGACCCTTCAGGGTCTAGGGCTGTAAAGCGTCTCAGGGTTGCTGCCAAATGAGCCATGAACTGGGCTGGGTTTTTATATTTGAGGAAAAAGAGCCTAAACACTAACTGATTTGGGAGAGTTCGGATAAAGAAAAAGGAGCATTAACCTTGACTATGCCTTTAGCTCCAGCCACCTTTTTAAGAGGAAATTACTGGGCAGATGGGGGAGGGCTAGTTGCAGAACGAAACTGTAAGCTGGACTGGGTTTGGGGAGAGGGGGTGATAGAAGGATTATAGGGTGGAGGAGCAGAAACTGAGGAAGAATTGGAGCCTGATTCAGCCTGGCTGGGGAGTGACCTGAGGAGCAGTCTGGGGATGAGGGGAGAGGTCAGATGGGTCGGTAGAAAAGGAAGATTGGAAAGACTCAACAACACTTGGGGTTGGGACTGAAGGGACAGGTGGGAGGGAAAAGAAGATTTGGGACCAATTGCATTGGAAATAGACTAGGGAGGGAACAAAGAATGCCTGGGTGTCAGGTACCTCAGACCATTTGCCCATTTTATGACAAGAATTATCTAGATCTTGTAGGATGGAGAAATCGAAAGTGCCGTTTTCTGGCTATTTGGAACCATTGTTGAGTTTGTATTGGGGTTAAGTGGCATTGCAGAAGAAAATAAGATGTTTAGGTTTTAGGTCACGTGTGAGTTGAAGAGGTTTTAAATTCTTGAGAACACAGGCTAAGGGAGAAGAGGGAGGAATGGAGGGGTGGAAGTTTGCCCATAGTGAAGGAGGTAAGCCCAGAGAAAAGAGAGGATAGAGACATGGAGAGAAGGTGTGGGGGATGCCTGCCCCCCAGGAAAGTGGAGAGAAAAGGGAGGGTAGAGACACGGAGAGAAGGGAGGTGCTTGCCCCCCAAATTAGTGGTGCTTGCCACTAAGGGTGAAGGATCAAGGCAGGTGTCCCCGTGGTGATCAAACACCTCTGAAATGTGGGTGAATAATCAAGCAGGCATCCCCGCAGTGATTAAACACCAAGGGAAGACTGTCTTCCCGAGTCTGTGACCAGCGCTGGAGTTTTGGGTTCACGGATAAAACACGTCTCCTCTGTCTCTGCCAGAAAAGGAAAGGAACTGAAATTAAGGGAAGGGAGAGATTGAAAGATGGCGCCAAGATTGAAAGGAGAAAGAGGTTGAGAGATAGTGAGAGAGGTTGGAGAAGAGAGTAAAAAGAGGCTGCTTACCGGGTTTAAAATTGGTGGGATGTTCCTTGGGCTGGTTGGTCTGAGGACCTGAGGTCATAGGTGGATCTTTCTCACTGAGCAAAGAGCAGGAGGACAGGGGATTGATCTCCCAAGGGAGGTCCCCTGATCCGAGTCATGGCACCAAATTTCATGCGTGTCCCTGTGAAGAGACCACCAAACAGGCTTTGTGTGAGCAATAAAGCTTTTTAATCACCTGGGTGCAGGCAGGCTGAATCCGAAAAGAGTCAGCAAAAGGAGATAGGGGTGGGGCTGTTTTATAGGATTTGGGTAGGTAATGGAAAATTACAGTCAAAGGGGGTTGTTTTTTGGCTGGCAGGGGTGGGGGTCACAAGGTGCTCAGTGGGGGAGCTTTTGAGCCAGAAGAGCCAGGAGAAGGAATTTCACAAGGTAATGTTATCAGTTAAGGCAGGAACAGGCCATTTTCACTTCTTTGTGATTCTTCAGTTATTTCAGGCCATCTGGATGTATACGTGCAGGTCACAGGGGATATGACGGCTTAGCTTGGGCTCAGAGGCCTGACATTCTCTCCCTGAGTGGCCCCAGGGACCCTGCTTGACTGTATGCAAACAAACACATTGCAATGAATTAAGAATATTCATAAATAGTTTACAAATTTTGGAGAAACTAGGCAGAGTGAGAGAAATATGACTAAAATTCTATTTGTGAGAGTATACTCAACACACTTAAAGTATCAGGAAGCCTAAAATCCAAAAAGTTAGTTTAAGGATAAAAAAGCTAGTATGCTCCATTAATTCCTGCAGGCCCAACAAAGGTAGCTTGGGAATTCCAGAAAAATGGAATGAATGATGACTTGCTAGAAATGCACAGGAACACAGAACTAAATGAAAACCTTCCACTAGGAACTAAGAAAAATCATGGTTTTTATATACATGCATACACAAGCAAAGTCAGAGGAGAACAAATGGCAAACAAATGAAAACTAGAAGCAAAAACAAATAAGCAGGAAACCAACCCTAAATTTTCTTATTCAATTTACCCTGGAGGCTACAGTGTTACATAGGGCCCCCAAAAACCCACATAATGAATATTTTATTCCTGATACACAATTCAGTATCCTTAAGTTCACTAATATTATCATACATCCTGTGCAATTAACAAATTCACTTTAGGCGTATGACCAATAAGTACTCCAGCACTATCCATGCAAAACAGTAAACATAGTATGAAGCAATGTAAGCATGTATGTGGAATTTGGTTCCACACTAAATCCAGCTTCATGCTTAACTATATTAAAAAAAAGAGTTGCCAAACTGCCAATGCATTTTTACAATACTTCTTACTTTAATCAAGACTAAGAGCTTTAACTATAAAAATGTTAATTAGCCAAATGTTTCCAATTCTTTATCAGGTTTTAAAGAATATTTTATTATTTAAACTGTACCTCATCTTTCTCCCCTACTTAATGGTTCCTTACTACATTGTTTCATAAATAACCTTTTCAAAACTGTAACTTGAACTAACTTTTAGATAACTTCTGAATTAGACAAAATTATTCTTTCCTTTTTTTAGTAATAACCCTTTCAGGCACTTTTTGTATACAGAATTACGTGTTAACTAGAAACCTTATCCTTTGTAATGTAAAATTTTAGTGAAACCCTAAAAAGCAAGAAATCCTGAAATATCAGATATGGGCATTTATAGATAAGAACAATTCCACAATTTTAGAAACATATTTCCCCATATCACAACCCTTTCTTACTTGGAAATGACCCAGATATTAAATGAGTGCCAAAAATAACTTTAAGGTTTTAATTTACACAAAAAGTTTACCTAAAGCATTTATCCCATTTGCTGTACTCAATTTTTACTTTTAACAAGGGAGACATGAGACACTAATTAACATATGTAAAATGAACATTGGTTTGGTCCTGAAAGGTGGGACAACTCAAGGCAAGGAGTGGGCTTGGAGGCTTTCAGATCACAGGTGGGAGACAGATGTTTACATTCTTTTGAGTTTCTGATTAGCCTTTCCAAAGGAACCAATCAGATATGCATTTATCTCAGTGAGACTTTGAATAGAAGGGGAGGCAGGCTCGCCCCAAGCAGCTCCCAGGTTGAATTCACTGACATTTAAGAATATCTAGTGGTGGCTCATGCCTGTAATCCCAGTGCTTTGGGAGGCTGAGGCAGGCAGATCACAAGGTCAAGAGTTCAAGACCAGCCTGGCCAATATGGTGAAACCTTGTCTCTATTAAAAAATTTAAAAATTAGCTGGGCGTGGTGGCGTGTGCCTGTGGTCCCAGCTTCTTAGGAGGCTGAGGCAGGAGAATTGTTTGAACCCAGAAGGCGGAGGTTGCAGTGAGCCGAGATCACACCACTGCACTCTAGCCTGGGTGACAGAGTGAGACTCTGTCTCAAAAAAAAAAAAAAAAAAAAAAAGATAGCAAAGACAAACATAAAATTCAAACAAAATGTATACTGATAATACTGAAGGCATTTCTATTTTTATTCCACCAATAATTTTAAAGCTAGCTTGTTTAGTAAAGTTATACTTTAAGTCACGTGAACTTGAAAATTGCTTAGACTTATTTACTTAATTTATGAGTGCTCTTTTACTTATAAGGCAATTTGGTAGACACAACATATAACAATGTGTACATACAAATAAACACATCTAGACATGTATACACACACATAAACGAAGATTCAATAGCTTGGAACCTTAGCCATGAGATAGCAATACAAGCTTGCCAGTTTTTGCCCCAACAGATAATCCAATGAAGGCTGTGAACCAAAATTTTGGCTAAAGCAGTCTCCATGGCAGTTTGATTTTTAAAGGCCAAACCTCCCACGACTTCAAAGCAGGGTGTCACATGTTAACCAGGCCCCCTGCTTAGAGCTGCAGCACAAAAGCCTGGATACATGCAACTCTATTCCACTTTCCAATTCAACAGTAAACTTCAGATTCCAAACAATGTTGGGGCCAAACAGCATTGCAACTGCGGAGAGAAAATTCTAAGGAGGGCTAGACCTCAGAACCTCTGCCAAGAGCATCCTCTTTGGAGTGGCTGGGGTCCGCAGGACCCACAGAGCATCCTCCTGTGGGGTCCAATCTTAGGGTCCCAGACGTCTCTGGCTTTAGGTGGGCATCACATGCAGGCTTTCCCCTCTGGAGCATACTATGAACTTTATAAGAGTAGCCATGAACTGTAATGTGAACTGGATGCTGCGTGGGCTTTTTTTGTCCTTAGCTAGTTGAGCACTATAAGGGAAGAATTTAGCATAAGAAAGTAAGGTTTAAGCCCCCAGAAACATTTATGAGTTTGCTCCGAGCAGCACCGCATGTAGGGATCAGGAACCATAGGCAAAAAAGATTTTTAAAAAAAGTCCCTCCCGCTTTGGGGCAGCGCAATTATTCCCTTTCATTCGTAGACCTTCAGGCAGTACTGGTGACCCCAGCCTCAATTTCCAAGGAGCTACTAGGAAACAGCCGCTGAAAGACTGAAATAGAAAGAGACAAAAAAAGAGAAAAAAAACATAAAAAAGACCCAGGTCCCTTAAGCGAACCGGGCGGTGGCAGTCAGGCTGCTTCTCCACGTGGAAACCCCTTAGTTTCACTGGCCACGGCCAGAAACCTGCAGTTGTCTCCGTGTTTAGGTGGGGCCCAGCAAGGGTCCCAAGTTGGAACAGAAAAGAGAAAGAGAGAGCTCCTGTATGGAGCAGAAAGGAAAGGGAGAAAAACGAATCCCAAACTTTGGGCTTACCTCTTCCTCCTGGCTGGCTGGCCAAAATACATGTTACCGGTGGAGGGTGTCCAGGTTCTTGGTGTCTTGAACAAAGAATTTGACAAAACGCACAAACAAAGCACGGAAGGGATGAAGGGATGTATTGAACATGAAAATGCACACCACGGTGTGGGAGGGGCCTGAGTGTAGGAGCTCAGGGGCCCCGTTAACAGAATTTTTGGGAGTTTAAATACCCCTTAGAGCATTCCATTGGTTAATTCCATATGCCTTATGTAAATGGAGAGGATGAAGTAAAGTTACAAAGTCATTTACAGCATACGCCCTATGGAGAGGATATTTCCTGTCACAGCTCAAGTGTGAATTGGCCTTATGTTCCCTGCCTCCAGACCCTAATTATCTTTCTGTTTTCTGAGTCACTTCCATCTGAATCTTGCAACATATCCCTGTAGTTGGTGTTATTATTTCCCCACTTTACAGATGGGGAAACTGAGGCCCAGTGAGAAGAAGGGTCTTGTCAATGTCACACAACTCATGAGAGCAAAGCCAGGGCAGGAACTGGAATTGTCTGACTTCCAGCTCTGTGTGTCATTATACTTGAACTTATAGCTAATAAACAATAAACTTCTGAATAAATGTGAGGAATTTAAAATACAACTTTTGTGGGTTTTTTTCCTAACACAAAGGCTGTTCTTGTTTTATACAGAGCAATTTAGAAAATACAGAGAAACACAAATGAAAAATTGAAGTCAGATACAATCAATTCCAATTGATTTAACATTTAAGTATCATGAGGTATGTGAATATACTACATATGCTGCTTATGTTGTCTCACAACAATATATCAAGGAATTCTTTCCTTTTTTCTCTCTCTAATATAAAATTATTTTATATTTTAAGAGAAAGTGATGTTCAGTGGTCCTCAGACTTTTCTGGGGAAAGATCTCGTTTCGTTTATTTATATCTTCTTCCTTTTTCTTGATCTATCTTATTAATATTTACTTTTTTTGAAACAGGGTCTTGCTCTGTCTCCCAGGGTGGAGTGCAGTGGTGCCATCATAGGCTCACTGTAGCCTTGAATTCCTGGGCGCAAGTGATCCTCCCTCTCCCTCCTCAGCCTCCCAAAGTACTGGGATTACAGGTGTGAGCCACTGTGCCTGGCCTCTAATATAATTTTAAAAGGCAGCATAGTAGTTCACAGTATGGATTTTTTTTTTCGCGGGTTCTTTAAAGTGAACATACAACCTACTCTTGACTTTTTTGCTGTTAGACATGAGGCTGCAATGGACATCCTTATCCATCAAGCATTGTTGCTGATGTCAGATCATTGCCTTGGGCTAGATTCCCAGAAGTGGAATTGATCATGATAATAGCAGTTCAAGGGCTTGGCTGAACTTGGTTAGGGGTATGGAGCTAGTTAGTGCAAAGACACATGGTAGCTGGAAAAACACTGAGGGGATTTTCTGGGAGGCCACAGAACAAGTGAAGGCCTGAAACTCATCAAGGTAGGCCCAGGCTTTCTGGCTCAGTGGTTAAAGCAGCACTATGAGAGGAGAGAGAGAGAGAACATGCACACACATGAGCACACTTGGCTTGTATCTCCATGTTTTTATGCTATTTTGCCTAAAAGTGTATCTTAATTTTCTTCGATAAAAGGCAGAGGCTAGCAAGAAGTGGAATTTTCTGTTGTTTTTTAGTAGTTGTATTTTTATTTCTTATTTTTTGCTTAAACAACAGAATTAATTTTCTGGCAGTTCTGGAAACTAGAAGTCAGAGATCAAGGTTTTGGCTGAGTTGCTTGCTTTCTTCTGAGGCCTCTCTCCTTGGAGTTAGATGCTATCTTTTCCCCGTGTGTTGACATGGTCCTTCCTCTTTGTGTATCCGTGTCCTCATCTCTTCATGTAAGAACACCAGTCATATGTAACAGTTGTATGTGGGTAGGCACATTGGCTCAAACCTGCCATCCCAGCACTTTGGGAGGCTGAGGTGGGAGGATCTCTTGAGCCCAGAAGTTTGAGACCAGCCTGGGCAACATGGCAAAACCTCATCTCTACAAAAAACACAAAAATTAAGCATGGTGGTGCCTGTAGTCCCAGGTACTTGGCCGGGCTGAGGTGAGAGGGTCGCTTGAGCCTGGGAGGTCAGGGCTGCAGTGAGCCGTGATCACACCACTGCACTCCAGCCTGGGTAACAGAGACCCTGTCTCAAAACAACAATAACAACAAAAACCCAGTTGTATTTAATACAGATTGTCTGCAAAGTGATTTGCAAGCCTGTCTCCCCTGCCTGTATGTTGGGGCTTGATGTTTTACTGAAGTTTTATTTTAATAGAGACAAAGCGTGTTGTTGGGTGGCCTCTGACTCTTAGGGTCAGGGTGGCCACTCTCAGAATTTCAGTTGTAGAGTCTGACAGGGATTTGGCCTGGAATATGGCCTACCTTGCAAGCTATAGTGAGTCACTCTAGCAGTGACATGAAAGTGTGCCATGGTTCTGAGCTCTGTGGACAGGTGAGAAGCTGGGGCTGCTGTAGGTGTGGACACAGGAAGAATGCGCAAGGAGTGGAGGACTTGCTGGTCCATGGAAGGCTCGGGGGTGGCTTTGGGCTGGCCCTGGGGATGTGCTGTGGGACAGCAGCAACAGTGATCATAAAGCTCTCACTTGTAGAATGTTTAACAAAGGTCACATCCATATACTTCCTATTGTCTTGTCCTTCAGCAGCGCTGCGAGACAGGTACTGTATTTGTCTCCATTTTACAGAAGAGGAAACTGAGACTCAGAGGGGTTAAGGGCCTCGACTCAGGTCCCACAGTCAGCAAGTTGTGGAACTGTGAGGCAGCTGTGCTGAGCCTGTATCCATAGCTCTCCTCGGATCCTTCCATCAGCCCCTCTCCCCCACCCCTCCAGGGAGAAGCTCGGCAACGTGGAGTCGGTTTATGTCATCGACCCTGAAGATGTGGCCCTTCTCTTTAAGTCCGAGGGCCCCAACCCAGAACGATTCCTCATCCCGCCCTGGGTCGCCTATCACCAGTATTACCAGAGACCCATAGGAGTCCTGTTGAAGTGAGTCCTGGGCCATCTCCCAGGGACTGGAGGGAGGTGGTGGGGAGCTGTGGAGAGGGCAGAGGCTGGGGGTGAGGGGCTGAGGCCAGGCTTGCCCTGTGCCTCCTAGCAGGGCCTCTAGGTGAATCCCCGTCATTTTCCTGCCTCCCTAAAACAAATGATGGTGATGATGATGATGATGATGATGAATTGCTCTGCCAGCCTTCAGGGAAATGGCCATGCTGAAGATCCTAATGAATAATTAAAGATCTGGCAAAGTTCTCACTGACTGGTTTGCTCACTGAGTCCCACCTTACTGAGCATCCTTGATGAATCAGGACTTGTGCCAGGAACTGGAGATACAGTGACAAATAGAGCAGGGACCTGCCACCGTGAGTCCCATACAGGCTAAAGGGGCAGTGAGACATTTGTCCTACATGGGGACAGATCAGTGTATTTAAGTGTAGTGGATACTGTTTTCTACGAAATTGTTCATAAATTTTTTTTTATTTTGAGATGGGATCTCATTGTGTCATCCAGGCTGGAGTGCAGTGGTTTGATCATGGCTCACAGCAGCCTCTGCCCCCCGGCACAGGTGATCCTCCCACCTCAGCCTCCCAAGTAGCTGGGATTACAGGTGCGTGTCACCACACCCAGCCAATTTTTACATTTTTAGTATAGATGAGATTTTGCCATGTTGCCCAGGCTGGTCTCAAACCCCTGGGCTCAAGCAATCTTCCCGCTTCAGCCTTCCAAAGTGCTAGGATTATAGGCATGAGCCACCATACCCACCCCATCAAAAATGTAAAATGAGGGTCAGGGCGCATTGGCTCATGCCTGTAATCCCAGCACTTTGGGAGGCCAAGGCGGACAGATTGCTTGAGCTCAGGAGTTCAAGACCACCCTGGGCAACACAGTGAGACCCCATCTCTACAAAAAATAAAAAATAAAAAATTAGCCGATGTGGTGGCACATGCCTGTGTTCTCAGCTACTTGGCAGGCTGAGGCCAGAGAACTACTTGAGCCTAGGAAGCAGAGGTTGCTGTGACGAGAGATGGCACCACTGCACTCCAGGCTGGGTGACAGAGCTGGATCCTGTCTCAAAAAAAAAAAAAAAAAAGAAAAGAAAAGGTAAAACGTAACCATATCAAGTGTGGGTAAGGCTACAGAGCAACTGGGGCTCTCATCTGTTACTGGTGGGAGTGTAAACTGGAGCCACTACTTTGGAAAATGGTTGGACATTTTCTCCTAAAATGGAATATTTGCATACCTGTGACATAGCAGTTTGATTTCAGGTATATACTCCAAAGAGTATCCCTGCTTTGGGGGATGTGTAGTAGAAGGTTTGCAGTGGTACCGTTCATGATATTAAAAACCAGAAAGCTACTGAAATGCCCAATAGGATTATAAGTGAGTGAATTGTGGTACACACCAGTCAAAATGAAGGGACTCAGTCTCCCACAGCAATACAGATGATACTTGGAACGGTGCAACTAAGTGAAAAAAGCAAGTCTGGCAAAGCATGACAGCTTTTCTTTCTTTCTTTCTTTTTTTTTTTTTTTTTTTTTGAGGCAGAGTCTTGCTCTGTCACCCAGGCTGGAGTGCAATGGCACGATCTTGGCTCACTCCAACCTCCGCCTCCCGGGTTCAAGTGATTCTATTGCCTCAAGCTCCGGCGTAGCTGGGATTATAGATGCCCGCCACCATGCCCAGCTAATTTTTGTATTTTCAGTAGAGACGGGGTTTCACCATGTTGGCCAGGCTGGTCTCGAACTCCTGACCTCAGGTGATCCACCTGCCTCGGTCTCCCAAAATGCTGGGATTACAGGCGTGAGCCACTGTGTCTGACCGACAGCTTTTTAAAAGAAGTTAAACACTAGTATATATTTTGTAATAGTACCTTTTGGGAATAAATGGAGATCAGATAAAATTAGACACAAATGAGAGCAAGGGATTCTAGTGGGTGGTCTCCTTAGAAGGGAACAAAGGATGTGGAAGGACCAGGAGGGCAAGTGTAAGTTACTGTCAAGTTCCTAGTTTCTATGGTGGGTGGTAAGTTTGTGATAATATTCTTATCAACAAAAACACCCCCAAGTCACGAAGAGGACTTTGCATGGATTGATGAATTTCAAGAGTGTGCATGAATTAAGGTTTATTATGACCAACCCAGTTCGGGGCACCTGAGGTCCCCCGACAGAAGTGAGTAATGGGACGTGTTGGGGGTGCAGAGGAGGAGAGGCTGGTCAATTTTGTTTGTGCAAGAGTCAGAAAATGTTATATAGAGGGGCCCTGGAGTGTCAAAGGTGAGCATCGGCCAGGAGGAAGTGGGAGTGGCATGGAAGGCATGCCTGCAGCTGAGGCAAAGACTGGAGAGACTGAAAGTTACACAAAGGGTTCTAAGAATATCAGTTCCTGGCCCTCAGCAGAGGGAGTGGAGGGGAGTTGGAGTTTTGTTCCCCTTCACTCTCTTTTTTCCTTTCTCTTCTCCCAGCCAGGCAGAGCAGGGAGGAGGTGAGAGGCAGAGGGTGCTCGGAGAGGTGAGGGCAGAGGCCCTGGTGGGAGTGCTGGATGCTGTGAGCTGTGACTCAGCTTCCTGGGAAAACTGAGTCAGCCCCCTCTGTGTTCACCAGGCCTGGGGTCTGTGACCATGAGGGCTTGTGGGCCCATGTTTTCTCAGGAAGTCGGCAGCCTGGAAGAAAGACCGGGTGGCCCTGAACCAGGAGGTGATGGCTCCAGAGGCCACCAAGAACTTTTTGCCCCTGTTGGATGCAGTGTCTCGGGACTTCGTCAGTGTCCTGCACAGGCGCATCAAGAAGGCGGGCTCCGGAAATTACTCGGGGGACATCAGTGATGACCTGTTCCGCTTTGCCTTTGAGTGTAAGGGGGCTTGCACCTGGCTGGCAGTGGGCATGGGGGTGGGAGGACTCAGTGTTCACTCTCTTACCTTGAGGTTCAGTACAGACCCTGCAGAGGCATTGAGACTGACTTCTGGGATGAGCCGCTGATCATGTCCTCCACTGCCTGCTACTCAGAGGCAATTTAAGACCACCCTGGGCAACAGAGTGAGACCCCTTGCTCTGGGGTTCTCTCATCTGGCATTCTCTCTCATCTGGCATTTGTGCTGTAGGAGCAAGGGTCCCCAAAGTACAGGTCCCTATTGCCACCATCCGCCAAAGCCAGAGCTTGGCTTGGACCTTCATTCTGCAAGTCTCCACCTCCTGGGCCATAGACCTTTGGAGTCTGGTAGGGTAGAGGAGAGTTCAGTGGTTAATCTGAGGTAGGCATTGAGGAATCTGTAGGAGTTATCTAGATGGGGTAAGGAAGTCAGGCAGTATAGGTAGAGGGAACCACACATACAAAGGCCCTGTGGCTTGATGAAGATTGTGTGGTCACAGCAAGAGATTTGGGGTGCCCAGAGCTTTGTATGAAATCAGTATTCAAATTACTCACCTGGTAGGTGGGGAAAACTTGAGGCTGTTGTAACTTCTTAGGTCCAGCAAGACTAGGTCCTGGATGGTTAATTATCCAGGGATTTATGACCCTCAGTCTCCTTTCTGACCTGTTTCAGGAAGTATTTAGCCAATTCAGCCAATTACAGATGAGGAATCTCTCTTGGTGGAAGCCTGGGCAGAGCAGTTGCATCCTGGGCTAGGCCCTCTCTCAGCTCTGCTGGAGACCCTGCTTCCCACCTTTCAGGTCCTCCACATGCCCCTCTGCAGGACCTGTGTGGTTGCCAGAGGTCAGCTTTCTCAGCCTTGCATCTTAGCCCTTTGGGACTCAGGCCTCAATTTATTTACTGAAGGAGGCTGAGGGTAGGGGCAAGAGATCCTTTGTGCTGAGGGAGGTGAGGGTGGAGGAGTCCCTGGGAGTTGTGGCTCTCAGATGGCCCCGTCAGAAATGGCTCCTCAGCCTCTTCCTCTCCCTGCAGCCATCACTAACGTCATTTTTGGGGAGCGCCAGGGGATGCTGGAGGAAGTAGTGAACCCCGAGGCCCAGCGATTCATTGATGCCATCTACCAGATGTTCCACACCAGCGTCCCCATGCTCAACCTTCCCCCAGACCTGTTCCGTCTGTTCAGGACCAAGACCTGGAAGGACCATGTGGCTGCATGGGACGTGATTTTCAGTAAAGGTGAGGGCTTCTCTGGCTGTGCTCTCCTCCTCGGAGCCCCAGGCCTCAGCCGGCTCCTTTGTCCCACGCTATGTCAATGGGCGCTGACTTGACCTGTAGGAAACCCACACTGTGGCGGGCAGGCGTGGGTGTCAGGAAGGCCCTGGGACCCCTGGAAATGGCGGATGGAAGGCTGGCTGTTGGGGATTATTAGATTTTTCTGGAAAAAGAGGAGCAAAGACATCTGTGATCTTCTTCAAAGGAGCTCATGCTCCCCAGAGGGCAAAGGACCAGTGTCTGAGCCACGGCTGTGCTGGATGACAGGGACTTGGGTGGGAGAGATGGGGAAGGTTGGGTGGAGAAGGCTCGTCAGGGTATGGCAGAGTCAAATCCCACCTCTGCCCCTTACAGCCATGTGACCTTGGGCAAGTGACTATGTCTCTGCACCTCTGTTATCTGTAAAATGGGGATGATGTCACATACCCCAAGAATTCGATGAAAAAACAGATATGAAGGGCTTAGTACAGAGTACGTGCTCAGTAAAACGGCAGCCTAAGAAGCACAGGGCTCCGGAATCCCCAGGCCCTTGGTGCCACCTTTCACCACAGACTGCCCTCCTTCCCACCCGCCTGCAGGGAACCTCACTCTTTTTTCTTTCCTCCTTCCCCACAGCTGACATATACACCCAGAACTTCTACTGGGAATTGAGACAGAAAGGAAGTGTTCACCACGATTACCGTGGCATCCTCTACAGACTCCTGGGAGACAGCAAGATGTCCTTCGAGGACATCAAGGCCAACGTCACAGAGATGCTGGCAGGAGGGGTGGACACGGTGAGGTGGCTGTAGGGGCGGCACCTTGTTGCCCCCTGTGCCCACGTGCCCCTTCCCCACCAGGCCCCTCGTTGTCTGAAACCCTGTTGTTCAAGGCGTTCCTACTCATGTAGGATATGTCTTCCTCCTTGCCTCCATTTCCAAAGCGCTAATCTCCTAAGATGGTGGGGTCAAAGTCAAGTCACCCAGGGCATGATTTGAGGATGATCAGCTATTTTTCTTTGCCTGTGAGAGAGGAGTGGCCGGGCATGGTGGTGAGGTCCAGGTTCCACGTAGAGTCTCCACAGGAGGAGGTCCCCTCTGGAGGCTTGCTCTATCAGAGCCCTGCTGATGGAGGACAATGCCCCCAGCTCCTGGTGGAGAACACACTCACTCAAATCCAGGGAAGCAGGCAGGAGCCCGGAAACATTGGGAGGCCGAGGCATTTGCTGTGGGCTCTGCCGTCCATGGTCTTTTTGTTGTCCTTCCTCCTCCCCTTTCCAGACCTCAGTACCCTACGGTGCCCCCAACGCCCAGAGGCATCCCCAGTGCTCTTTCCATAGCAGCATGGCACCCTAGAAACTTCTTTCTTTGGATATTAAGAATAATCAGTCCTGGCCGGGCGCAGTGGCTCATGCCTGTAATCCCAGCACTTTGGGAGGCAGAGGTGGGCGGATCATGAGGTCAGAAGTTCGAGACCAGCCTGGCCAACATAGTGAAACCCCATCTCTACTAAAAATACAAAAAATTAGCTGGGCCTGGTGGTGGGCACCTACAATCCCAGCTACTCAGGAGGCTGAGGCAGGAGAATCGCTTGAACCCGTGAGGCAGAGATTGTGGTGAGCCGAGATCGCACCACTGCACTCCAGCTCAGGTGGTAGTGTGAGACTCCATCTCAAAAGGAATACAGTAGACCTCAAATGTCCTCACGTGGCTCAGAGGGGAGGGGTGTACTGGTTTGCTAGGGCCGCTGTAACAAAATGGCATTGACTGGGCGATTTAAACAACAAACATTGATTTTCTCACAGTTCCGGAGGCTGGAAGTTCAAGGTCAAGGTGTTGGCAGGGTTGGTGCATTCTAAAGGCCTCTTTCCTTGGCTTGTAGATGGCCGTCTTCTCCCTCTGTCTCACATGGGCTTCCCTCTGTGTCTGTGTCAGAATTGTCTCTCCTCATGAGGACACTAATCAGAACTGGATTAGGATCCTCCTCAAGGACTTCATTTTACTTTAAAATCTTTAAAGGTTCTATCTCCAAATATAGTCACATTTGAGGTTCTGAGGGTTAGGACTTCAGCAGATGAATTTTGGGAGGGGGTATACAGCTCAGCCTATAACAGGGAGGCAGCAGTGTGAACGGAGGAATAGCACACTGCAGTGACAGAGGCAAGCACCTGCCACTGACAAAGCTGAGAGGTGGGGAGTGGCTAATGTGGCCATGAAGGACACGGAGAAGGCTCCACAGAGGAGCTAAAATTCAACGTGCGTGTCTTGCAGGCTGTTGCCAGGAGGAGAGAGAAGGAATAGCATTTCAGGACTAGGGAGAAGCACATGTCAAGCCCCCTGGGTGAATCACTTTCATTCCCAGGTATTATATCTGTGTTACACTCTGATGAAGGAGTTTCCATCCCTGAGACAGACTGCAAATGGAGCCTTTGAGCATACCTTAAACATAGTTCATTGTCTATTACGTAGAAGAGATCTTCAAAAATCACTCACCGGCACCAAAGAAACGATTACTGTGAGGTCACATTTATTAAGCACATACTATATGGCAGGCAGGGTCCTAAGCTGTTTACATATGTTACCTCATTTAATACTCACAAACAACCCTCTAAGGTATGTTACCATCATCCCCCTTTTTCAGATGAGGAAAGTAGAGCACAGAGAGGTTAAATAACTTGGTCGAGGTCACACAGCTAGTAACATAGTTAACCACCTTATTAAATCCCAAGTACATCTCTATGGCAGGCCTTGGCAGTACTGAGATGAATACACACATTTGATTAGAGTCTTGCAGAGGGAGCACATCCTTCCTTCTTAGGCGGGGAAGGGAATTCCAGGAAGAGGACCTAGCGTGGGGAAGACTTCTGGGCTTCAGGGGCTGTGTGCCACTCCATGTAGCTGGAACATTAGGTGTGTGTTGGAGAGAGGTGGGGAGTGGGGTATTGGGGAGCAGCAGGCAGGTGTTGAGGGGCCCTGTGGCTCAGGCCTGAGCCTCTGTATTTCATCTGGAGGCTCTGGGGAGCCAGGCAAGGATTTTAAGCTGAGAAGGAGCTGTGTGTTGTTTCAGTTTCCGCATCTGAAAAAGGGGGATGATGGTAACATACCTTAGAGGTTTGTTTGTGAGTATTAAACGAGGTAACATATGTAAACAGCTTAGGACCCTGCCTGCCATATAATATATGCTTAATAAATGGTACCTCACAGCTTGTCATTGTTGCCCCTGCCAGGAGGAGGGAGGTGGGTGTCTAAGTCTGTTGGACAAAAATATGATCCTTGGTAAGATAATGTGTCAACAACCCATGTCCTAGTCCCCAGGAGGGAGGGCTGCTCCAGGCTGGAGTCCCAAACGGGCCTGGTTTGTCATCATTGAGGAATCTGGGACTGTGGGGTTTGATGAGGGTCACTCAGATCTCTGGCGAAGGGCTAGTGGTCACAGCCTCTGGCTTACGTTGAGATTAGCTGATTAATTTCAACACACACCACACCCTAATTGCAACACTGATAGGAAACATCCGGCTGGTCTGGTTTCAGCTTCTTTGAGCCTTACTTGAAGCCATGTTGCTATAGGTGAAGCCTAAGGTTTTAGGAAGTTCTACTGGAAAGAGGGGTGGTTGTTTAACAAGGCATTTCAAAAGGAATGGCAGTCATTCTGGAGTGCAATCATTACAGAAGGATTTGGCCTCTAAGGGCCTCTGGAATTCTTTGGAAGAAGGCATTGGCTGTGTAGCTGACACTCTACTCACTGTGGACATGGGTGGGTTTTTGGTGACATGAGGGACGAGGGCAGGGACAAGTGCTGCCCTGAATGTTCCTGCCTGGCCGGCAAGAAAGGCTTCTTGGACATTTGCCTTTTAGACAATGGAATGTGTTTTGCTCTTGCAGAGGATGGTCTTGGAGACTGGGATGGGGTTCGGGGAGAAAGAGGTTCTTGGAAATGAAAATTTACCATGGGGTCAAGGACCTCAAGGGGCCCCGGAGTGACAGGCCCTCCTGGTCTTCTGTATACCCTACTCCCCACCAGACGTCCATGACCCTGCAGTGGCACTTGTATGAGATGGCACGCAACCTGAAGGTGCAGGATATGCTGCGGGCAGAGGTCTTGGCTGCGCGGCACCAGGCCCAGGGAGACATGGCCACGATGCTACAGCTGGTCCCCCTCCTCAAAGCCAGCATCAAGGAGACACTAAGGCAAGCCCACAACCACCCATGCCGCCCCCAACTCCAATCCCTGGGCAGGGCCAGGGAAGTGCCCGGGGAAAGGGTTACGAGGATGGGCTGGTGGAGGAGGTTGGAAGCAGGAAGTGAAAAGTCTGGAGGAGAAAGAAATAGAGCCAGGGCCCTACCCCCAGGTCCCCCCAGGCTGCTGCAGCTAGGGCTGAGATGCCACACAGGGTGTGGGGCTCCGGCGGCTGTGTCCAGCCTTTGGGGCCATCAGCTTCTGAGTGCCCTCCTCCCGCAGACTTCACCCCATCTCCGTGACCCTGCAGAGATATCTTGTAAATGACTTGGTTCTTCGAGATTACATGATTCCTGCCAAGGTAGGTGCAGCCAGCAGGCTGCAGGCTCTGCCAGTCAGAGAGGGCTGGGGCAGGCTGGAATTGCAGACAGAGGGTGGCACTGGGGCCCTGGTGGGGCCCTTGATGGCAGCAGTCTAAGTCTGAATGAAGGGCAGAGGTGGTGGGCATGGTGGGCGGTGACCTCTAGGATGTTATTGGAACCCAGGGTTAGGAGGGAGACTTCATGATTTGCCTGGGTCTGAGGAAAGGGTGGGACAATCATCCTGGCCTTGGGTCTTCAGCCATCCCCATTTGGTGGGTAAGGATTACAGAGGGGCGGGGCCTTGTTCAAGGCTGCACAGTGGGCAGAATGTCCTGCCCTGGAGAGCTGGGCAGCCATGCTGGGGAGTGGGAGTGGTGGTGAGAGGGCAGGGGACTAGGGAAGGGGGTTTTGTGCTCAGGGCTGTGGGGAAGTGGGGCTTACTCAGGCCTCTGATCACCTTGCCCCAGACACTGGTGCAAGTGGCCATCTATGCTCTGGGCCGAGAGCCCACCTTCTTCTTCGACCCGGAAAATTTTGACCCAACCCGATGGCTGAGCAAAGACAAGAACATCACCTACTTCCGGAACTTGGGCTTTGGCTGGGGTGTGCGGCAGTGTCTGGGACGGCGGATCGCTGAGCTAGAGATGACCATCTTCCTCATCAATGTGAGTCAAGCTGGGGACATCTAGGCACCCTGGGCTGGCCCTGGCCCTAATGAAGGCACCAATCTTCCTCCTCCTATCTCTGTCCAGAGCCCAAGGATGTCAGTGCTGGGGCGCATCTACCTCCAGTTACTTGCTCTCGCTCTCTCCCACAGTTCTCTGCTGCCCCCTCTTTCGGGCTCAACCACTCATCACCCACTGATGCCCCTGGCCATCCATTCCCCATGGTGGTGATGGGATGGGATAGGACTGAGGTTTGTAGACAAGTTAAGGTCTAGGCCTAAATCAAGGAAATGCAGCACTAAGGGTGCATTATCAGGCACTGTGCAGGGTTACACCAGGAGCTGGTGGTGAACTCCTTGGAACTCCTCAAATCACACTCCACAGGCACTGCCTATGGGTGAATTGGCCTGGCTAGGGAGACAGATCCTCCCCTGCCCTCCCCTAAACCTACCATCTGCCTTTCTCAGATGCTGGAGAACTTCAGAGTTGAAATCCAACACCTCAGCGATGTGGGCACCACATTCAACCTCATTCTGATGCCTGAAAAGCCCATCTCCTTCACCTTCTGGCCCTTTAACCAGGAAGCAACCCAGCAGTGATCAGAGAGGATGGCCTGCAGCCACATGGGAGGAAGGCCCAGGGGTGGGGCCCATGGGGTCTCTGCATCTTCAGTCGTCTGTCCCAAGTCCTGCTCCTTTCTGCCCAGCCTGCTCAGCAGGTTGAATGGGTTCTCAGTGGTCACCTTCCTCAGCTCAGCTGGGCCACTCCTCTTCACCCACCCCATGGAGACAATAAACAGCTGAACCATGTGGTGTCTTGCGTTCCATCAGACTCATTAGGTGTTCATCACTCCCGTGGAGATGCTTCCTGTGTTAAAGCAGGATCTGGGCATGCTCAGGAGACCCCAGGTAGCCACACTTGAAGCCACCTCTGCTGGGACCCCCTCACCCATGGCAGTTCAGGAGCCAGCAGAATCAACTCCAGGCTCCCTGGGGCAAGGGGTGAGGCAGAGTGGGGCAGAGGAGGGGAGGCAACTGCTACTGTGCCAGGAGCTACAGAAGCATCAGGCAGAAGGACAAAGGAGAACTGGGGAGTTCTGTGGGTGGCCCCAAGAAGTGTGGGCCAGTACTGCCTTTCTGAGTGGACCTGCCCCACAGGGGTAAGGCTCGCACAGGGCTCTGCTTGGGTGAACTCTGGGTGGGAGTTCCCTGTGGGGCATGAGGACTTCCTGCCAAGGCCCAGCCAGAGTCCTGGGCATGGCAAAGGCCGAGAACTGTGGGTGAGAACCCCTGCTACTGAAGGGCTGGTGTGAGGTGGCTGACTGGGGATGAGAGGCCAGCCTGCTTCCTTTACCATTCCCGGGCCTCCTCTGGGCTTGCTCCAGGCCTCGTGTTCTTGCTCTGGGGGCTTGCGCCCCCTTGTCCAAGGGTGGGAGGTGGGGATACTATTCTGCAGCAGAGCCGCTGGTTTGTCATTTGGACTGAATGACACTGGTCTCGACTTCCGCCCCCTAATCCCTTGGGGTCTCCCAACTCCTGACCTGATTCCTCTTGGCCCTCGGCTATCCAAGTCTAAGTCCTGCAGGCAGGTGGGGGAGCTAGTCCAGCTGAGGCCAGTGGTCCAGCTGGCCTGGCCTCTCCTGCCCGAAGCTGTGGGATCTGGATCCACTCTTGGAGCCCTTCTGCTTTCCCCACCACAAAATCCTCTTCCCTGTTGTCTTTGTCTTTCCTTCCTGTGTCCTTTTTCTTCTCTGGTCCTGAGTCAGCTTTGACTCAGAAATGTTATAGCTGGAAAGAGGCTTACAGCCAATGAGGTCAAGCTCTACATGGAATAGATGGGGAAACTGAAGTCCAGAGAGGTTGCTTGGGTCCCTTGAGGTCACACAGCCTGTTTGCCCCCAGAACCTGGGCCTCCTGACTCCCTGTAGGTGCCTCCTTTCCCCTGGCCCAATCTGCTCTCCTGCCCCGGCTACATTTGGACACATCATTGCCAGCTCAGCCTAGTGGCTTAATGGAGTATTTCACAATGATACGTGACTGCCACAGGAAGGCTTCAAGCCTCCAAGTCTTTCCCTTTCCAAGAGACAGACAAACCAAACTTGAAAGAAGGAATATCAGACATGATAGATGTTTTGGGGCAGATGAAAAGGACAAGCCTCCCTCGTATTTCCCAACAGAGCTGGTCTCTGGTGGCCTTGCTTCTTCTCCGGGTCTGGAAGGGGCCCGTCTCCCTGGCCCCTGCTTTGGAAGGCCTCTTCTCTCCACCCTCCTGGGTCCACTGTGGCCCTTGGCTTTCCAAAGATGCTGGCTCCTGGGGCAGGCGGGAGGCTGTAAGGCTGCAGCAGAAGACCCAGGCCCAGGCCCAGAGTGAGGTCTAGGAGGAGGAAGCAGGGCCCCCAGGCTGCCCTGCTCCAGGAAAGAGGAAAATGCTCACAGAGCTACAACATTTAATAACGTCATTTTTAGGGGGCGGTGATGAGACTCCCCAGCACACAGGGAAGGAGGCCTGCTCTGGGGCTCAGGTCTGCTGAGAGTTAGCGGTCTCCTTCTGGGGGCTCAAGGGCTTGTTGAGCTTAGAGTCTGAGCTGGGCAGCAGGGGCTCCAGCTCTGAGGGCTGCTTGAGGTCCATGGAGTGGGTGAGGGCACTCTGTGGTGTGCAAAGCGGGGTGCGTGAGTACCCCCCATTCCCAGGGGGTGACCTGCTCAAGGGCATATTGCCTGACAAACCAGGCCTCAGAGTATCCAGAATCCAGTGGGCCATGACCTGGCAAAGATTTCTAAACCCATTTTGCCACAGCAGGTGACACCTAATTTCTCCAAGGGTCCCCAGGGCTCAGGTGAGTGTGCAAAGGTTGCCTTTGTTCCTTGCCTGTTCCCTCATCCTTTCCAGGCCTTTCCCAGGAGCCGCTGCTGAGCTTCTGGCCACGGGCAAAGCACAGCTGGCTCAAGAGCAGGAGAAGTCAGGGTCTTTGCTTTGCGGGGCTGGGCGGTCCCGGGGTTGAACTTGAGGGGCAGTTGTGAGCAGGCCTGTTTGTTCTCGGGAAGTTGGCAAAGTGGAGCCTACATCGTGGCCATCTGAGAAGGGTGTGCTAATTTGAGAATCTTAGGCTCTATGGATTCAGGGGGGTAGGGCCACAAGCTACTCTGCCCATGAGCGCAGCCAGTCCTAAAGCACAGTGTCAGGGCATCCTGGAGATGCCTGCATGGACCCCTCATCCACAGTCATCTCCTTGAGTTTCACAGCACCCCATGGGGGAAAGGGTAGTTTTGGCAGGGGTTTTCTGTTCCCCTTAGACAGGTGGGGGAATTAAGACCGAGCCTTCGGTTGGTAATGGAGCAGGAATGGGAGCCTAGGACTCCTGACCCCCAGCCCTGGAGTTGGCTCCACAATGGCTTTTCTCAGGGCCCAGTGACTTTGGGGGTGCGGTGGCTTCCTGCTCCACCACCTGAACCCCTGGGAGCTACTCCAGGGGGGTCACTCACAGGCTGTTCTATGATGATGGAGTTCGAGGGGTGCCTGAAACCTTTTTCTTGCTCCTGCAGCCGTGTGGCCAGATCCTGCTTCTCTCGTCCCCAGCGTCGAGCTGAGTCCTCTAACTGCAGACACAGAGAGGGACAATTGGAGGACCATGGGCAGCAGGGCTAATCCCTGATGGCCAGGACAACCAGGGCCTGAGCCTGCTGTCCAGGCAGAAAGCAAAGCTCTGGGCCATGTGGGCTTGACACCTTCCCGAGACCTCAGGGGTGGCGGGGTGAGGGTGAGGGGGCCAAACAGTCAGGCAGCCTGACCAAGACACAGATGGACATTTCAACAACATACTGAGCTCTGATCCTGAGTCCACACTGATCCCTGATTCTGGTCATAGACAGAGCCTGACCCTGGTCACACAATGAACCCTGACCCTGGATATACACTGAACCCTAACCCTGGTCATACACAGAACCCTAACCCTGGTCATACACAGAACCCTAACCTCGTTGTACACGGAACCCTGACCCTGGTTGCACACTGAACGCTGACTCTGGTCACACACTGAATCCTAACCCTGGCTGCACACTGAACCCTGACCCTGGTTGTATACTGAACCCTAACCCTGGTCGCACACTGAACCCTGACCCTGGTTGTACACTGAACCCTGACCCTGGTCACACACTGAACCCTAACCCTGGTCACACACTGAACCCTGACCCTGGATGTACACTGAACCCTGACCCTGGTCACACACTGAACCCTAACCCTGGTTGTACACTGAGCCCTGACCCTGATTGTACACTGAACCCTGACCCTGGTCACACACTGAACCCTAACCCTGGTTGTACACTGAACCCTGACCCTGGTTGCACATTGAACCCTAACCCTGGTAACACACTGAACTCTAACCCTGGTTGTACACTGAACCCTGACCCTGGTTACACACTGAACCCTAACCCTGGTTGTACACTGAGCCCTGACCCTGGTTGCACACTGAACCCCGACCCTGGCCACACACTAAGCCTTGATCCTGGTCATAGATTGAGCCTAGACTCTGCTCACACACTGAGCCCTGGTTATAGGCTGTGTGGTGAGCCTGATCCAGCCTCATCAACTCCTGCATCTCACCCACCTGGCTTTCCAGGGACAGGATCCGGCTCTGAGCGTGTTCCAGCTTGGCCAGGAGGTTGAACTTGTCTGAAGTACCAGAGAGGAGATCCTGTGGGCAAAGCACAAACTCACATTTGGCCCCAGCTGGAGGCTGTGGCAGTGTGAGCTTGGGAAACCATAAGGTATTGAGGAAGAAACCAGTCAGGCCTGAGTTCAGACTGAGCTCCCGAGGCAGAGCGTCAGACCTGGGCCGAACCCTCTTCTGGAAGTTCAGAACAGGGTCTGGCATGTGCTTTTTTCACAGCTGTTTCCCACACAGATTTTGAGAATACGAAGTTTTGACACAACATTTTTTTTAATGTAAAATGCATTAGGGAGCCCCCTATAATTAACGCACTGGGAGTCTTTGAGTGAAGTGAAGAACCTGTGAGGCAGTTGACCTCATCCCTCACACTTTACCTGGATGTCCATGAGTCAGGTGTGCTTTCAACAGAACTCACCTCCGGCGAGTCCTGGGATGGAGAGAAAACTCTCCTGTGCCCCTGCCCTGCCCAATATTCTGTGATTCCAAATGTTCTGCTTTGGGGTTTATGTAAAGCAAGGGGCCCCTGAAGCATCTTCAGAGGTGGAGCAGGGCCTGGGCATTTCTGGGCCCTGGGCCACCCACCTGTGCGGGCAGGGTCTCTGTGCACTCTGAGTGGCCTGGGCCATGCGTCTCTTGTAGCCTCTCTGTCAAGTCTCCTCCTGCTCCCAACTCCCCGGGGTCCACCTGGGATGGAAAAGGGCTCTCCAAGGCTGCACCAAGACCAGGGAATGCTCCAGAAGGGAGTTTTGAGAGGCCTGTGTAGGGTCCAGGTGGAGGCCAGCCAGGTGAAAAAGGGGTCAGGGTTCAGGGACCAAGGGTCAACAAGGGGCTTGCTTTCTCCTGGGATGCTAGATGAGGTTAAAGGTGAAGTGTTCGGGGACACACATTCCGCAGGAGAAAAAGACCAAGGCCTGAGAGCTGATTCCAGGAGCCCCCAGGCAGACTGGAGACCCTGGGAAGCTTAGCTCCTGGTCTTGATCTTCAACTTGGGTTGTACCATGGGTGATTTCTGGGCACCCAGTGACCGGCATAGGCAGGCCCAGGTCAAGGGCCTCTTACCGGCAGGGCCTGTTGCTGCAGAATGATGGGGGCCTGCTGGTGGCGGTTCTTATCCAGCTCCGTCCGCAGCTTCGCGTTTTCTGCCAGCAGCACCGAGTAAAGTTCAACCGGCAGGTTCTCTCCCATAGAACCCAAGGGAAGGCCAGAGGCTGAGAGCATAGGGAAGCCTAGAGACACGGCCACAGATGTTGGTGAGATGGGCTCTCCTGCTTCCCATGTCCCTGTCCTGATCTGCTCCAGCATTTTGCTTCAATCTGCCACCCCTCCCCTCTACTCCCAAGCCTTCAATGGCTCCCTACCACCAGTGGGATCAGGTGCACACAGGCTGTCCTTCTAGGCTCTTTAGAACCTGACCTCAACGTTCTCTCTAACTCCTCATTTGTCTTCAGTGTATTTCAGCTCCTCACCTCTCTCTCTTCCTCCCTTCTCTGATCCTGGAATTCTTCTCACTCCCTGGGCCTTTGATCTGGCTGTTTCCCCTCCCTAGGTTGCCTTCTCAGTCTCATCCAGACTCCTGGATGACCTCAGGCTTCCTGAAAGGCCAGCCCAGCTTTCATTGCATTCTAAAGGCTCCTAGAAACACCCTCCTGCCCCTGAGACCCTCAGCGGTGAAGGCTAAGCACAGGGCTGGGCACACAGGGGCCCTGGGTGAGGTTGCACAGGCAGGCTCAGGGAAATCCCTTGCTTTGGGCTGGCCTGATATGGTGTTACCTGGTCCTTTCTGCTTATCAGAGGCTGATTGGCAGTTTTAGGTGGCTTTTGGTTAATATCGATGGGGAAGAAAACCTCCAAATCATTTATTTATTTATTTATTTTGAGGCGGAGTCTCCCTCTGTCACCCAGGCCGGAGTACAGTGGCACAATCTTGGCTCACAGCAACCTCTGCCTCCTGGGCTCAAGTGATTCTCCTGCCTCAGCCTCCCAAGTAGCTGGGATTATAGGTGCCCGCCACCATGCCCAGCTAATTTTTGTATTTTTAGTAGAGATGGGGTTTCACCATGTTGGCCAGGCTGGTCTTGAACTCCTGACCTCAAGTGATCTGCCCTCCTCGGCCTCCCAAAGTGCTGGGATTACAGGCATGAACCATTGCGCCTGGCCCCAGATCATTGATTTAATCAAAGTATTTTTGTTTGTTTGCTTTGCAGAGGCAGAATCTTTGGCGGTATGGGGAAATAATTCGACGGATCCTGGGGCTAGGAGCTGGGAAGTGTTGCCCCAGGTGGCCCTTCTTCAGGGGAAGGCCCTCTCTGCTGTGCTAGTCTGCAGGGCCCTCCTCTGGAGGTCCACCCTCTTTCTAGCCTGGCTCACACTGCATCCCAATTGTGTTCTGAGGGGCTTCCAGGGAAGGAGGGAGCTCAGGGGATCTCTGGATGGGGCGCCTGAATGAGGAGGGGAGCAGGGCAATCCTGGGTCTCCCAGGCCCACAGACATAACTGAGTGCAGGGGACCTCTTCGCAGGTTCTCCTGAAGCTGAGAGGCTCCAGGAAGGCAGGGCCTCCAGGGGTGGAGCAGAAGCTGGGGAGCTGATCACATCAGGGTGTGGACCCACCCGTGTAGGGCTTTCCCTGCTGCCTGTTCAGAGGAGGGGGCTTGCTCCTGTCCTGCAGCCTGTCCTCCAGCACCCGCTCCATCTTCTCGATCACCTGGAGAGCAGAGCAGAGGCTGGGCTGGCCCAGGGGCTCCCTACTCTGCCATCATCAGTTGGCCTCGGGGGCAGCCCCTCTGCCACCTGCCTTCTCTTGGTGCCGCACAGTCTCCTCCAGCGCCTTCATCTTCTGCAGCTTGCCCTGGTACTGCTTCAGCAGAGCGGCCTGTGGCTGCTGGGCCTGATACAGAAGGAGCAGCTCCTTCTCTCGATCATTCTTCTGTGAGATGGGGGAGGAGAGAAGGGGAGAGAATGGGTGCCTGGGAGTCCACCTTGGCCCTGAGGGTCCACCTCGGCCCCTCTGCTGAATCCTCCACCAGGCTGGTCCCCCTTTCTTCCGTGCTTCCATTCCCTCTGTGCCTGTTCTCCCTTCTCCTCCCAGACTCTTCTCACCCCGATGCTCCCCCACCATAGCTCCCTCCCCTCTGCCCCCACAAGCCCCAGCTCACTCGAATCAGCTCATTCTGCAAATGCTGCACCCTGTCCCTCAGTTTCTTCATATCCAGCTCACTCAGCAGCAGTTTCTGCTTCATGGACACTGTTAGGTGGGTTGGGGAGCTGGCTCAGGGAGGAAGCCTCTCCCAGCTCAAATCAGCATGGTCAGTAGCAGGAAGGCAGATATCCCTTGGCCCGAGGGCTTGGGACGGGACTGGATTCTCTGTTTCCCATCCCTGAGAGGACCCAGCTGGGCAGGGACTGTGTGAGTGTCTGTGGGCGAGGGGCTCCTATTTGCCAGAGTCCAGCAGCATGCACATCTGGGAGAAGCTCCCAGCCACCCTATTGCACAACCTGGAGCCTGGGCCCAGGCAGAAGCCCGGGTGCCCTTGGTGGCCTGCACATCCTCACCCGTGTTCTGGGCCTCACTGGCTTTGCCCTGCCCCTCTTCCTCCTCCTGCTGGGCCAGGCGGCTCCTCAGTATGCGGTTCTCTCCTTCCAGGATGCTGGCCTGTCTCCGCAGAGACAGGATGTCCTCTGCCATCTTCTGCATGGCCCGCCGGTAGTTGTTCATCTCCTGTGGATCCCAGAGCCCAGAGCTGAGCCCACTGCCCCATAGCAACCCTGGTCCCACATCCACATCTACACTTGAAAGTCAGTGGGTCCCCCACAAGGCCAGTGAGCACCAGGAGCCCCAAGCCATGGCCCTAAGTCTTAGCAGCTCCCTGGAAGGGTGGTTATGACTTGATCCTCACCCATCCTGGCCATGTGAGGGCAGCCACACTAATGTTCTCTCCCCGGGGCCACATCACGTCCTGTGATACCAACTCAGGGGGAAACCCCAGGTGTGGACACAGGGGAGGAGGCCTATGGGCAATGGAGACTTGAGAAGATCCAGGGCCAGGTTTGCAGGGTCTGGCTCGATCATAGCTATTTCTTCACCTTTTCCCTCCTCCTTCCCCATCTTCTAACTCCTCTCATTCCTCACGTCACTGAGAACCCAGGGAAGAACCTCTCAGAAATCCCACTGGATGCCACTTGGAAGGTGACTGGGCATCAGCCCTCCAAACAGCTCAGTAGTCAGAGGACCCAAGGTCACCCTGGGAGACCCAGGTTAGAGCTTAGTGGAGGCTGGGATCCAGCTACAGGATGTGGGGTATGAGGTGGGGCTGGGGGCTGGAGTCAGCCATGAGGTCAGGAACAACAGCAATCCTAATGTCTGATGCTCATTGAGCATTCACTGTGTTCCAGGTCTTCTTCTAAGCTTTTTATGTGCCCTCCCTCAGTCCTCTCATCAGACCTGCGTGGATAGGTACTATTATCTCCGTTATACCAATGCGGAAACCAAGGCCCAGAGAGGTGAGTAACTTGCTCAGTTACAAGACTGATTAGTGATAGAGCCAGGGTCTGAAATCCAGGCCTGCAGGGACTTGAGCCTCTGTTCTGAAGAGCCGTGCAATTCTGCCATGAGGCCTCCATATGTGGACACTTCACAATACGCTGAGAAGTGATAAAAGCAGGCTACAAAAAGGAATGATCAGTGCAATCCCCAATCGAGAGAAAAAATCATGCCTGCCCATGTGCATGTATATATATATATATATGAAAATTAATAGGCTATATTTATATGCATTTGTTTTATAAGCAGAAATTCCCTACTGTTATTTATAAAGTTTCACAAAGGGAGTTTCTTAAATCTGAACAGCACAAAATAGAAAAGGATCGTGCAGTGGCACCATCATAGCTCACTGCAACCTCGATGTGAAGCCAGAGAGGTCTGGATGGAGGAACAGCAGGTGGGAGCTGGGATGGGGGAGGAAATGGGCATGGGGAAGTGAGTTTGCTCCTGCGTTTGCTGAGCCCCTGTGGCTGTGGGCTTCCTGAAGCTGTGGGAGGCTGTGTACATACGGGTGGGGACTCACACCTCCAGGAAGCAGAGCTCGGCCCCCAGCAACCACCTGGGCCTCATGCTGACTGCGGATATGGCCTGCCTTCTCAGCCACTGCCTCCCACCTGCTGCATGGCAGGCCATGGCTTCGAGAGCAGGGGTCTCCTGGCAGCAGGGGCCCACCAGACACCACTTGTCACCTGCCACTGTCTAGCCTTCTGGTTGGGCTCCCTCTAATTGCACCAGTGCCAGGTTCATCTCTCCAGCACTTGCCCCTGTTGAGTTCCAGGTCTTGGCTCCTCCAGATCTGCCCATCTGGTGTCCTCGGACAGCATTGTTAATGGAGAGACTCTGTCTAGAGACCACACACACACAGGGCTTTGCAGTCAGGCCCAGATCAGCAGGCCAGCTTGGCCACTCACATGCAGTGTGAGTTCAGCCAGGCCCCTTCACCTTTCTGAGCCTCAGAGTCCTCACACGGAGATGCCTGGTGTTGCTGTGAGGCTCAAGAGTTGGTGCGTGAAGCCCCTGCCCAGGCAGGTATAATTTGGAGGCTGCTGCTCTCCTCCACACCCATTTCTATTCTAATCACTGCTTTAATCAACAGGTCAGACCCCTTCCTCTTCCTCCTTGCTGCCCCCAGAGCTCCCAGGCCCTTCCTTTGCTGTGCTCTAAATCTTCAGTTTATGGCAGCCCATTACTGATGGGGGACTGACCAAAGGAAGCACACGATATTTTGGCAAAGGAAATTTGGCCCCTTCTTTCTTTGCCCAGCCTGGTTCAAGCTCTTAGCATATCTGCCCTGGACAATTACAGCAGCATCCAAATGGGTTTTCTTGGCTTCCAGCGAAACACGCACACACACATCCAGGAAAATGCATGCAGGGATGCTCACTGCAGCACAGCTTGTGGTCTTATATGAGGGCATGCTCAGTCTCTGCACCACAGGCTGTGGTCACAAAGGATGACCCAGATTTTATTATACTGACACACAGAGATGGCCACGCTCTATTGTGAAAGGAAAGTGCATGTGGCAAATTAATACGATCCTGTCCATAACCGGGTTGTGAGCATGCTCATGGAGTGAGTCCTGGGGGAGGGGGCTGCCAGTTCCTCAGCCCACCCCATGGGTCTGATCACCCCCTCTTCTCATTCAGAGGGTCATTTTTTCTAAGACCCTCCTGTTCTCCAACTCAGCTGTTTTGGGGCATGAGCAGAGCTCTGTTATTTTTATTTTTGTTTTGTGACGGAGTCTCACTCCATCACCCAGGCTGGAGTGCAGTGGCACAATCTTGGCTCTCTGCAAACTCTGCCTCCCAGGTTCAAGCCATTCTCTGGCCTCAGCCTCCCAAGTAGCTGGGACTACAGGCGTGCACCACCACGCCCAGCTAATTTTTGTCTTTTTAGTAGAGATGGAGTTTCACCATGTTGGTCAGGCTAGTCTCGAACTCCTGACCTCAGGTAATCTGCCCGCCTCAGCCTCCCAAAGTGCTGAGATTAGAGGAATGAGCCACCGCACCTGGCCCAGAGCTCTGTTATTAACACCTCGCTTTGACAGACAAAGAAAGCTGGGGCCCAGAGCGAGGAAGGAGATGGAGGGAGAGCATGGCTTCTGGTGAGGCCGCGTCCCTGTCTCAGTCAGACGGTCCCTGCTGGACTCCACTCCTCGGAGACTAGTCCTATAGGCCTCCACAGGTGCCTATCCCCCTCCCCCACCAAGCCTGGCTGCTCTCTGAGAGAGAGGGCTCCCCCAGGGCATGGAGAGGGATCTCGGCCCTGGCTTACCCCTCAGTCTGTATGCTCTCTTCCCTCTACATCTGTGGGAAACTGAAGGACCTGCTTTCCCTCCTCGGCTTCCCCCACCCGCACAGCAGTGACCTTGAGCAGCACAGCTGGTCTGGGAGGACACTGCCTGCAGATGAGCAGCCCTGACCACTCCCTACAGCCTGGAGCTGGGCCTCCCCAACCCCCAGGGCCATGCTCTGCGTCACAGCCCAGCCTTGAGAACAGGAAGGACACCATGGCCCAGATTCCTGTTGTGGTCCTGCTGACTCCCCTGCTCCAATCCCTCCCCTCCAGCCCCCTCCCCACTTTCCAGTCTGCTGGGGGAGGGTCAGGCACCAGCCACTTCCCTGTCTTGTCCCTAGGCTTAGCCTCCTCTAGAAGGACTGACTCCAAAGCCATTGTGCCTAAGGCTAGTGCCCACTGCATTCTCCTCACCCATTGACACTGCGCTTTCCCCATCCAAGACCCAGCTATCAGATCCTGCCCAGGTGAGAAATGTCAGGTGTCCTTGGGTTTGAATTGCCCCACTGCCACTGAGCGCTGGTGGCCTTTGCTGCACCGACACCTTCGCTTTGGCTCTGGAAGGGAGGCTGTTCTCTGAGCCTTAGCGTCCTCATCCGTGGAATGGGAAAATCACCCCACCCCAAGGGGGGTTGCTGTGGAGAGAGAGGGGGCATGAACAGTGCCAGCCCAGGCTCTGGCACACAGGGTGCCTGGCAACAGCATCTCTTTTTCCTCCACCACCTTCTGAGTGCTTTCTTGTTTTCCAAGATGGAGACTTACTCTGTCACCCAGGCTAGAGTGCAGTGGCATGATCATAGCTCACTGCAACCTCGAACTTCTGGGCTCAAGTGGTCCTCCTGACTCAGCCTCCCAAGTAGCTGGGACTACAGGTGTGTGCCACCATGCCTGGCTAATTTTTAAATTTTTTGTAAAGATGGGGCCTTGCTATGTTGCCCAGGCTGGTCTTGAACTCCTAGCCTCAAGAGATCCTCCTACCTTGACCTCCCAAAGTGCTGGGATTATAGGCATGAGCCATTCTGCCTGCCGTCGCACTTTTAATGGTTCTTATTATAACCCTGGGCAGTGGGCACAGAAGATATGATGATGTGACTACTTTCATTGTATAGAAACTGAGGACCAGTTCCCACGAAGGAGGAGGAATGGCGATTGTCTTTGTTTTTATGCTGGGAGTGGGGAGAAGGAGGAGCTGGGTTAGGGAGGGTGTGTTGGGGGTAAGGTACCTGCAGGGCCTTGGGTGCAGGAGGCCTAAAGAGGGTAATGCTTAACCCTTACCCACCCCCCGCAAAAAAATAAGAAGTGCTTCTGGCAGAATCTGAGGCACTGCATCCAATGACACCTGTGGCTACTTAGGGTCCTTATAAACTCATTGTAAAATGGGGAAGCTGAGATTGGAAGTAGTGTTCCCAAGGTCACAGAGACTCAGTGTAAAGGCTACATTGGAAGCAGCACAGTCATCAGCAGTTGCTGAAGGCCATGTCCACACTGGGGCCATGGAGCCCAGACCAGCCCAGACCGTCCCTGCTTGTGATGGTCTCCCATCTACACCAAGGAGATGGCAGTGACATCTGTGACAGAGGAGAGCTTACAGGAGTCTCTTTTCCTAGCCCCAGGTCTAGGAAGCCTTCCTGGAGGTGGTGATAGCCTGAGCTCACTCTAGGAGGGTGAGCAGGTGTTACCCGGGGTAGGGGAGAGGGCTCTTGGGCAGAGGAGACACTGTGGCAAAGGCAGGGAGGAGAGAGAGTGTATGATCAGGAACAAAGTCGGTGACTTCCTGGAGGGCAGAGTGCTGGTTGGGGAGTAAGTAGGGGTGTGGCCAATCTCAGGAGCTTGGATTCCATCCTGCAGGCCAGTGAAGGGCCTAAGCTGGAGGGGGTTTGTGGCAAGATGCCTCAGGCCACCAAGATGGACAGAGAAATGAATGGAGGCCCAGAGCAGGGAGCCAGGGACCCTTGCTGGGTGGAGGCAGACCAAGGAGGACTCAGCATGACAGAGTGAAGTGAACAACGAAGAGGAGGGTTGGGGATGGCAGAGCAGGAGGTTGGCAGGGGGCTAGGGTCTTTGGGTGGAGGAGGTGCATGCCTGTAGTGTGGAGGAGGAGGAGGTGGGGGAGGAGGGGGAGGAGTGGGAGAAGTCTGGGGCCTTTTGGTAGAGGTGCATGCCTGGAGTGGGAAGGAGGAAGAGGGGAGAAGGAGGAGGTGGGGGATGAGGAGAGGAGGAGCTGGGGTCTTTGGGTGGAGGAGGCGCAGGTCTGGAGTGGGAAGGAGGGGGAGCTGGGTTGGGGGAGGAGCGTGTTAGGGGTGAGGTACCTGCAGGGCCTCAGGTGCAGGAGGCCAGCAGTGGCTGATGGTGATCAAGCCTGGAGTGAATCCTGGTGGGGGACAGGTGGCAGGACAGCCCTGGTTCCATTGGAGCCTTGGGAAGGGAGCAGATTTTCAGCGTCTGGCAACTGTGGAGTGAGGAGGGGGTTCAAGGACAAGGGGTGGTAGGAGAGGAGCTCTCAGGACTAGCGCAATTGCCAGAGAGGTAGGAGGAAAAGCGGCGAGAGCAGGCTGGCAAGAGGGCTTCAAAAGGAGGACAACCACCTTCCGCTTGAGTCTTGCGGCTTGGATGATGGAGATGAACCCGCCGCTAGAGATGGTCTGAATGGGACACAAAGCAAAACTCACCTTCATAAAAACATTAAAGAACTGGCAAGTGAGTGAGGAATTATGGGGCAGAGATAGGGGCAGGTGGAGACCCATACAGCGGGATACTTCAGAGCAATAAGAAACCATGATGTGGGTGAACCTCACATACATCAAGGTGAGCAAAAGAGCCGTGTGCAAAGCAATGTGTATGTCACGGTGCCCTCTCCATGAAGGTAAAAATAGAAAATTTAGGCCAGAGTGATTCGAGAGGCATGCTCAGGTAGCGACAGTATAAAGAAGCAAAGCAGGTCAGGCACAGTGGCTCACACTTTTTTTTTTTTTTTTTTTTTTTGAGATGGAGTCTCTTTCTATTGCCTAGGCTGGAGTGCAGTGGTGTGATCTTGGCTCACTGTAACCGCCTCCCGGGTTCAGGCAATTCTCCTGCCTCAGCCTCCTGAGTAGCTGGGATTACAGGCGCCTGCCACTATGCCGGGCTAATTTTTTTTGTATTTTTAGTAGAGACGGGGTTTCACCATGTTGGTCAGGCTAGTCTCGAACTCCTGACCTCATGATCCGCCCACCTTGGCCTCCCAAAGTGCTGGGATTACAGGCGTGAACCAACCGGCAGCTTAACCCTTTAATCCCAGCACTTTGGGAGGCTGAGGCAGGCAGGTCACTCCAGGTCAGAAGCTTGAGACCAGCCTGACTAACATGGTGAAACCCCATTTCTACACAAAAGCCCAAAAAATAGCCGGGCGTGGTGGCGGGTGCCTGTAATCCCAGCTACTTGGCAGGCCGAGGCCTGAGAATCACTTGAACCCGGGAGGCGGAGGTTGCAGTGAGCTGAGATTATGCCACTGCACTTCAGCCTGGGTGATAGAGCAAGACTGTGTCCCAAAAATAAAAAAAATAATTAAAAAATAAAAAAATAAAGAAGCAAAGCAAGGACAGAAAGCTGGCAGAGTGATTACATCCAGGAGAGGAGGGGTGTGGCTGGGAGGGGCATGAGGGGCGTGAGGATGCTGGTGATGCTGTTTCCTGACCTGGGTGGTGGTTTCATGGACATTTGCTATATAATAATTTATAATAATTATGTTCTATATGTTCAATGCAATTTTTCTTAAATTGTGAAATGGGTTACATTTCACAATTTAAAAGAATTTTGGAAAAAGGAGAGAAGGCTTAGCAGTTTCCGGATCTGCAGAGGGAGCCTCTTGGTGTGGCCTGGAGGAAGTGACCTTGGCCAGTGCTCTGAATGCTGGGTGCTGTGGGTAAGGTCTGAGGGGACAGTGAGGTTGAGAAGGGTCAAAGGTAGCTAGGAAAACAGGGTCAAGGAGAGGCATAGTGGTGGAGAGAGAGGATTTCCTGGAGACTTAGAAGGTAAGAGGGAGGGATGCATAGGGGAGGTATGGGCTGGAGCAGGGGTAGGAGCGGGGAGGGGCTTCACTCTCCCAGAGAAGGAGGCCTGAGACAGGTTGCTGGGTCTGAGGTAGTGTGGGTGGCAGTCTGGCTAGTGTTGAAGTGGGTGCAGAGGGTGGGTTTGCTGGACCAGGCACACACCCTCTCCTCTGTCCCCTTCCTTGGGCGGCCACCCAATCTCAGGGTTCCCCGGATCCCCAGGATCCATCGCTGGCAGGCCCAGGCCATCTGCATGTGGTTTGCCTTTGCAGTCAGCAGAGGGCAGCCGCCTCCCACAGACACTCAGCTTCAGCCTGTGGTGGGATGAGGCCAACCTGAGTGGCCCACAGCTCATATTGTGGGGAAGGTGTGTGCGGAGCTGTCTCTCTCCCCAGTTCCAGGAGCACATGTCCTTCCTCCAGGTGGTCCAGCCAGCCTTCCAAGACCTCTAGCCCTGGAACCCCCATCTCACAAGTTCTGATATTGGGACCAGAGAGGTGCAGAGATTTGCCTGAAGTCACTCAGTGAATCTTGAACCTGGGGCCTCTATCCTGGGTTAGCTCCAGGGAAGATGTTGGGGCTGAGTGGTGAGGACAGGGGCTTGGGATGAGACCCATCTTGCAGTAACCCCAATTCTTCCCTGCTAGCTGCTAATTCCTTGCTGCCCTGAGACTGTGAGGAAGCCCAAACTAAGTGTATGGGAGAGAGCGAGGCCCACCCAGCCCTGGCTGCTCCCGCCCCTGCCCGTAGGTCGTCCCAGCTGAGGACTTAGACCTGCTGTGCCGTGGCTGAGTTCCTGACCCACAAAGCTATGAGATGTGATAATAAAAGAAAAAATTATCGTTTTAAATGATAACATTTTGGGGTAGTTTGTTATTGCAATAGGTAACTGGAACATCCTCTCTGGCCTCCAGACCCCTCCAATGACTCCCACTGGCCCTCATGGTAAATTTCCAACTTTGAATTTCCACCTCTTTCAGCACAGCTAGACCCCCTTTCAGAATTTAGCCCTGGCCACTCCACCCATGGGCCCAGCCTTCTGGGCCCCTATCTTCAAAGCCTTCCCTACCTCTGCCCAGAAGCTGTTTCTCGCCTACACCAGCCTGGCACTCCTCATCTGCCAAGGGCCACGCACATGCTCCCCCTTCAGCTCCTAAAGACCTTGATGGCAGGGAAGGGCCTCCCTGCCTCCCTGACTTACTCAGGCAAATCCTTTGACCCAGACCCTGCTCCTGCCAGATTTGCCAAACAGAACTCCTGTAGGTGTCCTTTGAATGTCAGAGAGGTCTCTCTTGGCTAATCTAAATTTCCCAATACTTTTAAAGGGAATTAACCACATTTCTTGGCCCGGTGCGGTGGTTCACGCCTGTAATCCCAGCACTTTGGGAGCCGAGGGGGGCGGATCACTCACGGTCAGGAGTTCAAGACCAGCCTAGCCAACACAGTGAAACCCCCTCTCTACTAAAAATACAAAAAGTACACCGGGCACAGTGGCTCATGCCTGTAATCTCAGCACTTTGGGAGGCTAAGGGAGGTGGATCACCTGAGGTCAGCAGTTTGAGACCAGCCTGGCCAACATGGTGAAACCCCATCTCTACTAAAAATACAAAAATTAGCCAGGCATGGTGGTGGATGCCTGTAATCCCAGCTACTTGGGAGGATGAGGTGGGAGAATCGCTTGAACTGGGGGGCAGGCGGGGGTGGGGCGGAGGTTGCACTGAGCTGAGATCGTGCCTCTGAACTCCAGCCTGGGCAACAGAGCAAGACTCCATCTCAAAAATAAATAAATAAATAAAATAAGATAAAATAAAATAAAGCGAATTAACCACATTTCTTTAAAATACAATGGAAAATTCAGCTGGCAAATTGATGCTGGCCTCCTCCAGTTCCAGAGACCAGGGAGCAAAAGCCCAGTTCTGAGGGGCCGTCTCAGGGACAAGTCGGGGAGGATGGAGGTTGTGCCTGAAAATTTGCTGAAAGGGACTAGTGTTTTCCCAGGGGTTGGGGCTCACCATGGCTAAGAAGTCCCCTTACTCCCAGAAACACACGGGCCAATGCCACTGGGACCCTGGCCTCTCAGTTCTTTGCCACTGCCCACCCAGCCAAGCTCCCTTCCCAGCCACTGAAGGACAATAGAACCCACTGGCCATGAGGACAAGCTTCTTTCTTTCCCTCCATTCACTCTGGAACCTCATCACCACCAGAGGGCAGGCGAGGGAGGACTGAGAGCCTCATTGGCTGGGTGGGATATCGAAGCGGCAAGGGCATAGCCCAGTGGGAGAGGCTGCGCTCCTGAGACACAGAGGGCAGGGTTAGGGAGGTGAGGGCAGGGTGGTCTGTGCGATGTGGCATTGCCCTGGGGGTGGGAGCCTGGAGGAGGCAATGGCACTGGTGGGTCCCCTTCTCCACCTGTCACCACCCCAGGGTGGCCCCAGCTTCCCAAACCCCATTTTGGACTCTGGCATATATCTCCCTTCCACCTGCTCCCCAGCAGGGCCTGGCAGCTGCTGTTTGTACCCCTAAGCTCAGCTCTGTTGGGGGTGGGGAGACCCTGCACTCAGAGAGTTCCCGGTGGGAGGCAGGCCTTGTGTGGGACATGGCTCACACCCTAGGAGTGCAAGTCAAGGCCAGGGGTAGGGTTGGGGAGGGGATCCTGCAGGGGAGGGGTGGAGCTGGGCCTTTGAGGTGCAGGTGAGATTTGACTGGATTGGGTGGGACTTCAGAGGTGGGGAACACTGAGGGAAGGTGTGGAGGCCCATGTGGGCTGGGCTCTTTGGAGGCAGCAAAGTACACAGGTCTGTCTGGCTAGAGAGCTGGAGCAGGCCCACCTGTTTGCACCAGCCAGGCCCGGAAGCTCTGCTTCTGAACAGAGCGCAGTGGGGAGTCACAGGAGTTTCTAGAACCAGGGCCCTGCTCACCCCAGGTCTCTGCTCCTGGTTCCCCTCGAATGTCATCTGGGCCTCCCAACCACAACAAATCTGTGCAAATTGCTGTTTAAAACAGACTTCCTGCTCCACAGAAGCTGCCCTCCCAGGGAGGGGAGGCAGTTGCTTCTTTGTTCAGCCCAAGGTTATGGCAAAGAAACAAAAGGAGTGAATTTTCCCTTTCTTCTGTTCTTTCTTTCCCTTCCTGCTGCAGCAGAGATGATGCCTAGAAAGCTTTTGTGCTTGGCTTGGTGAAGCTTGGAGGGGTGGCAGGGCCTTGGCCGGCAGCTGACCTCAGCCCCTGTCTAATTGGCCCCTGCAGGAGCCAGGTGCTAATTGGGCCTGGCTGGGACAATGGAGACCGGCTGGGCTGGGGTGGGGGCGGGGCTTCCTGGAAGATGCTGGCTTCCCATTCCTACTTCCCCTCCTAGGCTTTTCTGAACGCTGCCTGACCCTCAAGGCTCCATTCTGGGCCCTCCTCCTCCAGGAAGACCCCCGGGCTATCCCAAGACAGGCCATCAGTCATGACTCCTTGGGTATTGGGCCAGAGTCCAGCCTCTGCTGACAGCAGATTGGGGCCAGCCCTTGCTCTCAGCCCAGGTGAGTACAGGGCTGGGCATTCAGCAGGTGGTGAGGGGCAGGCCCCAGTCCTGGTCTCACAGGCCCTGTTCACTCTTCCTCAAAGAACCCTTCCCCACTGGTCACCTCCTGCCAGAATCCTCCCTGGTTAGAGCTTTGCTGCCTCAGGAATGCCCCACATTGGGTGGGGGAAGAGCCCTGGCTGGAACCCAGAACCTTGGGTTCTGATCCAGCCTCTGCCCACAGCTGTCGAACGACCCGAAGCGAGGCCCTTGCCCACTCCGTGCCTGCTCATCTGCACCCTGTGGGGAATGACCCTTGTTGGGGTTGTCCTCTGGGATTCTTGCCAAAGGGGAAGAAGAAATGCTTTGGCAACTGGGGCCCAAACCAGAAGGGTTAGCACTTACTGGGGCGGCCCCAGCCCCCAGTCTGAGCTGCTGCTTCCACTGGATGCCCCATCTGCCACACCCACTCCTCCTCACAGCTCGGCACCACACATGCACTACCAGCAAGCCTTCCCAGGCTAGCCCAGGCTCAGCCACTTTCTAGGATCCAAGGCTGGACCTCCAAGACACCAGAGGTAGGGCCCAGACTAGCAGGAGGCAATGATCACTTCAAGGGATTTTCCCAGAAGCCCTTCTGTCCTCCCTCTCTGGATTACTGTGTGGGCTCAGGTGGCCTAGGCTGGAGCCAGGGGCCTTGCAAAAGATTCCTGTGACCACGGGCATCTAAGGGCCAAAGCCCTGGTCCTCTCCACCCTGCCTCCCACTTAAGAGGCTCTGGGAACACCTCTACTGGTTGCTGGGCAACACACCCCAACACACCTGCTGCTAGGCGAGCCAACCCATCTTCCCAGAACCAGTGGGCGAGGGGGCGACTTACAGAGAAGCTGTCAATGAGGCCTGGGGCAGCCTTGGGGGCTGGAGGGGATGGGGGCCCTGGCTCCCCCATCTTTACTGCTAGCAGTCCTGTTCCCCAGGATGGGTCCCCAGGGACTGTTGCTACAACAAGTGCCTGCCTGGTGACCAAGCCCAGCCCTGAGCTGGAAGCAGGCAGGCCCATGGGGCCACTTCCCCTTTGTTCCAGGGTGGGGGGTGTCTGGGTGGGGTGGCTGAAATCATGCAAGGTTCACTCCTTGGCCACAGAATTGTATGGAGACAGCAGGGCCGGGGAGGGCTGTGGGGCCCTTCAGGGCTCCGGCCTTCTGACTCCCCTGGCCCAGGCTCAGAGTCCCTCCTCCCTCACCTGCCCTTGGCTACACCTTGGTTCCTGCCTCCCCCTCAACTCCCTCCGCTCTTCTCCACTTTCTCTGCCTCCTGGTTACCCCCATACCCTGTCTCCCCTTTCTCTCCCACTGAGCCTCACCCTCTGTCCCTGAGTCTCCTCCTCCCCCTCCCCCTTAGTCTCTCTGCTCCCTGATTCCCCCTTGTCCCCTCAGGAGTCCTCCCCACCCCGCAGCAGCACAAGCTGGGCTCACTCTCCTCCCTGCAGCTGCAGTGTGGCTTAGGGCCCCACGCCTGGTCCCTGGGGACTTCCTCTGGCTGCTTTCCTGATGCTCTGGACAAATTCCTTTCTCTTTAGTTCAGCGGAGACATGGGTGGATGTTTTTGAAAGAAACTCACTGGGAAGCAAAAAAAAAAAAAAAAAAAAAAACAAACCCAAACAAGCCAGCCCGCCACCTAGAAACGGCCCTGGTCATGAAGGCAGAATGTCTGATATAACTGGCTTCAGCCTGGGTTGCGGAGACCCCCTCCTGGGGCATGGAGGGGCCTGCCTGCCTTTCCCCAGCTGAACTGGGTTCAGCCTGTCTGTCCCAGACAAGCTTGGTCCCAAAGGCTTTCATGATAGGGCCCTCCACCTGGACCTAGCAAGATGCTGACCAGCACTGGGACTTCATAAATATTTGTTTACTTGTTTAATGAATGAATAGATGACTTACAGTGTTCTTTGGGGCCTCAATGGTGGCACAATAATAATCCCTGACTGGACAAGCCAAGACAGTCACCTCTACCCGTTTCAAAATCTCCACCCCTGCTGCTGGGTGCCCAGCTCAGCACTCTGCACAGGGTTGGGGGGCCTCTGGCTTCTGCCGGTGTTGTGGAGGGCGCTTCCTTTTCTCATTTGCAGGCCTCATGTTTCACTTACTCTTTTTCTTTTTTCCTTTTTTTGAAATGGAGTCTGGCTCTGTCTCTTGCTCTGTCTCCCAGGCTGGAGTACAGTGGCGCGATCTGGGCTCACTGCAAGCTCCGCCTCCCGGGTTCATGCCATTCTCCTGCCTCAGCCTCCCGAGTAGCTGGGACTACAGGTGCCTGCCACCATGCCTGGCTAATTTCTTGTATTTTTTTAGTAGAGACTGGGTTTCACCGTGTTAGCCAGGATGCTCTCGATCTCCTGACCTCGTGATCCACCTGCCTCAGCCTCCCAAAATGCTGGGATTACAGGCATGAGCCACTGCACCTGGCCCACTCCACTTTTTCTTAATGGGGACACTTCCTCTGAACAATAGGGACAAGTAGGGGAGTGGCACAAGACAATCCCCATACTCCTATTAGTTCTTATTTGAGTGGGCCTGGTGAAGTGGAAAGATAGTGGGCTCTGTTACTAAGCAGCTGTGTGACTTTGGACAGGTCACTTAACCTCTCTAAGCCTGTTTTCTCCTCTGTAAAATGGAGTGCATCACTGTGCCCATCTCATAACGCTGTTGGGGATTAAATGAGGCTGCGAGTGTACACGTCCGAGCAGCGTCTGGCATATAAGAGTGGCTCCAGAAATATTACTCCCTCCTCTGTGCAACTCTCATGAGGGGCTCTGGAGGGTCTAGCACCCCTCCAGGGAAATGAAAGGGAGGCCCGTGGTGGAGTCGGCCATCCTCCCTGGATGGCACCAGTCACTGGCTGGCACTGAGATGTGGGCCTTAAATCTTCCTGCTCCTGCCCCTCAGCCTCCCCACCAGGGAAATGGGTGTGTGCCCCCTGCTATCCCCAAGATCCTGGGGCAAGAAGCCTCCCAGACCAGGCTTCACCACCCCTCCCTGCAAGGGGCCCTGTCCTCCCCTGCCTGCTGTGCGCCAATCGATTGAGTCTGCTCCCATCCTCGGGCGTGCCATGAATTTTTCATCAAAAGCCTGTAGACTTTGGGAAACGCACAATTAGAAGCCCCATCAATAATGCACTACGCAGAGGCATGCACTGAGCTCAGCCTGGCCCCAGACATGGCAGTCTTCCAGCCCTGCTCTGGCGGGAGGCTGGAGGGGCGCCCCAGCGGACCCTCAGGGACCCATCACCGGACATAGAACAAGTGTGGGCTGCTGAGAGGGAGGGAAGCCGCGCCCTTGAGGGACTTGAGCCTGCCCCATGAAGCCAGGGAGGCCCCAGGGGCTCCCGCCTGGTCTCAGGCATTTCATCTATAAAACGGGTGCTCAAGAGCCCCCACCCCTGCCCCTTGCCCACCCCTTATCACTGGGTGAGACACACAAGACAATTACTATGTGAAGACTAGGGCAGGGCTCTTTGTGGAGCTAAGGGATGTCCTCCTTCAGGGGGTCCCAGGAAACAGGGCAGGTGCCTGGCTGGAGTGGGGAGGGAGAGGAGGGCAGTACAGAGATGCCTGGTGGCATTGGGGCTTTATTCACACTTCCTTCCCCCAGCTTGGCGGTCAAGGTCCCTGTGGTCCTGCTCCTGTCCCCCTCCCCCTCCACACTTAATAGTGCAGCTCCCCTTGGACCAGCCACTCCCACGCCAGCCACTTCCTGTGGCCTCAGAACCTCTGGGGGAACAAACAGGTTCAGTGCATCCGGCCTCTGTGCCTTTGCTCACGCAGTTCCCCCACCTACAGGACAGAGTCGCCTTCCCCCATCTCTGCAGATCCATTCTGCAAAGCCCACCTCCTAACAAAAGACTTTCCTACTCTTCTTGGCTTCCTTTCTGAATTTCTAGAGCCTGCACCAGGCAGGTAACAAGAGCTCACCATAGGCTGGGCACTGTTCTAACTACCTTAAATAGATCGGCCTAACTTCACCACCAGTCACCTGATGAAGTAGCCTTCTCCATGTCCATTCCACAGAGGAGGAGAGTGAGGTATGAGGAGGCTAGGGAAGTTCTTGGAGTGGGTGAGCTGGTTCCAGAGTCTTCACCACCACTCCGGACCCTGGGGCTGGCTCTCCTGTCCTCAACTGGCCTTGGCCTTGGAGTCCGCAAGGGCAGGGCTCATGCTTCATCACTCATCAGGGCTGGGATCTCCCTATTGCAGGGCCAGAGGCTCAGCTGAACTCAGGGTGGGGCACGCAGGATGTTGATAGCCATGCTTAGCTGCTGGTAGGAGAGGCCTCCCCGCAACTCGAGCTTGAAGCTGGCCTAGCCAGAAGGTCCAGATGCCTCCCTGGTCCCCTGCAACGGCCTCCACTGAGCCCACATCCCATCTCCTGGAGTCGCACAGTTGCTCTGCTCCCCTTACCCCTGCTGGCTCCAGGTCTGGCTCATACATTCTGAGGCTGTCATGAATGCCCTCACTGCCCGCAATAAAACCACCGCATCAGACACACGGGGGTGGGGGATGGGAGGCTCCTGGGCTGAGGTGGTTTTTGCTGTTGCTTTTGGCAGGCTGTCAGACTTCTCTGGGCCCTGCCTGGCTGTGGGCTTCTGCTGCAGCCTAGGAGGGGGCTCGTTGGCACCTGGGGTTCTGTGCCCCTGCACATGGGCCATGTGAGAGCAGAGATGCCAGCTCCCGGAGGCGGGACATGTGCTGAGGGAACACAGCCCTCCATTTCCATTTCTAAAACTCTCTCCTGGCAGGAATGCTGCTGGGCCTGAAATACAAATGGAACTGTACCCCTCCTAACCCCCAAATCCCCACCCCAGGTGCTCCACCACAGCTTGGAGCTGTCTGCAGGAAAGGGCTCGTCATGATGCCAGTGATGTTCACAGAGGGGCCCTGGGATGGGTCCAGACTAGGGGGCTGGCAGGGGGAGGGTGGGCAGAGAGCTTGGTTAAAGCCCCCTGCTCTGTGCCCCCCACCCCTGAAATGTGTGTTTGCATTTTGCCCTAACTGAATCCACTGTCTGCCTTGAGGTCGCCATGACCCTATAAGTGGGCAGCCAGGGTGGCAAGAGTGTGTCTCCTTCCATCTCTAGGGGAGGGGTGAGCACTGCCTTTCCCCCACCCAGGCCAAGGACTGAGGTCCTCCCAGTTCAGGATATACTCTTTGGCAGGCCCACTTGGCCAGGCCCTGTGGTGGGCACTGGAGACACAGATGTGGCCAAGGCTTGGGGTCTCTGTCCCCAAGTAGCTTGTATTCTAGTCGATGTGAGAGCAGGCAGTGTGGCATAGTAAATCAGTATGGCAAATGCAGTAGCGGGGGAGCCCCCCAGCCAGCCCCCTCCTCACCCTGGGGTGCAGGCAAGGGTGTATTGGAGGGTATGTCAGAGCGGGAGATGGGTTTTGAAGGATGAGTAGGAGTTTGTCAGGTGATACAGGCATAAGGAGGAGACACAGTCCTAGCACAGGGAACAGCAGGAGCACAGGTGTGGAGGTGAGCAGCAGCCTGGAACACCGTGGGAGTGCAGACAGGACACGCGGCAAGGAGGGGCTGGTAGGAGATGAGACTGGAGCGGCTGCAGGGTTCAGTCATGGGACCTTGGATGTAAGTCCAAGGCCCAGCTGTCAAGCCTGTTATAGGCAGGCAAAGTGGACTGGGCTGGGCCTGGATGCTGGCACCAAGCATGCTTGTGACCCTCCCAGAATAAGGTCTGGTTGCATTCTAAACAAATCCAATGTGCTATGCAGGACCCAGAGCCCAGACAGGGTAAGAAGTTGCCTAGCACTTCTGTGGCAGGGCCAGCTCAGCATTCATAGCCCTCCGGGGTTAGAAATCTGTGCTGGGCTAATCACCTGAGGTCAGGTGTTCGAGACCATCCTGGCCAATATGGCGAAACCCCGTCTCTACCAAAAACATAAAAATTAGCGGAGCATCGCGGCCAGCACCAGTAATCCCAGACACTTGGGAGGCTGAGGCAGGAGAATCGCTTGAACCCGGGGAGGCGGAGGTTGCAGTGAGCTGAGATCGCGCCACTGTACTCCAGCCTGGATGACAGAGTGAGACTCTGTCTCAAAAAAAAAAAAAAAAAAAAAGAAAGAAAGAAAGAAAGAAATCTGTGCTGGGGTTGGAAGGGACTGAGAGGCCTTCTGGAAGACAGAATGACCCAGAGAAGAGTAGGCTGGGATGTTGGCTGCCCAAAACCTCGGGATGGGGAGAGAGCCAAGGGAAAGCATCCTTGAGGTGCTGCCTTTTCTCAGTTATCTGGGTGGGCCACCTGCCCTGGCATCCTGGAGCCACCAGGCCATGACCCACCCCACTCTAGGAGCTGTCCAAGCCTTGGCCCCTGTACCACCCTTAACCAATGCTGCTCAAGGGAAACAGAGACTTCCAAGTGGCTTCTTAGCCCCTTCCCACCCCTGTGACTCAAAGATGTCACTGTTCTCGTAACAAGAACCTGCCAAAGCTCAGGCTATGGGAGCCAGAGTGGGGATCAGAACAAACACCCTACCTCCCAGCACCCAGAGGCAGCCAGCCTTCCAGGGCATTGTTTGGTTTGGGGTCTGGGGGCTTCCTCTGGAGGGCTGAGGCCCTGCCTGGTGGGGTCAGACTCAGAAGGTTTTGCTAGGGTCCAGGCCAAGCTTGGCTCAGCAGAGAGAGGCTGTGGGTGTTGAGGGGGAGGTGAAGGAAGATGAAGACTTGGCCTTGCCTTCAGGGGTCCTAGACTGAGGGGGGAGACAGTGTCCCACCCTGAGGAGCCCAGTCTGAGAGGGGAGATGTGAGCCTGCCCAGGAAGCCCCTATATGTATGAGGAGGGTTGCACTGTCACATCTGAGCAGGAGGCAGGACGCACACACTCCTGATAAGGACACATGAAAAGAACAGATGGCGCCAACAAGTGCAAATTAATTGAGCGAAGCCTGTGTACATAGGCGCTGTGAACAGGCAGGCTGATGGCTCAGGAGGGGTGGTGCGGGGGCAGGGCAGGGAGCAGGGAGAAGCTGTAACGAGCACTTACCGATGTCTCGCTGGATCTGCAGCCGGTAGCACAATTATTGACAAAGCCTGTCTATAAATCTCCCAGCCATGTCTTCAGAAACCTTAATTACGGGGCCTCATTACCCTTCACACCTCTAGGCACGGGGGACCCTCCTGGGCTGGGGCGGCTGCTGACACTGCGGCTGGCCTGCCATGGACAGGCTGAACCCCTTCAGGAAGATGTGCCTAGCGGGGGTGTCCAAGGGACACTATTCAGGACCACGTGGCTCCGAGGAACGAGCAGAGGCTCAGCCTCTAGGCAAGGGCAAGGGGGTGAAAGGGACTTTGGAACAAGGGGAACATAAGCTGGGTTTACATTCTAGTTTTGCCAGTCCTTCTGGACTCTGATGGGCACCTTCCCTCTCTGAACCTCAGTTTCCTCATCTGTACAATGAGGAGAGGGCTGTGGTGAAGATTACGTGAGCAAGGTCTGTCTAGTGTTGAGCACAGTGCCTGGCATGTGCTGTGTGAGTAACATCTGTCCCTTTCATCTCTTCTCGGTCACTGTCTGAAGCTACCAAGAAAGAAAAGCGGCCCCTGGTGGCCAGGAGCTGGCGGCCACAGCTGGACCCTGGTGTCATTCACAACACCACTCTCTGACCACTCTGTAAAGTGTGTGAACACAGATAAAACATAGTCATTGTCCAAACCACAAAAATGACCAAACTCCCTTTCCTGGCTAATATGAGTGACTGCTGCTTCTTTATTAGTGACCATCATTCCTGCCTTCTCGATGAGAACTCCTATGATACCGACTCTTAGAATGCTGATTCTAAGCCAGCCTCCCGCTGTCATCTAACCCAGAGCAAAGCCTGTTTCCTCAAACCCTTTCCCAAATCCCCTAACACCAGCTTGAATCTGTGAAGTCCTTTCCCACACACTCTTTCTGGGATGCCCCGCAACTCCCATGGTTGCATCCCCCTTACTACAACGAGTCAATAAACCCAGAATAACTCCAACTTTGTTAAACTGCATGTGTGTTCCTGGTCGTTTTCAGCTGGAGGGGTTGAGATCCTGCTATTAGAGCCTCGTCTGTTTAGATGACTGTGCTCTCCAGGCCTGAATCCTAGGCTCTCATTTTCACATTCTTCCCTCTCATTATTTTTGCGAAGCATGTGCCCACTGTGTCCCATTTGTTGTCCTCACCCAGGCCAGGAGAGAACACACTGGGGTAGGGGGTGTGGAGGGGAGAGATGCTGGGGGCACCTGCCACATCTCTCCCTGGGGGAAGGAGCCCTGTCTGGACATTTGGGGCTCTTGGGGGATCCAAGGAGGCCTAGACCATCTTTAGCCTTGGGAGGGACCATGGGTAGGGGAAGGGACCAGGGTGATGGGAGCTCAGTGTCACAGGAGAGCAGAGGTGGGGTGAGACCACCCGTCCTGCCTCCAGGCCTGTGCTACAGGCCCCGTGCGCCCTGTCCAGGCAGATCACGGTCCTGCCTCCAGCCTAGGCCACAAGCCTCCTCCCCAGCCCTGTGTTGCGGAAAACCACCTCACTGCTGCCAGGCTCCAGGCCACCCCAGAGCTTCACAAAGTGCTTCAGCCATCAAAACCCCAGTAATCCCTGTGTTCAGCTTTGCCTCTTGAGGCTTGAGCCTCAAGGCAGTTGGTCCTTTCAGAGCCCCCCACCTCCCCTGCCTGTCACCCAGCCTCTTTTGGCCTCAGTTCCTCTCACACCTCACTCTCCCCATCCCTGAGAGTCCCCCATGGGAACCTTCTCTACAGCCTGCTCAGCCTTGCCCACTGCTCAGGTAATGGAAATCCAGGGCCCAGACCTCACAGATGCAGGTGGCAATGAAGGGAGGGGGCTTCCTGGGGGCAGCACTCTCGCTGCTGGCGGGTACCCTCCCTGCTGGCTCTCTCAGGATGCCCCCTGACCACCTCAGGCCCCTCAGAGTCGGTCTCAAAATTCAAATTTCTTTTTTTTTTTTTTTTTTGAGATGGAGTCTCCTCTGTCGCCCAGGCTAGAGTGCAGTGGCTTGATCTCGGCTCACTGCAACCTCTGTCTCCTGGGTTCAAGCTATTTTCCTGCTTCAGCCTCTCAAGTAGCTGGGATTACAGGCATGCACCATCACGCTCAGCTGATTTTTGTATTTTTAGTAGAAACGGGGTTTCACCATGTTGTTCAGGATGGTCTCAATCTCTTGACCTCGTGATCTGCCCGCCTCGGCCTTCCAAAGTGCTGGGATTACAGGCATGAGCCATTGTGCCCGGCCTCAGAATTCAAATTCTGATTAGCCAGACCTTCTGCACCAAGCACATCTCCAGTCCTGCCTCCTAACCATCTTCCCAGAGTTGTTTTTGTTTTTATTTTGTTTGAGTCAGGTTCTCACTCTGTCATCCGGGCTGGAGTGCAGTGGCGGGCACATGGCTCACTGCCCGCAGCCTCAACCTCTTAGGCTCAAGCAATTCTCCCACCTCAGTCTCCCAAGTAGCTAGTATTACAGGCACGTGTCACCATGCTTGGTTAATTTTTTAAAAAAATTTTGTGGAGACGGCATCTCGCTATGTTACCTAGGCTGGTCTCAAGCTCCTGGTCTCAAGTGATCCTCCTGCCTCAGCCTCCCAAAGTGCTGGGATTACAGGTGTGAGCCACTGCGCTAGCTTCTCCCAGAGTTTTTAAGTTCCCCTCATACTTAAAGTCCAGGCTGTTCTGTTGAGATGGCTGGTGGAGGACTTGGGGGGTCTGGAACGGGTGGGGCACAGATCCATTTGTAGTGGATAAATAGATTCCCTGAAGGAGTGGCCAATAGTGGTGTAAGATGTGGGTCTTGGAGGGACCGAGAGAGATGGAAGCTTGTTCCCAGACCCTCTGCACTCTCCTACACTGTACTCTTCACTCCCCACTGTAGGAAAAAAAGGCGCCAGAAGCTCTTCATGGCTCACAGAAGCCGCTCCAGGCACTGTGAGGTTTTCACAGCCAGCCTGGGGATAAGGGCTAGCACTGTCCCCCTTTCCCAGCTAAAGAGACTGAGGTTCCTGTAGGTGCTGGCTGGGAGCCGAGTAGGAGGTAAACACCTCTGTGATCCAGACCACCCCTGGTCCACCAAGCTGCTCAGGAAGGGCATTCTGTGCATTCAGTGAGCACACACTTACTGAGCACCCACTGCACGCCAGGCACCTGGTGTGGAGGTGGGCGAGGGGTACAAGGTGGAGTGAGCCGGGAACACAGGCCTGGAGCTGGGAGGAGGCACCACTGCCATTGAGCATGGGTAGAATATTCTGGGTTCAGGTAAAGGCTTGAGGCAGGGGCTTCAGAAGCCCCAGGGCCCATCAGGCTGAGGGGCTCCTGTTGCAGGCAAGGGAACAATGCATGGGTTCAGGGCGGGGGGTAGCATGTCTAGATTTGGGCTTGGGACAGGTCACCTGGTGGCTGTGTCTTAGGAGGAGGAAGGCTGAGGTAGGCAGGAGGGCCCCATCTGGACGGTCAGCTCCCAGATCCTGAGCCAGCTCTCTGAGTGAGCCCACTGGCCCTCCACAGGAGCCCCCCCACCCACATACAGGAGAAGGCAGGAGGGTGAGGTCTTCATCTTGGCCTCCACAGGACCCTCCCTACCAGCGTGGCAGCTCCCTACTGAATGGCTCCCTACCCAGCCTGAGGAGGAAGAGTGAGATGCCTCCAGTCCCAAACTAGTCCTCTGAGAGGGTCCAGCTGTCATTGCTCTTCCTGGCCCTTCCAAATCCCCGAGCCCCTCTGCAGCCCAACCCCAGGGTCCACCCTGTGGAGGTGGATTTGCATATCTGAGAGTGAAAAAAATTCTGCTGCAGAGGCTTAGTGCCACCAGAGATGCTGAGCCCCCTTTTGTCTGTTTGAGTAAGAGCTGGCTAAAGGCTGAAGGATAATTAGTCCCCCGTGGGCAACGCTGTCCCCCCTCCTTGAAGATTTAAAGGCGCAGCCCACATGCTCAAGCCACTCGGGTCTCAGCCCCTTCCCCCACAGGCCCTCCCCGCCCCCTCGACTCCGCCCTAAGGAGGGGACGGCAGCTCTGGCAGGAGCCGATGAATGAGCATTTTATCTGATTAAACTGGGAGTGAACTGGCTGGTCTCTATTATCTGCGGACTTGATTGGATATTTAGCACCAAATGTGTGTGTGTGTGTGTGTGTGTGTGTGTCTGTCTGTCTGCACACATGGACTGGGCTTTTCTAGTCCGTGTGTCAGGAAGAAATTGGATTGTACTGAAAAACATTTAATCTGAACTCAGGAGTGCACCCTGATAGAGTCACCAAGCTAGTGGTGAGGGTTGGGGGAGGGACAGTTCTGCCTTTAGCCCTGGACAAGAGGGGCTCCAGCCCTGGGCCCCGTGGGTTGAAAGGTCCTGCTTTGGCCCTCTTCGGGGTACAACCCTTCCCATGGGGTGAGGAGTCAGTGGTCCCAAGGGGGACGTGCCCACCTAGAGCCCGTGCCCGCTTTAGACCTCACCCTGGGTAACTGGGATCCTGGCACTCCCCTGCTTCCAGGGCCTGTCCTCCTGAAGGTGGCAGTATACCCTTATGCACTCGAGAGAGCCCACAGAGTCTCATAGGTGTGGGACTGAAATTGAGCTGTGTGAGAAGAAAAGGGGATGGGTGGGGTTGAGGGGTGGGGGCCTGGGAGTGGCTCTCGCCATACTGCCAGGGGCCAGTGTGGAAGCTGAGAATTCTTTGAGGTTGTTCATAAGGTGTATTTATTGAGGTAGAGGAATGGAACATATTTAGGAGTTTGCTAGCTTCTGCTTGATTTATATTTTGATTACTGGGGTTTGGACATATGGTATGTAGGCCTTGCTTATACTCTCAAATGTTCCAGGTGGAACTCGGCAGGGGGTGGCCTGAGGCCACAGAGCTTGTCTTGGTGTTTACTAGGAAACTGAGGCAGCTCTTCCTCCCAGATAGGCTGGGAAGATGGTGAGTTAAGCTCACCAGGCTCCTGACTTCCAAGTCACCAGGCTCGGCCAAGGCTCAAGTGCTAGGCTGGAGACCCCCAACCTGTGTTGGACCAAGACTCCCCCTCGGTCTTGTCTGGTGGCCCTGGGAGGGTTATTGTGCTATCAGCAGGTTCCTCTCCCACAAAGTGGGGATGATAATTGTATGTTCCTTTTCAGTCTGGAGTGAGGATTACATGAGATTGTGACCGAAGTTCTGGGTACAGAGTACGAGCTCAGTGAATCTTGATGGGAACACTTAGTGTTATTAAAATGAGTACTAAGGTTGGGCTGGTGCTTGCAGAGCACAGAAGGGACAAGCCCCATTTCCCAGGTTAGCAACTCTTTCTCCCAGTCGCTCCTGGTTCTATAGTCCACCTCACCCTCACCAATCGATGATTCAAGCCCTCAGCAATTTATGGCCTCATCATCTTGGCTTTAGTTACCGAGAGTGCTCCACTCCTGCCTCGCCCACCCACCATTTAATTAAGGATGGACAGCAAGACCTGGCAGCACCGGCCATCTCACTAAGGAGCAGCGCCAGGAGGCTGTCCCACCTCTGCCTGCCTTGTTTGCTGGGATGAAAGAGGAAATTGTCAAGACCAGGCTCCTCACTCCACAGGAGGGGAGACGGAGGCCCAGGAGGGGAGGGGTCAGTCAGGCTGACTCCTCAAGTCAGAACTGACTCCATGTCTCCTGATGCTCCTCCTGCCCAACCCTCTCTCGGCAGTAAATTTTCTCTCTCTCTGGGTGGCCTCTGCCCGGAGTGACCTCGTTCTCATCTCCTCTGAGCCTGATCTTCTGGGTACTTAGGGCAGGCCCTGACTTGACCAGTCCTCTAGTCCACCTATCCCATCCATTCTTTCCTCCACACCGCTAAGACTTTCTCATCCCTCACTGGAGGGAGGCATTCGCTCCATTAATACAGATAGAGAAACTGAGGTCCAGACAGGGAAGGGACTAGCCCTGGGGCCCCACAGTGCCTTTTGGTGAGACCCCAGGCCAGGCCTGGAGAGAGACAGGCACACACACACTAACTAGTAATTCCCACTCAACAGATCAACAGATTCCTCTTGCAGGAACAAGAGGAATTTCATTTCCCTTCCACCAACAAATCAAAGATCTGTTATGGTTTCATGCTAACCGCCACTGATGCTTGGTTGGCTTTTCTCTCTTGCTTATCACAGTGACATCTGCAGACTACCCTGGCATTCTGTAGAAAGTGTGCACTGCCTGGGGTGGGAGTTGATGGGGGTTAGGATTAGGTAGACCCCCTCTGTGCTCCCACAATCTCCTGAGGACCCTGAGCCCCAGTCCTGACCACATCCTCCTCCAGCCATTCTTGATGTGTCTCCCTGCTCAATTGGGACTTCTTGAGCACAGGGACCCTTGTACGGAATTATCTTTATGTGACTGTCACATATCTTGGAGGTGAACTTCTGGAGAGGGGGTCAGAGGGAGAGGCCTGGGTGAGTTGTGCTGCCTTCCGTCATCCCCCTCAGTCTCGAGGGATCCCATGAACACAACGACTATTAATAAGCCTCCTGCAAAGTGCCAAAGTGGACGGCCCTTTACAGTTTCCAGTGCATTGCCATCCACTCTCCTGTTAGTCCTCTGAAAAGCCTCAAGAGGCGGGGAGAGTATTTCCTCTACTTAACAATGAAGAGACAGGATCAGAGAGGTTGAGTGATTTTTTCAAGGCCACACAGCTCTTGGGAGGTGGAAATGGAACTCATACCTGCTGGGGCTGCACAAATGAGTGGAGGAATCTGTGGGGCGAGATAACCAGACTTGGCACAGAGTAGATGCTCAAAACCCTGGTCGAACAAATGAATGAATGCATGAATGAATGAGTAGGTGCATGTACCAGAAATGAATGAATGAGTAGGTGCCTGTGCCAGAATACAAAGTCAACAGGGAAAGGAGAGACAGCTGGGGGTCTGAGGAGGTTGGGGGCACCAGACACTTTTGCTCCCTGTGCTCATGTGGCCCCTTCTTGGCTCCTGAAGCACTGCTCATCCTTGGGGTTTGAGTACTTCCCCCTTAGCCCCTGGGTGATGCTCCTTTTCATGCTGTCTCACTTCCCTTGGCCTTTGCAGACTTCTCCCCAGTTAGGCTGGGGGGCTTTCTCTATGGAAGCCTCCCCTCTCCAGGCCCACCCCTAATATCTGTAGTGCCCAGTACAAGAACAGAAATGGAGGCTTCCAGCATGTGCCCTCTGCAAACAGCCGTTGCTTCTTGGGTCTCAGGGTGCACCCTTGCAAAAGTATTCAACCCTTAGAAGTGTAGATTTAAGCTTGCATAGTCCTCAGAAGCAGGTTTAGGCCAGGCGTGGTGGCTCACGCCTGTAATCCCAGCACTTTGGGAGGGCGAGGCGGGTGGATCACTTGAGGTCAGGAGTTTGAGACCAGCCTCACCAACATGGTGAAACCTTGTCTCTACTAAAAATACAAAAGTTAGCTGGGCATGGTGGCAGGTGTCTGTAATCCCAGCTACTTGGGAGGCTGAAACAGAAGAATCACTTGAACCTGGGAGGCGGAGGTTGCAGTGAGTTGAGATCACGCCATTGCACTACTCCCTCCTGGGTGACAGAGCAAGACTCTGTCTAAAAAAAAAAAAAGAAGAAGAAGAAGCAGAAGCAGGTTCAGGCCCATTCGGGGGTCTTGGGTACCGACAGAGTGTTCTAGAAGCGTGGAGCTTGGGATCTGGGGCACATTTACCTAGCCAGGTGGGGAGGGACAAGGCTGGAGGAGTGTGAGTGGGCCCTCTAAATCAGCTTAGGTACCTGGCCAAGTCGGTCAGGAAGACAGGCCCACCGGACTGGCTCATAGCTTTGCCTGGCAGAGCAGCACCAGGCTCCCCGCCAGCTCCAGGGCTGGGGGCTGGGGGTGGGAGGCGAGGCACCCACACACATGTGCAGGGCGTGTGGAGTGGGGGAGGGGACTGGCCTGCAGGGGGCCTTGCTCAGCCGCTTGCACACACCAAGAGACAATAAATCGACAAACACTTAATCTCTCTGCAAATTGAAACGGAGCCGTAAATATCTGCTGCATCCCAGCAGCTGAGTTATGAGTCTCGTTTATTAATCTCTTTAGTCTCAGGTGATGGATGGAGGAGGAGAATGGCCCGCTGAGACTCGGAGGGATGGGGGAAGGAGGGAGGAGAAGTGGGTCAGGGGTCTGGGAACAGCCCTGCCGGAGAAAGGGTCAGAGGGAGAGGCCTGGGGGATTTTTGCTTCCTTTTTATTCTCCGCCTTGATCGCAGGGCCCCAGGAACACAGTGACTATTAAGTCTCCTGCAAAGTGGACAGCCCTTTACAGTTTCCAACACATTGCCCCTCATTCTCTTGTTAATCCTCCCCATAGTCTCAAGAGGTGGACAGGGTGACAGTGTTCCCTCTACTTAACAATGAGGAGACAGGAGCAGAGAGGTGGAGTGATTTATCCAAGGTCACACAGCTTCGGAGTGGTGGAGATGGAACACAAACCTGCAAGAGCTATGCAGGTGAGAGGAGGGGTCTGCAGAGGGAAGTAACAGACACATGTGGGATGTGATCCTTATTTCTTCCTTTCTACCCTTCTCCTCTCCCTCCCTCCCTTCCTCGCTAAAATGCTTGGTAAGCACTGTGTGTGATTGTGTTTAGGAATTGGAGAGAAAAAGGTCAGAGTTGGGGGAGGGACAGGAAAGGGAAAAGAGCTGGCGAGTGTTCTCAGCCATGGCTTAGGTCGGTTGCCTTGTCTTAAGTATTTAATTGTAGGACCCCCTCCAGCCCCTGTCAGCAGGCGGTGCTCCCAGCTCGGGGCCTGCAGGAGTGCAGGGGAGGAGCTGAGGAGGGCTGGGGCCCTGAGAAGCCTTCCTGCCTTCGGGGAGCTGGGCCTGGGCGGGAGCTCGTGAGTGTGTGCTGCACAGAACAGGGATGCTTGGAGAGGTGACTGGGAGAGAGCACAAACCCAGCAAATGGGGCAATCACGCTGGGCAGTAGAGTCAGGGGCTACGGAGACTGAGGGGACACAGCAGGAAGGCTGGGGTGGCCAGTGTTTTGGGAACGTGTCTTGTGGCTGGTGTGGGATGGCCTGAAGGGGACACTGAGTCAAGGGCATCTGTTTGGAGGCCGTTGGGTGGGCCCTGGTTGGCTCTGCTCTCTGTCTCTGTCTCACTCCCTGTTTCTCTTGTAGTTCCTCAGCCTCTCTTGGTTCCAAAGGACCTGGGGCCTGGGCCCTCTCGTACTCCCAGACCCTGGGTGACCCTGCTCCCAGGCTGGGCTTGGTGCCTGAACTAGTGGCCCTGGGGGGGCTGCTTATTCCTGCTCCTGGGGGCCAATCCCAGGCTCCCGGGGCTTTGCAATGTCACCACCCTAGGCTGACGTTCCTGCTGCTTGTTGCCACCAAAGTGGGTAGTGTGCAGGGGTGCTCCAAGTCCCTTCCCTGGTGACTGCTGCTGGCAGCCTCAAAAGACTCCTGCTCAGAGTTAATCACCTGCCACCAGGTGGTGCTGAGGAGTGGAGGCCGGGTCTGACTGCTCTGCTGTCGGCCTCACCAGGCTGCAGACCCCATCCTGGGTGTGGGTCTGGGGGCAGGACCAAGGCTGCAGCCACAGTGCAGGAGCCTCAGGGCACTCAGGAACATCTGCTCCAACCGCCTGTGCTGTCAGAGGCAGGAACTGGGGCCCAGAGAAGGGAAGGAAGGTCAAGGTCACTTGCAGGAGCAGTGGGAGCACTATGAGTGCATGGACAGCACGGAGCTGGGCCAGACTGGGCAGGGGGAGTATGCCCTGTGGATGAGGGAGGCTGACAGGGTAGAGAGTGTGGCAACCTCCAGTGGGGCAGACCTGGGACAGGGGAGGTTTCTGTGCCATGTAGGGTGGCCCCCATCCAGGTTTGCCTAGGACTGTCTTGGTTTAAGCACTGAACACCTCATAGTCTGGAAACCCGTCAGTCCTGGACAGACAGGGATGGGTGGTCACCCCAGGGCCATGCCAGCCGGACAGAAAGGACTAGGCTCAGGGTGTCTCTGCTACACGGCCAGCCGCCCTTTCTGGGGGGCCTCACCTCTCCCATCTGATCCTGAGAGGCAGGTAGGGTAGGGTAAGCAGCATGCTAAGATGGAGAAACCAAGGCACATGGTCACCCAGCGTCCCCAGAGCACCCCTCCGCCTGCCTGCGAGGAAAGGGGTCCCTGTGCTGGGAGGCTTGCCTTTCTGAGGACCGAGCCCACCTCTGGCACACTGGGACTTGGGAGAGGCCACAGCTTCCCTGGTCCTCCTTCCTCTCTGCACTCATGATCTGGGGCTGTCTCTGCTGAAGTCAACCTACACCTCCGGAGCACGGCAAGTGGGGTGGGGACAGCTGGGGAAGGGGATTTAGAGAAACCGAGGGATTAAGGCCGAATCATTCTAGGGTCCAGCAGACTCAAGAAAGGAAGAGAAACAAAAGCGGTATGCTCAGAGGGGGCGGGGATGTGGAGGAGACAGGTGGAGGGAGGGGGAAAGGCTTTCAAAAACAGAATGAAAGAAATGAGTTATTCCAGTGTAAGGAGGTTGGAAAAACTCCACTGAATCTTTTAACAACCCTTGTCAATTATTCATCTCCTGGTATGAGGGCCCTCTGGTCTGCCACAAATCTCCTCTGAGCAAGGCAGAAGGAGGGAGGGAAACAGAGGAGGCAGAGAGAGAGAGAAGGAGAGAGAGGTGGAGAGAGAGAGGGGGGAGGGAGAAAAAGAGAGAGAGCGAGAGAGAGCAGGAGAGACAGGGAGAGAGACAGGAAGAGGAGGGAAGCAACCCTGTGCTTGAATTTCTGTGCTGGAAACAACACTGAATACACAATTCTTCCATAGTAAATGAGCACATCTGCCTTTCTTTATCCAAAGCATAGTCTGCCTCCTCCAGGAAGACTTCCTTGCCTGCCTCTCCCCCTATCCACCACCTCCCCAGCTCTCTCTCATTCACTAAGGGCTCACTAGGTGTGTCCAGGAGTGCTGGGTAAGTGTGGCAGTTAAAAAGCTACATTGTCCCAACCATGCCCCTCCTTTGCCTGTTCATCCCCCACCAAATATTTACTGTGTGCCTACTCTGTGCCACTAATCGTCTCCCCGGGTATGGCTTGCTCCTGTCCACTGGGGAATTCTCAGAGCTGAGGTCCTTGGCCTCTTTGTCCCCATGTCCCTGCCCCAGCTGGACACAGGGCTGGGCACATGGCAGGGTGGAGAGTTCTGGTTTTCTGACAGGCTGGAGGAATGGGGAGTCCAGGCACATGGCAGGTGTTTCAGAAGCCCTTTGTGGAGGAAGTCGGTCCATCTAGAGGTGGCATAGAGCCCCCTCGCCTTACCTGCTCCCCTCCTGGCGTCAGGAGGCATGGCCTGGCTCCGTGTGAGATGGGCTCAGGGTGCCCAGAGAGTGGAGGGCAGATGCTTGCAGGCTGTTGACTATTTGGGGAGTTGCCATGTTCAGGATGAACCTTAACACCTCACTCTTCACACTCACTTAAAGGCTCACCTCTTCCCAATGGCTTCCTGAGCTACTCAGACGGGAGATAAGGCTTCCTCTACCTCTGCCTGAGGCCCTACACTTGACCCAAGACCATACCCATGGGACCTTGACCTTGATGGGCCCACCCAGGACCAGAGTTTTGTACCATGTTGACCAAATGGAACTTGAAAGGCCTGCATCAAAACGAAGTGTTCCAAGGTGAGAAGAAATGGTTGGGTTGCAGTCTGGGAATGAGGTAGATCAAGGGCACATCCAGGGACAGGGAGCCACAGTGGGCTTAGTGAGCCATGGGGATGGGACAGGCAGGGCCAGGGGCAGCAGGCAGCATTGCACAGAGAGGCATAGACCTCCTCTTCTCCACTCTCATCTATTCCCAGAGCGCTTTTCTCTCCAGAAAATGTTCAATTTCCTATTAAGCTGAAGTCGGATCTGAAGGGAATCAGAGATAAAATTGTTTTTTGGGCTCCGGGGAATGCATGATGAGACTGGATATAGACAAACACACTCCTGAAATCAGGGGAGGCCAAGAGGCTCAGCCGGAGACAACGGCCCAGCGTGAGGGAGGCGGTTCTTCATTTGACTACAACTCAACCACTGCCATGTCGCTGGCGCCTGCTGCTCCAGCCCTGGGACCTGCTGCCGGCCACCGCTCCCTGGCCGCATGTCCAGGAGCCACACACACTGTGACCGTGCCATTGCTACTCAGTTGTGTCCCAGTGCTACTACTCTGTATGTCTGCCCACGTCTTCCACACTGTGCTCCGTACTCATTCCCGTGATTGCACCCTCCTGCGGTGCAGGGCTGTGTGACATGCTTCTACGGCTGGGTCTATTGTTATGCAACGACACTCCACTGCTCCGCGGCCACGTTCGATTGCTTGTCACTGTGCCTCATGGTCGCTTGAGTTCATCCATTGCTATGTAATTTTGTTTGGTTGCTATGGAAGAGTGACCCATTGCTACACAGCTAGGCTACCTGTGCTTGTCATGGAGCCGTACACTGTTGCTACTCACCCACGTTCTACTGCCTGTAACTGGGATCTACTGGCCACGTGAACATGTGTGTCTGGGTCCTGCCATGATCCTTCTGGGCACTGGCCAGTGGGTAGGAGCTGGGGCTGGGGGCTGGGTCTCTAGGCCCCAACTAGGGCAAAGTGTCAGAAGTAGAAATAGCCAGCCTGGTAAATCTGAGGAGAGCGAGAGAGTGAGAGCGAGAAGGTGAGTGAGAGAGGGAGTGAGAGAGAGAAATGATGAGTTGGGAGACCGAACCAGAGGTGAGAGGATAAACAAGGACGTAGTCAAGAGTCAGGAACAAGGAGGGATGGCGTGCCTGGAACAGAGTGGGATGGGTAAGGGAGAGGGGCATACCCACTGCCCTGGATACTCTATGAGTCTCTGGGGGACCCGATGGTGCCAGGTTGACTGAGCATACAGGCCTCTGTAGTGTCCAGTATTTCCTTGGCTGGATGCAAGGTGGCATGAGATTGCCATGTCAGGAAGCTTTGGGCAGGCCCATTCCTGCCCATCCCTGGGCCACCTCATTGCCACCCTTTGTAAAATGAGAGGATCAGTCTAGATACTTTCTAAGGTTCTTTCTGATTCTCTTGCTGTCCAGCCAGGGGTTCTCTATTCCATTGCCCAAAAAGCATTTACCAACATCTGTCTTGGACCAGGCCTGGGCAGGGCTCTGGAGCCCAGAGGCGAGTAAGTCAGTGTGTTCTTTAGTTCAAGGACTGGATGGTGGTGGCTGAGTGGCCCTAACCCGATAGCAAACCAGGGCTAGCAGCCAGTCCTTAAGGCCTCACCAGGTGTCCAGCAAGAGGGAGGGTAGAGGGACCAGGAACACTCTCTCCGGGTGAATGAGCCACTGATGGGAGTGCTGAGGGTGATGCCCAGGGTGGGCATGCTTGAGTGAGTTCTCCATCAGACCCAGCTCACAACACCTCTGCAGTCTGTGGGTATGGGGTATCACTCAGAGCCTCCCAGAATCCCGGCCTAGCATGCTCAGGCTGCTTCTTTCTCTGCCTACTCCTCTGTCGCTCACAATGGTTACTGTTGCTCAAAAACACCTCCTCCTGGCTGGGTGTGGTGGCTCAGGTCTGTAATCTCAGCACTTTGGGAGGCCAAGGCGGGCAGATCACAAGGTTAAGAGCTTGGGACTATCCTGGCCAACATAGTGAAAGCCCGTCTCTACTAAAAATACAAAAATTAGCCGGGCGTGGTGGCGCCCGCCTGTAATCCCAGCTACTCAAGAGGCTGAGGAAGGAGAATCGCTTGAACCCGGGAGGCGGAGGTTGCAATGAGCTGAGATGGTACCACTGCACTCCAGGCTGGTGACAGAGTGAGACTCAGTCTCAAAAAAAAAAAAAAAAAAAAAAGGCAGAATTAGCCAGGGTGTCGAATGCCTGTAATCCCAGCTACTTGAGAGACTGAGGCAGGAGAATCTCTTGAACCCGGGAGGCGGATGTTGTGGTGAGCTGAGATCGCACCATTGCACTCCAGCCTGGATAACAAGAGCGAAACTCCATCTCGAAAACAAACAAACAAACAAAAAACCAAAAAACACTTCCTCCTAATGGCTAACCTTGACTTCTCAAGCTGCAATCTGGTCCCATCTCTTTTGGTTTAATTCTTAAGAGAAAATCAAGACTGGCCCTCTACCCATGTTATTCTAATATTCTTTCAGATGTTGAAAACATTGTTTATATTGCCTACCTCTCAGATCCATTCTATATTTAAAGGCCATTTCTTCCTCCACTCTATTTTTTCCTCTCTGCTCCTCCTCCACCATCATCATCACCATCATCACCACCACCATCATCATCATCATCAAGTTTTATAAGTACAGTGCAGACTCCAACCCAACCCACCCCAGCAATTTGTGTCTCACTTCCCACAGACAAATCCATGGTATTAAGACATCTGTATCTGGTTTCTCTCAAAGACTCTCAGACCTAATGACCTCAGTTCAGACCTTGGATGCTTTACCCAGCAGACTCCAAACGAAGGACTGCCTGCCATGCCCAGTACTAGGAGCAGGGCTGGGTACTTCCCCCTCCTTGGTTGTGCTATGTCAGTGCCCAGATGGCTGATGTGAGAGGCTTGTCCAGCCAGGAGGTGCTTGTGGTTCCTGCTTCTAGAGGTGGTGTGAGTCAGGGGCTGAGGTCTGCATCCTTGGGGGAAGGTGGAGGCTTAGCTTGGGGAGGGCAGAGGGTTGGCTGGTTGGCCCCTCCGGGGCAGCTGAGCAGGAGAGGTTGCTCTGAGCCCTCCACAGGGCTGAGACCAGGGAGGGATGCCTTCTTTCTCTTCCCTTCCCATGTGCCTTTCCCCATGATGGCACCTTCCCTCTTCTTTCTTTCCTGGCCTGTTTTTTCTTTTATTTTGTTTTTCTCTTGAGACAGGGTGTTGCTCTGTCACCCAAGCTGGAGTACAGTAGCACGATCATAGCTCACTGCAACCTTGACCTCCCAGGCTCAAGTGATCCTCCTGCCTCAGGTTCCTGAGTAGCTGAGACTACAGACGTGCACCAACAAGTCCAGCTAATTTTTTGAATTTTTTGTAGAGATAGGATCTCATTATGTTGCCAGGGCTGGTCTCAAACTTCTGGGCTCAAGCGATCCTCCCACCTCGGCCTGCCCAAGTAGTGAGATTACAGATGCAGGCCATGCACCTGGCCTCTCTTTCCTTTACTACCTCTGCTTAGAGGCACAAGAAGGGGGAACCACGAGGCCAGGATGTGGAGAGGGCAGGAGCAAGTGGTTTATTCATGCTGCCCCAAATCTCCAAAGACAGGGTTTCTTTATTTTCAATGCAGTTTATGACTGAGCTGGATGTTAATCCCAAGGGCTCTTTCCCCAAGGGCCAGAGGTGACGGGAGAAAATTGTAAAGATGGCCCATAAGTGCTGTGGTGCCTGAGCAGGATGGCCCTGCTCCAGGGTGGGCAGGGGTGCTCATGTGGAAGAACCCTGGGCATGCCCAGCAGACAGCCAGCCTTCCTATTCGTCTGATGGGACATGTTCCAGAAAGGTGCAGAAGTGCCAGGGGAAGATGAGGAGGCTGTTGGTGGAGGAGGTCAGGTCCTGGGAGGAGGATGGCTTGGACTTCCCTGTGGACTGGTGGCCTTGTCTGGGGCCTTTTCTCAAGATCTTCCAGAGCAGCGTTCCCCATGGGACCCGCTGTGGAAGAAGGGAGGAAGCTACCCAATAATTCAGCCATGGTTACTGGGTAGCACCTCCCTGGACTGTCTCTTTGGTAGCCCATTCTTTAGCTCTCTGCATCGAGGGCTGAAACCCAGCACTGACTCCTCAGCAAATTAGGATGTCACTTTGGCCACCTCCACCAGCCCTTCCTGAGCATCTGCTCAACCAGCAACAGGAAAACACAGCAGCTCCCATGATCAAGGACACAGACTATGTCACCAGAATTGGTGTCCTCTTTTATTATTATTATTATTATTTTTTGAGATGGAGTTTCACTCTTGTTGCCCAGGCTGGAGTGCAATGGCACAATCTTGGCTCACCGCAACCTCCACCTCCCAGGTTCAAGTGATTCTCCCGCCTCAGCCTCCCGAGTAGCTGGAATTACAGCCATGCACCACCACGTCTGGCTAATTTTGTATTTTTTTAGTAGAGACGGGGTTTTTCCATGTAGGTCAGGCTGGTCTCGAACTCCCGACCTCGGGTGACCCGCCCGCCTTGGCCTCCCAAAGTGCTGAGATTACAGGTGTGAGCCACCGTGCCCAGCTGGTGTCCTCTTTTTTTGAGCCCCAGTTTCTCCTGTTATAAGCTAAAATGAATCTCTTAAAGGTGTTTCCCACTACCCAGTGGCCATGCACCTCAGGAAGTTCTGAGTTGATGCCTACACACATAAATGGAACCCTGGCTTACAAGTGTTGCATGGGTTTGTTTTGAAAGAAATTACACGGGAGTTCCACTCAAAAGGTGAAGAGACCCTGCAAACGAAGAAGCCACAGCGCCCAGCAGTTTGACTTTGGGGTAACTCACATGCAGAGTGTGCCTAAGGGGAGGGAGGTCTACTGGCCACCTGAGGCATGAAGCAGTCCTGCAGATGGCAGTCAAGTCCCCTTCCCATGGCCTCATCACTGCCCCGGCCCTTCCCACCTGGGGAGAGACACTCACTGTGTCATGGGACATCTCAGGCACCAGAGGTTCCTCCTCTGCTTCTCGTGGAGTGGACGTGCTCAAGTCCATTGTGGAGCTCACTGTGTCCTTGGACCAGGACTCTTGGATGGTTCTCAGCTTCTTATCCAGGATCTTGGGGTCCAAGGTAGGAAGAGCCTTGCTGTTGTTTGGTGTCAAGAAGTTTTCTGGTCTCTGAGAAGAGAAGGTGCAGAGAAACTTCAGGACAGGCCCCTTCTCTGTGCCCATCTACCATAAGCACACCATCTACACCCCAAGCCTCTCCTCCTCATGGCTCAGGAGGCCCTGCATGGCTGGCCCGTGCACACCTCCTACCATCTGCCCCTTGCTCACCGGGTCCCAAATACATGGCCCTTGCTGTTCCTCCAACAAGCCAAGCTCGCTCCTGCCTCAGGGCCTTTGCATTTGCTGTTCTCTTCCTGGAGGTCCTCAGGGATCCTTACGCAGCTGTCTCCTTCTTATCATTCAAGTCTCAGCCCAGATGTGATCTGCTCAGAGGGTCCCTACACTTTGAGATAGAGGCCCACTCTATCTAAAGTAATCCCACTTCCAATATACTCTCTATTCATTTATCCCATTTTACTGTGTTCATAGCACCTACTCTACCAGAAAATTTAAAAATGCATTTACTTCTTAACTGCCTTCCTTCTGCAAATGCCCATGCTAGGATGTGAGTCCCATGTCAGCAAGGAACCTTGTCTATCCCTAGTCTCTGGCTCATTGTAGGCACTCAATACATTTTTGGTGGAAGAATAAATGAATTATGCCATCTCTGGCACCCACACTTGGTGCAGTAACAACAGCTTCTAAAATCCTACACTCTTTTGACACCCTTTGCTATGTAGACCTATTTTCCATTTCATCTCCTCTATCATCCTTCAATCTTACCACCCATTAAGCAGACAGTCTCTCCTCTCTGTATATTCTGATGAGCCTTCGTCTCCCTCCATGTTCTTTTCCCGTTCTCCTCCTTCTCCCTTGGCAGGATTATCACTGTCATATGTCTAAAGTCTGATGCCACTCAAATACCAGCACCCCCACCGCCCAAGGATGACTTGATGTCTCAGCTCACACTGACTTGTAGGTTTTCTGGGTTCTTCTGGTCTAGCAGTTGGCTGTCTGTGCTTTCATGTTGCTAATTCCAGACTTGCCTGCTATTTTTTTTTCTTTTTTTTTTTTTTGAGACAGAGTCTTGCTCTCTTGCCCGGGCTGGAGTGCAGTGCCATGATATCGGCTCACTGCAACCTCCACCTCCTGAGTTCAAGTAATTCTCCTGCCTTAGCCTCCTGAGTAGCTGGGACTACAGGCATCCGCCACCACACCTGGCTAATTTTGTGTATTTTTAGTAGAGATGGGGTTTCACCATATTGGCCAGGCTGGTCTCGAACTCTTGACCTTGTGATCTGCCCACCTTGGCCTCCCAAAGTGCTGGGATTACAGGCGTGAGCCACTGTGCCTGGCTGCTTTTTTTTTGTTTTTTTTTTTTAAATAAAATTTTAAGTTCCTTGGGCTTAGGGACATGTCTGTGCTCCCTTTGGGGAAGGGTTACTTTAAAGCCCTGTTGGAAATTCATGGTTATCTCTAAAACATACTCATTGTTCAAAGAATCATGCAGTCCTAGGGTTTTCAGGGACCTCAAAAGTGAGCCAGTTCCACCCTGCACCAGCTGTTGGAATCCTCTCTTGGCTGCATAGCAGACAAATTATTCCACTGTCTGGAGTCTTGTGCTAGAAATAAATAGAGCAATGGGCACACTGCCAACCAGTACAGATGCGCTCAGAGTTAGAGGTGCCCAGGTGTTTGACCCTGAACAACCAGAGAGGGAATGAATGCAGGTGGGCCTCTTTTAAAGTGGTTCTTCTATAGGAAAGTCCATGCATACTAATTCAATGAATTGAGACAAGGACCCTTCACTTTACCACTGAAATTCTTTAAGTAATTATTCTTTTATGCCCCTTTCAAATAAAATTTGCTGTGCAGAAATTCATTAATGTGAAGATGTTTCTGGCCATGTCTATAGAGTAAGGGACAGTCACATAAGTACACAGAGGCATTTGGCTAAGTCTGGGCTCTATGTCCCCCAACTCCCCATCAAATGGGTGCAAAATAGACAACGCCAAAGAGAAAGCAGCTATAATAAGACTCTTGGAATGGGAAGAGTGGGACACTGGGGGACCCCGAGGCTGACTTTGGCAGGCCACCTACTGCACTTCATGACCAAGACTCCTGGGCCTGTTTTGTCTGTGGGCATCAGGCCTGGCTCTCTCTCCCACCTGGTCCTCTCAGTAGCTATGGCTCACAGAGGGCAGGCTTCACTTGGAGGCTCCCCACTGACGTGAAGACACCCAGGGTAGCATCTGAGTCAGATGGTTTAGGGTTTTCTGGCCATGTGTTTTAGATAGGAAAAAGTACCACATCTGTCTCTTTCTCGGAACAGCTGAACACTAGATTGACTGCAGAGGAAGAGCTACAAAATGCATATTGGATGGATGGATGAATGAGTGGGTGGATGAATGGATGGATGAATGCAGGAGAGAATGAAGGAAAGCATAAATACAGGGCAAAGACCACCTTCCCATTGACCAGGTGGCCCCTGGGGCTGTGGTGAGATGCTGATTCAGGACCTATAATGACATTTCTGCTCATTTCCAGGCAGAAAGCCAATCTCTATGCCCTGGATTTCATAGACTGCCATCTAATCCAGTTAGGAGAGGAAGTAGAAGTAATGAAATCAAGGGAGAGGTCTCCAGAGGTGCCCCCATCAGTACTGAAAGCAGGGACAATTGCAAAGGAGTTCCCTCCCCCATAGCCTGTCTCCCTGACATCCACTCAGTGTGGCCCCAGCACCAGATGGGTCAATGCAATAACCCAGAGCTGACATTTACTGAGCCCCTGGTCAGAGCTGGGCACTCACCAGGTACTTGTATGTGGATTCTGAAATTTACCATGTATAATCCATTTAATTTCATCACAAAGCTAAAATAAAGGTGGGAACAACCCCTCAGTCCAGACCAGTGCCTTTACCCCATCAGTCTCTTATGGGGTGAGGTGGGGGTGGGCTCGGGGAAGGAGGGCAGGCAAGGCAGAGTACCTATGGACTTTAAGTCTATCCTGCCCATTCCTGCTCCAGCCACCCTTCCTGTAGTGCCTGCCAGACTCAATGATTCTGTCCTGCCCTACCCTGGGGCTGGCCCTGGCCAGGATCTGCTCCCATGGCTGCTCCATGCCTGTACCTCCCCAGCCTGCAGGTCTCTGCCCACATTCCCATTCCCCTGTCCCATTCAACTTTGCCAGGATCCATCCTGGCCTGGGATTTGGAGGCAAGGTGGAGAGGTGAATTTTATAGTGAAATCTTTAGACCTCCAAACAGCACAGATCCCGCAGGGCACATCAGAGGGAGTTGCTTTTGTCATGTGAGGTGACGGGCACCAAGAGATCCATCATGTCTAAATTCTCCCTAATAGTTCTCCTTCTTTAGGGTCAGCATTGCCTCTCCAGACTCCACAGCTTCAATCAGCTCACATTTGGGGAAGGAAATTATGCCCTCAGCCCCTTGCTTCTCAAGGAAGGGAGCTTGCCTGAGACCATAGAGAGGGCCAGGCTGCTCGAGACCATAGAAAGAGCCAACCCATAGGAGATGGTGAGTCAGGGTGGAGGATGGGAAGAGCCTTGGAGACTAACTCCTCCCAAGACTAACTCCTCCTAATCAAGCCCAGCCTTGCCTCGCTCTCCTTTCCTCCAGGTAAGGTGGGGGCTGCTGGCCCACCCCACAAGCCTACTTATTTGCTTCTGTATTTGACAAGCCTTGCTCTGCCTGCTGGGGCAGCTTGGGGCTGACAAGTGGCCCCTGTCCCCATGGCTTCGTGGCTGCAGCACATCCTGGTTCATTAAGACTATAATTGGAGATTGACTTTGAAAGCTCAAAGAGATGCATGGCCACGCACTAGCTCAGACCCAGCATTCAGCTCACTGCTCCCTGTGTTGTTGCAGCTGCCCACACCACATGTGAGTGCCATGGTTGGGGAGAAGACATCCCTTCCTCACTCCTCCCAGCACTCACTGTTGTTAGCAGAGTTGGGTCTGTTGAGACAGACCAGGCCAATGGCATCACAGGCTTGAGGCTTCTTAGGTCACCTGTCTCCCTCCTCCCCACAACATCCTCTGCCTTCCTCCTACCCATTCCATCCCCTAGATCCCCAATCATGCAAAATGCAGCAGTTCCAGCCTGCCCCACAATTACTGACTAGCCAGGCTGCAGCTGCTGTCCTTGGTGCTGAAAGTGCCCGCCTTCCGGCCTGCCTGCCTCTCGCCCCGCCCTGAGCCTTCTTGCTGGAGCGCACATGCTCTTAATTCAATTAGCTGGCCCTGAACCCTCCCCAGGGGGCCTGAAGCGGAAACTGACAAATTCTGTTTAACAAAGACATTTGTCCCTCGCCCCGCTGGCTTTGGGCTCTGCCCGCCTGTATCCCGCTCATTAGGTATCTAACAAAGTGAGTCCCAAGAAATCTGCTTCCAATCGCTAGTAATTCAGGAGGCCTGATGCAATTTTCTCCCTGATAAGGGTGTCTCGCCCACTGGCAAGCGCCATAATGAGCCCTGTGCAGCAGTTCCCCGATCAGTCACTGCTTTGTCATTTCCTGTGGCTGCAGTTGTAGGTTCTTATCTCTTCAGCTGTAGGCGAAGCTCAGACAACAGGCCCCTCCAAGAGGGCTTGCTGCCTCCCCTGCATACAGCGAGCCTCATTTATGGCATCCTGCGTGCTCTTGCAGCTGCAGTGGGGTTTGAAGCTCCGGGTCTGTCTCCCAGCCAAGAAGGGCCCCAGTGTTAATCCTTGGTGGGGCCATGATTCATTTGCCAGAAGTGGTGTTAGAGGGTTAATCCCAAAGCACATTTTGAGGCCAGAGGAGGGGTGCCACTGATAAGAATTTTTAAAAATTCTGTTGGGGATTTTAGTATGAAAGTCCTGCCTGTGGCTCAGTGGTTTGACTGTGGGCTCACTCTTGTTACCCTGAAACCTGGCTTTCTGAATTTATTTTTTTCCCTTGGGTTTCCCCTATTCTCATGCAGACAGACCTTTCCAACACAGATGAAATCACATCCTACTGCTGCTCCAAGACCTTTCTTAGTTTCCTACCACTTTATGATAAAGCCCTCACCCTGCACCCTAGCACCCAGGTCCTCTACAATCTAGACTTCTTCTAGCTTTCTAGTCTCACTGCCCATTACAGTTCTCATATGTCATGTGCTCCAGACACTGTCATGCCTCCATGCCTTTGCACATGGGGGTCCCTTTGCCTGAAGCACCCTTGCTTTGCCAATTTCCAACCCACTATTTGGAACAGAGCTCAAACCATGCCTTTCTGTGATGCTTGCCCTGACCTCTGTATATTCAATGCACCAATCTCAACCAGGACCCTTAGTAAGATGGGTGATAGTGATCTGTTGGGGTGCTTTACTGCTTGGCACAGGTTAGAAATCTAATAAATGGCTTTGGGAAGCCAAGGCAGGTGGATCGTGAGGTCAGGAGTTTGAGACCAGCCTGGCCAACATGGTGAAACCCCATCTCTACTAAAAATACAACAGTTAGCTGGGCATGGTGGCGGGCACCTGTAATCCCAGCTACTGGGGAGACTAAGGCAGGAGAATCGTTTGAACCCAGGAGGCGGAGGTTGAAGTGAGCCGAGATCATGCTATTGTGCTCCAGCCTGGGCAACAGGTCAGGACTCCATCTCAAAAAAAAAAAAAGGAAAAGAAACCTAACAAATGGTTAATGAATGAATGACCTTGGCTGGGCCAGAGATACATCTTGGCTGAAAGCACTGAAGGGAGGTCTATACTAAGGTGGTTGGGTTTTCAGAAGGGGGGAAATCCCAAGACCAACTCCCATTTTCTGAGAAGTTTTGTCTAGAAGCTTCTGCCATGTCTCTCTCTATTCCTTCCCTCCCCCTTCTTCAATCTACCAATTATGCACTGGGCTCACAGGGAGAGCAGAGCAAGGGAAGGGAGTGTTCAATGTCCAGTTTTCTCAGTCATCTCTGCATTCTGACTTAATACACACCATCTGCAGCTGGGAGTTGTAGGCTCACATTCTCAAGGCAACACTAGGTTCTGTGGTTGGTGAGGCATTTAAAAAAATAAATAGACAAAGGTTCTCACTCTGTTGCCCAGGCTGGGGTGTAGTGGCACCATCTCAGCTCACTGTAGACTCAATCTCCCAAGTTCAAGCAATCCTCCTGCCCCAGCACCCCCAAGTGGCACCATCTCAGCTCATTGCAGCCTCAACCTCCCAGGTTCAAGCAATCCTCCTGCCTCAACGCCCCCAAGTAGCTAGGACTACAGGTGCACAACACGATGCCTGGCTAATTTTTGCATTTTTAGTGGAGATGGGGTTTTGCCATGTTGCCCGGGCTGGTCTCGAACTCCTGAGCTCAAGTGATCTGTCCACCTTGGCCTCCCAAAGTGTTGGGATTATGGGCATGAGCCACTAGGCCCAGCCTGGTGAGACATTTGAGATGAGCTAAAGCAGGTCTTCTGAATGACTAGCAATTGGAAGCAGTATGCCTCTCCATCCAGCCCTTCCCATTCTGGCCTGGGAGCTCCTAGGCTCCACAGCCCCCAACTCAGGGCAGGGTACATTGAGGACTTCAGCAAGTCTGGCTTCTGGAGAGATGGTTGTCTGTCTCTTCCCCCATTTCATTCTCAGAAAATTGCAGCGAGACCAAATGTGGTGCTGGCGATGTTTATCTTCAGCACCTGACAAGGCCTCCTGATGTCCTTATGGATGCGAAGCTGGTGGAGCAGCTGTCATGAGGGGCGGGCACCGAGTGATGGGTTCGCAGGGCTCCACCAACTCCCCTCCCCCAGGAGCCCTGTCCTCATCCCTGATGAGTTCAGCATGTTTGTCAGAAACCTGGGTGAAAGACACTAAGAGATCCCTTTACCGAGCATCTGCAGGACACTGTGCTAGGTTACCTGCACATGCTTCCTCATTCAATCTTCACTATGTTCCTGGCTGGTAGGGATTACAATCCCCTTTTATGGATGAGAACAGTGAAACTCAGGATGGCTAAGATCAAATGGAAGATCCAGATTCAAGCCCAGGTCTACAGGCTTACAAGGTGGACATTGCAGCACTTCAAGTGTCTTGGCCACCTCCACAGATGACCTGGAGCTTGGGGTTGGGGGTACAGATGGGGCTGTGAGTGTGTTGCATGATAAAATCAGGGTCCAGAATGATCTCAAGCTTAGAAGATGGGCTGAGATAAAAAAGGTGAAATACCACAGGGGAGAGAAACCCTGTCTAAGTTCAGTATAGAACAGCAGGGAGGCAAGATGCAGACATGCTGCTTACTGATGTGCCAGAGTTGGACTCTGGCTCTAAACAGACCCTCACTGCTTTGATAAATACTAAAATAGAACCAAAGCTAGGCTTCAGCTGCACCAAAGGGGAGAATGTATTCAGAGAGAGGGAGTGATGTTCCTACTCTACCTCTAATGCTGATTGGGCCCCACAGTTTTGGGGGATACTTTAACAGGAATGTTGTCAAGAGGAGACAATCAGCAGGACAAGAATCAGAAACCAAGTGCTACAAAGAGGAAGAGGAATGAGAGTGGGTTCAGGCTGGAGATGCCATAAATAGTTTGCAAATGTCAGTAGGGCTGACAGGCCCTGACTTCTCTGGAGTTGGCCTCTGGGAGGAAAAGGCAGGGCCAGGGGGAGGAAATTGAAGAGAGACAGAAGGAAGTTTAGAAGGGAGCTAGTAGAGGATGGAGAGGGCATCCTGGGTGGTAATGAACTCTCTGTCGGGAAATGACCAAGTAGAGTCTGTCAAACTCTGTGTGTGTTCTGGAGGGACTGTTCAGTTCCTTCTCTCTGAAGTGGGCAGCATGGGAGTTGCATGATCACCAAGGGAGGCCAATATTGTCCCCAAGGCAGGGAACACTATAGGGGGATTCAGGCATTGTGGAAAGCAGGTAGGAGCCTCCGTCATGGCAGCGCAGGAGGAGAGGTGGGATGGCCAGCCCTGCTCCGACACAGAGTCTGTGACCTGGGGGCCAGGTTGGCCTTGTGAAAGCACAGACTCTCATGTCTCTCCTGCCCCATCCTAAGCTTCCTTTGATTTGTTTGTTTTCTGTTTTTAGAGACAGTCTTGCTCTGTCGCCCAGGCTGGAGTGCAGTGGTGTGATCTCGGCTCACTGCAACCTCCGCCTCCCAGTAGCTGGGATTACAGGCTCCTGCCACCAAGCCCAGCTAATTTTTGTATTTTTAGTAAAGACGGGGTTTCTCCATGTTGGCCAGGCTGGTCTCAAACTCCTGACCTCAGGTGATCTGCCCACCTCGGCCTCCCAAAGTGCTGGGATTACAGGTATACAGATTTAATCTCTCCAGAGCCACCACGCCCAGCTCTAAGTTTTCTTTGGATGGGATGGGAAGAGCTCTACACTGGACCTAGAACCTGAGCAGGTGAGGGAAAGGGCACCTGTGGGTAAGGGGTGGATCTGTCTCCTCTGCCTCCTGCCAAATGACCTGAGGCAATGAGAGGATAGGAGGGCAGAGGCTTTGGGTGTGGAAAGGAGGGCAGTGAGGGATGGTGTGAGATAGTGGCAGGGAAAGGGTCTCTCTCTCTGGATCCATCCTTATGGTAGTGTTTTCACAGATGGAGTCTTGGGGGTGGGAACAGAGCCTTCAGAGGGCAGAACCAGTGGAGGAGACTGCTGTGCTGCCCTGGGCACTGGCCCATTCAGGCCGCTGTGCTTGGGGAAGAAATGGAGGGAGGTTTGTGTTGCAGTTTCTCTAAGGACCATCTCAGGGGTGTCAGGTGTGGCTTACAAAAAATCCATAAAAATTCTTCAAAAGCCAGCATGATGCTGCCTGTCCCCTGCCCTTTCCTCTATATTTGCTAAGTGGCCACTTGTCCTCACTCTGGGCTGGTCTCCAGAGAGATCTTTGTAACTAGTCTGAAAAGAAGCCACCAGAGTAGCATCAAAGACTTGCCCCCCTCTCTCCCTATGAGGGGAAGAGGGAGGGGGAAGGTCAGATGGGACCATGGCACCTGCCCCTCCCCTCAGTGGTGGCAGCAGGTGCCACTGCCACCTCTCCTCAAATGCACCCTCTCTATACTCCCAGGAAGCCAGGGGGTTTCACGTCATCCCAGCATGTCTGTGGGCTGTGGGCTGAGGAGGGTGTGGCCACCCATCTGAGAGGCCCTACTTCTGCCTGGTGCCCTATCTGGGCAAGGTGATGGATCCCAAATCTTAAATGCAAGAGGAGAAATGTTGCTGTATACCCAGATGACGGCATGAACTTGTCCCACCTCATGGGGAGGTGCATTTCCAGGCAGAGAGGCAGGAACTGATGCAGTGAGCACCTACTGTGTGCATGCCAGGCTCCAATCCACAAGGTCAGCCCAGGAAACCTGGGCAGTGTGGGCCTCACTTCAAAGAGGCTGGCTGCAAGCTGGAGGGCACCCAGGATGCTGTGGGATCTCGAAACCAGTTCATTAAGAGAGCCAAGCTGCTTTGCCTGGGGAAGTGTAGACTCCCCAGAGACCACATCACACTCTTCAAAGAGAAGAGGCTGAGATCAGAGGAGGAATGGAGGAGACCAAAGGTTTCTGTGTGTGTGTGTATGTGGAGTAGCCATAGGCTCATGGAGTTTTTTTGTTTGTTTGTTTTTGTTTTTGAGACACAGTCTTGCTCTGTTGTCCAGGCTGGAGTGCAGTGGCATGATCTTGGCTCACTGCAACCTCTACCTCCCAGGTTCAAGTTATTCTCCTGCCTCAGCCTCCCAAGTAGCTGGGATTACAGGCACCCACCACCACACCCAACTAATTTTTGCATTTTTAGTAGAGACAGGGTTTCACCATGTTGGCCAGGCTGGTCTTGAATTCCTGACCTCATGATCCGCCCGCCTCAGACTCCTAAAGTCTTGGGATTACAGGCGTGAGCCACCGCACCCAGCCAGACTCATGGATTTTTAGAGCCTAATGGACCTCAAAGGCCAGTCCCCACTGAATGTGCAATAAAGGGAAGTTTTCTGTGTATGTGTTTTTGTATATGAGTGTACATGTTTTTCTAGTTTTTGTGTGATCTGTGTGTGTTCATATACGTACTCACCTACACACACAAGCCATCTTAATGCAGATCACTTTAAGCAGCAAATGACTAGAGAAGTCCTACCAGAGGGTGAAAAACGAACCCATCACCAACCAACCACCTTCAAGTGCAATATTCCAAACCAGAGACCACCACCTCTTGCCATTCACTGAGTCTGCAGGCTTTGTTATCTAGTCTGCCCTCAAAAGTGTTGGCTGACTATGTGATCTATGTAGGAGGCTTGCTGAGGTCGCCCTGCAGCCTCGGGGGCAAAGCCAGGAGCTTGGGGCAGAGGGAGGTCCCCAGGAGGCAGGTTGAGATCATGTGGGGTGGCCATTTCTATCACTCAGCCATAGGAAGGCCTGCTTCTGGAGGTAGTGAGCTGTCTGTCATGGCAGCACAGGAGGAGAGACTGGGATGACCACGTGCTGCCAGGGAGATTGCTGTCCAGTGTGGGCTGTTGAGAGAGGCCACTGCTGTCTCTGCCTATTTGCAAATTTCACCATGCTGCTTCTGAAAGCTCTGAGAATGGGTGACGTGGTAGTGGCGGGTGTGGGGAAGCTGTGTTCACCAAAATGTCCAATTATCCAGGACAGCCTGTGCCCAAAACTCCTGGACATGGAGGCTCATGGAAAGAGCCTATGTCCTCAGACTGGGGCTGGGCCCAAATACGGCACGCGCATTCATTTCTCCTGAAGCATTTCCGCTCTGTGACAGCACTGACCATGTCTGACCACATGCAAAGAGCTACCCCTAGGATGGAGTTGTTGACCATGTGAACGAGGGGCCTGAGAGGCCCAATATCACAAGCCTCGGCAGCTGGAGTGTCCACAGGACTCTAAGACCTCCAGGTGTCAGGTGGTGGCTTCTGGACCCATTATGCAATATTTGATTTAAAGGGTGGAAGAGTTGATGGCCCCAGCCCTGCTGCTGCCTTCCCAAAGTCTAGGATGCAGAGATGAATACCAGGTACCTTCCATGATGAAGTTGCAGGCAACACCTTAGGCGCAACAATAAGGGGGCAGGAACCTGATCTCTTTGTTATAGCAGCTTAGCTCATCACCGTACTCAGCTACCATGAGGAGTCCAAATAGCCCCTTCAAGGACTCCGTATCATGTCACCTTGTTTGAGTTTCCTCAGACCCTTTATCATTAGCTGACATGAATTATTTTTTTATTGTCTGTTCCATACTCCCTGCTAAGAATGCAAGCTTTAGAAAGACAGGGCCTGATTGTTTTTTTTTCTTCTTCTTCTTCAGTGTAATATTCCTAAAATCCAGAACAGCAATTGCTCATGTGGGTGCTTCAGAAATGTTTGCAGTTGCATAGAGAACAATGATGGTATTGCAGTGAAGGTGGTGATGAGGGATGGAGAAGGGGATGGGCCCCTTTAGATTTAGCTGCAATGCCATCTGACCTGTTCATGAATTCTCAACACTTTCCTGCCATCCCTTAGGGAGAAGGATGCCAAAAGGTCTCAGACACTAGAGAGCCATGTCCAAGCCCAATGAAGGTGTGAGCTCAAATCAAAATGAGGTCCATGGCTGCCAACCCCTCCTTCTCCCCATTTCAATCCACAATGGCAGCCAAAATTCTACTTCTTGCCTTGCATGCTACCTGACATGCAGTGACTCCTCATCAAATATACATGGAATAAAAGAATAAATGAATGGGTGCTGCAGCTGCAAGGACTTCATGGTGAATTTAACCACATTAGCACTTTATACTTAGGCTCCTAAATTGGTCTTCAAGATTCTAGAATCAAAGGGAGTCAGTTATTGGCCAATTCTCAGATAGTTTACCAAGAAATAGTTCCACTACAAAGAGATTTAGCTTCCGTGTGTGCCACTGCAGGTGTGAAAACATCTGTGTGTCAGTTTGCATGTATGTGAGAGCGTGTACATATGTGTTAAGAGTGTGCATCCTTCTTGCCAAGGTATGTGCGCACACATCTGTGTGTCTGTGACTGTGTGTAGATATTCACACGTGATTGAGAGTGTATATGTAGAGGGGGTGTGTGTGTGTGTGTGTGTGTGTGAATTCTTGGCTGCAGAATCTGAATTTCTGCTAGTACTATTTTCTTGGTACACACCCAATCCTGATCCCCTTTCTTTTCCTTTCTTCTCAGAAATCCATTACTAAAAGGTTTTTTACCCGCCTCCAGGGGGAGGGGGTTGGGGGAAGGAGACGCTAAAATCACAAGGCCCAGATCAAAACACTCAGCAGCTAAATGAATTCGGCAGCATTTTCCCGCATGACTTGGAGGGATAATTTAGTGAGGCCGCCAGCTGGAAGGAAAGGGATTAATTCTGCACTTAGCACAGCTCCGGTGAATAATTCATTACTGGAGACCTTTGTGCCCAGCCCCTGGGCAATGGGGAAACTGTTCTGCCCACCTGCCTGTTGCCTGCCTGGGCCCACTAGTCAGTCCCCTGACCAGGGGCACCTGACGCTCCTTTTAGTCCCAGGATACACATGCCCAGTGGAAGGGGCAGGAGACAGAGGGAGGTGGGGAGGGGCTGGCAGTGGCCAGTGGCCACAGGCAGACTCTATACCTTGGGAAGAGGCCCCGGAGGGTTGGGCTCCAAACTGGGAAGTTTGTGACCTTTTTCTCCAAGATTCTGGTGCCTCTTTCTTGGGGTTTGTTGCTTCTACCCTTGAGAGGGCAATCCTGAACACCTATAGCAGGGAGTGCTAATGGGGTCTCAGGCCCTCTCCAGAGGCCTTGTAAAGGCACTTTCAGGCTGGTACCAACCCAGATATACTCCTCATACCCCACACCATAGGATTCCCTGTGTTCTTCATGAGTGAGGTCACAGAGCCAAGTGCTACCCCAGAGCTGGTGGATATTTTTCCTGCGTGGGAAGAAGGCAGGAGTGGGTTGGCGCGGACATTAGTCCCTGCAAACACTTTCTGGGTTCATGGTCCTAAACTACTCACATCCCAGCACCACTGAGAGGAAAGAGGGAAAGTCCAGCGGGTGCCTGGCATGTGCACTGCAGCCAAATGAGCAGGGTCTAAGCTGGGCTGAGACCAGGTGTAGCTAGCGAGAGGGATCGAGGCTCATCCAGCAGGCAGGGCTTAGCCCTGGGTGTCTTCACATTTGGACCAACCCAGCTGTGGTAGACAGAATTCCAAAAACGGGCCTCCAAGATTTTACACCCTCATTCTTGGAACCCGTGAATATGATGACTGATCACTCCTGGGATTATGTTTGTTACATGGCACCGTTGACTTTAAGATAGGAAGATGATTAGAATGGCCTGACCTTATCACACCAGCCCCTCTAAAATCCCTCTAAAAGCACCTCTAAAAGTTTTCTGTGGCTGCTGACAGAAGAGGAAGTCAGAGTTTTGAGGTGTGACAGGGACTGGACATGCCTGCTGGCTTAAGATGAACGGGGCCATTGTGAGGGGGCATGTGGGCGTCCTTCAGGAGCTGAGAGCTGCCCCGGCTGACAGCCTGCAAGGAGACCGGGATGTGAGTCCGGCACTGCAGGGAACTGGATTGTGGCAGCCACCTGAATGAATTTGGAAGCAGATTCCTCCCCATAATCCCCAGAAAGGAATGTGACCCTGCCAACATCTTGATTCCAGCCACCCTGTGTCATGGGACCTACATATAGAAGTGTCAGCTAATAAATGGGCATTGTTTTAAGCTGCTAATTTGGTTATAAAGCAATAGAAAACTGATATCCTAGCTCACCCTTGCAGAACCTCGATCCCAGTGAGCCAGACTTGGCTTGGGCTTGGTCAGAGGCTGACTCCAAGGTCTGGGTGGCCCTCTGCTCACAACTCTCCTCTTCCTAATCCCAGCTCTCTCTACGTTTGTCTGGAGTCTCAAATCACCCTTAGACGTTTCTATCCAAAGTAGTAGTCCCATCCTCCCAGAAGTCCCTGAACAAAGCCAGCAATTGTGAAGGAAGTTGGATCTCACTGACATGTGCCTGCTGGCCCTGACCCTCCCCTGGCCCACAGCCTTACCTCAGAGGAAAGCAGCTGGAAGGAGAGAGCCACTGTGGGGGCCTCATCATTGATAGTTTTCAGGCTGGTGTCCTGGGGAGGAAAAGGGAGCACTCAGACCATGCTGGCCAGGGCAGCTTCCGCCTCTGCCCCACCTACTGTTCTAGATTTCTCTGGAAGGTGTCACCTGCGGGCTGCACCCAGGAGGGTGGGAGGGAGGTGGGAGCTGGCCTCCTGCTTTTGCCCTCGCAAACTGCCTCCACACCACCCCTTCTAAACCCCTCTAGAGACCTGTCTGGCACTACCAGGCTCATCTGACAGAGAGATTCTCATTCATTGAGGTCTATTATGTCAGGATGGCCAGAAGTATTTTAGGGGAAATGGTGGCATAGGAATAGAGAATGATGGTAACGATATTATTCATTCTTGTTGAGAACTTACTCTAAGTGCTTTCCATGGGTTTTCTCATGAAATCTCACAGCAACCCTATGAAAAAAGTGCTATTGCCATGTACCCATTTTATAGGCAAGGAAACTGAGGCATTGACACTTTCAGTAGTTTTCCCATGGTCATGTTAGCTGGTATGTGGTGGAACCAGAATTTGGACCCAGACAGTCTGGCTCTAGAGCCTGAGCTCTGAACTCTCTTGTTATACACAGAGATTGTGTACTTGGCATGCTTCTCCTGTGTTACAGACGAGGACTCTTGTGGTTCAGTAATGTGCCTGAATTTCCACAGTGAGGATTTGAACTGTGGTTCAAATCAGGGTCTGGCTGGCTGAAAGCCTGAACTCTTGCACTGTCTCACAGGGTCACCCTGTACTTGTCTCCCAAGTTGCTCAGGGGCAATTTCTCTGGCTTGGTTCGTCATAGTCCCAGAGGCAAGACTGGCTTCTGGGGTTCCAGGGAGCTCCTCACTTCTAGACTGGGTGACTTCCCTGGTGGGTGCCTTGACAGAAGCTTCTGGAGAAGCCAAATTCTCCTATGGAGGTGTGGTGAGGTGGGGCAGGGTGAGGCAGGGTGGGGCCAGGTGGGCACGCTAGGGGCCCAGTTCAGGGCAGGGGGCTCACCATGATGGGGAGCCGCTCCACGTGAAGCCCGTCCAAGCCTTTCCCTGTCAGCATCTTCTGGTACAAACGGCTCTTTAGCGGCAACACAGAGATGCCCAGGGGCTGGTTGAGGGTCCACGGCTGGCTGCCTTTCACTGTGGGGGAAGGATCAACTAGGGCTCCTGCCAAAGCCCCCACCTCGGCCCCATCCTTTAATACCTGACATCCAGTCCTCCTGTCTCCCGCTGCCTGCTTTCCTGCCTCCTGGCCTTTCCCTGCACATACATCCTCTTCTCATCTTCAGGGCTTTGTGAACTCAAAGCCAACTCTAAACATACTCTGTGTGTCTGGGAATTTATATACATCAGCCTCATCTCTACCCTTTGGGGGCTTCAATCCCACAGTGCAGAAAACTGTGGATCAGCTGGTCTCTGAAGCCCATCTCCCTCACCCCTCTCTGTGAGTTCCGAGGGCTCCAGCCCTCCCCCATCACTGATGGGTGCAATAAAACAAAGCTTGGGGCCAAGACCTAGTATGGGACAGGCCCACGTGTCCTGGCCTGTGGACAAGGAACGCAGCCAGCTCTCCTCTGCCTGCATTAGGAAGCCGCCTGGACACCTGGGAACCATCCATCCCTGTGGGAGGCAGAGGTGGGATGGTCTGAACACCCTTTCATAATACAGATCTCCTGAGGCATGGCTGCCCTGGCGAGGCACCAGGGGTCACGTACTTGAAGTTGAGGAGTAGTACTCCAGCACCAGGGCTGTGTCTTCTGAGAAGCTGGTAGCTCCATCTCGGCCTTGGAAGAGGAAGGACTGATTCCACAGGGGCTGCTCTGGGGGTCCCCCAGGCTTGGACAGCTGGAGGGAGAGGGTAGGAGCAGGTGGTGGGGGCCACAGCTTCTCCCAAATCAAGGCATACACAGATATTTGGTTTTGTGTATCTAGATTTGTCACAAATGTTTCTCCCAACTATAAAAGCAAGCTGGCTGGGCACAGTGGCTCACGCCTGTAATTCCAGCACTTCGGGAGGCCAAGGCAAGTGGATCACTTGAGGTCAGGAGTTCAAGACCAGCCTGGCCAACATGGCAAAACCCTGTCTCTACTAAAAATACAAAAATTAGCTAGGTGTGGTGGGGGACTCCTGTAATCCCAGCTACCCAGGAGGCTGAGGCAGGAGAACTGCTTGAACCCGGGGGGGCAGAGGTTGCCCTGAGATGAGATTGCGCCACTGTACTCCAGCCTGGGTGACAGAGCGAAACTCCGTCTCTAAATAAATAAAATAAATAAATAAATAAATAAACAAATAAATGCAGCACACACCTAATAAATACATTTAGGAAAATGCAGAAAAATAGGAAGAAGAAAAACAGCTCCTGTGTTCCTATGATAAACACAATAATTCATAAAACTGTGCTTCTTCCTAGTTTTTTTCTGTGTATATTTTGTGTATAATCACCATTCTAGCATCCTGCATTTTTCATTTGCCAGTAAAACCTAAGCAGATCCAAAGTCACAGAAAGCTCATTACCCATGACTTGAGTAACTTCAGGATATGAAGTTCATGTCCAAGTGCCCTGATTTCTTCCTTCCCATTTTTCCCTGTAATAACACTGCATTGAACGTTCTCTGCTACATATCTTCATGTCGCAAATTACTTCCTTAGTACAACTACCTAAAATGGAATTGCTGGGTTATAGGACATGTGTATTTTAGGACACCTCATTCATTATTGGTAAACTGTTTTCCTAAAGTGTTGTATCTGTGTTCACACCCATGGCTGGTGGTGTCACAGATGCCAAGTTAGACATGACCTCTGTCTGTGTCACCAGCCCCTCTCTTTCCCACACAGTTTCCCCAGCCCCTTGCAGAGGCCAAGACATCTCTGCAGACTACAGAGGCTCCGTGTGCCCGCAGTGTGGGCCAGTGGGCACTCGGGGGACTTGATGGCACCCTAGGTCAGCAGTTAGGGCACACACATGGGTATGATTTAAACAATGAAACAAGACAGTATTAACTGTAGCACTGCCCAATAAGAGAGCTATATGAAATATTCCCATGGGTGGTCAGAAAAGCCTCCTTAAAGGAAGCAGAACCAGAGAAAGGCTCTGAAGGAAGGTCTGGCTGGGTGAAGAGAGGGATAAAGGTCTTCAGGATGGGAAAACAGCACAATCAAAAATGTGGAGTGGCACTGAGCACACCCTGTGCAGAGGACGCCTGAAATGAGGAGAGACTCCAGGGGGAGGCCCAGCATCTGCCAAGGCCAGAAGGTGGGAGATGGGAGATGGCCATCGGCCCATAACTCCCAGCAGGCAGCCCTGCAGGGTCCCAGCACAGGGCGGGGCTGCGGGTCGTTGCTACAGACCCACCAAGTGGCTGCCTTGCCTCTGTTCCCCAGCCAGGGGCTGTCAGCAACAGTAGCAGCCGCTCCCACCTCCTGCTCCCCCACAGGAATCAGTCATTGCTCGAAAAGGTCAGCACAAATGCACTGCGGCTCCAGGAGTTATTGATGCAGGATCATGAAATATCAGTGTAGGTCCACTTCCCCACAGTGGCAGGGTGCTGATGACGGTCACACTAATGGGCCTGGTTTGTCCAGGCCCAGCCCAAGGCTCAGCTGTGTCTGCCCCTGCCCCTGGGGAGATGGGTTGCAGTCACTGCAGGGCTAGGGTGCCCTGGACACCTGAACAGAGACTGCAATGATGGGAACATCCCACTTCTTATGGGAGCTTGGCCAACAGGTCCGGTGAGAGAAGTTGGTTCTGACTTCTGTGGGGCTTGGGAGTGATCTTTCAAGATTGATCCCCAAACCATGTCCCTCCCAGAGTCACCCCATTCTCCTGGGTGCAGGAGGGTCCACATGGCTGGGACTGTCTGCCAGGCATTGGGGCACCTGTGACTCAGTCCCCTGCCGTCCATACCTTGCTCCTACCCTGGAAGAGGGTTATTTAGTAGACGCTAGCTGCCCTTTCTGGGACCTATTCATGTGTCTAAATGGAGCCTATGAAGCCAGAGGTGGTGAGTGGCTGCCGGCCCAATAAGGAACAGCCCTTTCCCTGAGTAGTTTCCCAGGGCAAGTCACTTAGGAAAGATCACTTCAGACCTAGGACTGGGGAGGGAGGGTCAGCCTGTCTTGTGCATGTGCAGGCAGGAGTGGTGGGAACTCAAAGTTAGAAGACCTGCAGTCTGACGCCAGAGCCCTGGTGAGGGTACTGTGGCTGATGTGTGTGCAGGATGGGGGCGGGGAGAGGCAGGCATCGCCTGCAGATGCTAATGGAAGGGCCACAGCGGTAGTGGAATTATGGAATGTCATTAACCCTCAGCTGTGATCTTCAGAAAAGCCATTAACCCCCAGCCATGGAGGCAGACCTGCTTCCCCTGGGGACAGAGCCTTCATTCCATGGCCCCTCCACGCCCACCGCCTTATTTCCCCTGGGCCCACCCACATCCACCTCTGCCTGCTCTGCCCAGGCATAGTGGCCGCCATCTGGAGGAGTAGCTGCTGGGAGCAGATGCTGGGCTGGGGTCTCTAGGGATCTAGGACCCCTTGGCTCTGGGTCTGGGTCTGCCTCAACCTTGCTGTGTGGCCTTCAAGTCCCTTCTCCTCTTTGGGACCTACTTTTCCCATCATCCCATGGGGATATGCCTCAAACTCCTCACTTTGAAAGCCTGTTGTAAGGTTAAAGGAGACAATGGATGTTTTGCTATTAAGATGTAAGTTCAACTTCACTGAACTCAGCAAATGTTGACTCTGGGGGGCTTCTCCATTCCAGATGCCTGTGGGGTGCTGTAGAGCCAGACTCTGCCCCCGACCCTGTAGCCCACCATCATCCAGGAGGATAGGGGACAGACAGACAGACAGACAGACAGACACACACACACAAACATGTAGAGTCCTAAGCAAGCTGTGGTTGTGGGAGCTGGGGTGTGCGAGGAGAAAGCCATGACTTCTGACCCCATTCCTCAGGGAGGACCTGAAGGACAAGGGCAGTAGGTAAGGAAGAGGAAGGCCATTCCAGACTGCGAGTGCAGCAGAGGTGGAGGCTGGAGGTGGGAAGGGGCAGTGTGGGTGTGGAGAACAGCAAGCTGTCCAGTGGGGCTGCAGAATGCCTGTATGAGCTGGAGCCATAAGCCAGGAGGCTGGAGGGCACAGGGCCTGTGGACCTGGCTGAGAGTGGGATTTGCCTTGTCGTGATAGTAACAGGGGGCCCAGGGGAAGGGCTAGGCAGGGGATGCCCTGGCTGCTCCTCAGAGAATGGATGGCAGGGGCCTGAGGGGAGGCTAGCACTAGGGCAGGGTCTGTGGGGATGGAAGGGGCCCCAGGAGAGCTTGGGGACAGGCCAGCTGTGGGGCTGAGAGAGGAGGGGATGGTGGTGGGCACACATGGCTTCCCGGAGCTCCACTCCAGCTCTGTAGGAGACCAGAACAACAGGAGCAGCCTGTTGGGCAATGGGCCCCTTCCAAGGTGCCGGGGTAGGAGTAACTTACACGGCCCACCCTATGTTGGTTCCAGCAGGCTGGACCAGGTGAAGTCCGACAGGCCATCTACCCCTTAACTCACCAGTTCAGCCTTTGCCATCATCACCAGGCTCCACTGAGGGCCACCTAGCCCACCACCATGCCCCTCCTTGCCTCATCACCAGCAGATGGCCCTTGGGTTCGGGTGGCTCCGCCTCCATAACCTTCCACATTTATACCAGCAAGGCAGAGCCACACCCCTCCTTAGTGATTGGCTCAGGGAAGTGCATGTAACCCAATCCTGGCTAATCAGACAGGAAGGAGGTCTGCTGAGGGATGGCTGGGTAAGGTTGGTTTCCAGTTGCTCTTTAAAACCACCTACAAGAAGAGAGGGTGCTGCTGGGTGCGGTGCCTCAGGCCTGTAATTCCAGCACTTTGGGAGGCCAAGGTGGGCGTATCGCCAGAGGTCGGGAGTTCAAGATCAGCCTGGTTAACATGGTTGAACCCTATCTCTACTAAATATACAAAATTAGCTGGGCATGGTGGCGCTCGCCTGTAATCCCAGATACTCGGGAGGCTGAGGCAGGAGAATTGCTTGAACCCAGGAGGCAGAGGTTGCAGTGTGAGCCAGGATTGCGCCACTGCACTCCAGCCTGGGGGACAGAGACTTGGTCGCAAAAAAAAAAAGAGAGGCTGCCTCTTATCTGCTGGTCTTTCATTCTATTTGGATGAAGTGCCCCCATGAGCCGTTAGCCAGCTGAAGATGGTAATTCGGGGTGTTGGAAAGATCCTGAGACCTCGAGGATGCTTCTGAGCCTGAGCATCCACCAATTCTGGCAGCATTCTATGTCGTGAGTTGATGTGGTGTGTGACAATAAATATCCTTAGTATTTAAGCCGATCCAAGTTGGGGTTTCTGTTACTTGGAGCCAGATGTGAAAAGGGCAGTGGTGAGGCTGGCCTCAGAGGGGACACTGGCACTAGGGGAGGTACAGCTCTGTTAAGAGTGGAACCCATTTACCTTGGACCCTGGGCCTGGACACTTTGCAAAGATTATCCTTTGAGTTCTCCTAACAGATTGGAATCAATGAGTCTGGAGAAAGGAGCAGCTTACCAAAGGTCATGCAGCCAGTAAGTTACAGAGCTGGGGTCAAACCCAGGTCAAACAGTGCTTTTGCACAGTGACAGTTGGTGAGAAATCACAGCCCCCCAAGATGTCAGAGAGGGCAGGCCCTAAAATTACCAAGTCCAATCCCACCCCCTCAAGTGTAGAGATGAGGGGACTGACGCTCAAAGGGAACAGGGCAGGGGTCTGTGTGAAGACTGAGCTCACGCTGCTGACTGGTGCCCCTCCAGGTATGGCTCTGCCCGGGCAATCCCCACCCCTCCTTACCACAGCAGCCTGCTCCTGTTCTCTCACTGCTGCACCTGGGCACCTCTGTGCCAGCTGCCAGCAAATTCCCAACCTGGCCCAGCTGCCATGGGGTTGGGTGATGTTCAACAGGTGTCCTGCCATTGCTGGACCGGGTCCCACACATGCAAAAGGCACTGGGAACAAGTCTCTGTAGTGAGTGGCACCTCTCCTACCCAGACTAGTTAGGCAGCAAAGGCAGCCAGAGAAAGCCTGGGGGTGGGAGGGGGCACACTCATTAAAGCAGGCAGTGCCTCTTGCCCCTTGGGACAGCCTGCTGATTGGTTCTTAATTTTCTGGGCAAATGCAGGGCCATGTGTGAGGTAACTCTAGGGAAATCAGGCAAAGGATTGGTTTGGGTTTGAAGCCTCTGTCCCCAGGGTCCCCCTTTGTCCCACTCCTCCCCACCACCATCACTCTACCCCATGTCTGAGCCTTCTTCAAATGTCTTTGCCTTTAAATGAAGCCTGGGCTCCAAAGGGGTGTCTTGTTCTATTTTTGCTATGCCAGACATAAGCACTGGTGGGCAGACAATAGGAGGGACCTCCAAAAATCCCTCTGTCCCCCAAGGCCCCTAGGAATGTTGGGACCATCGTGTAGGGCAAGCTGGCAGTGAAGCGCAGATCATGAGAAGAGACCAATCTGGCTATTCCCCTGAACCCAGCCATGTTCTGTGCGTGCACCCGCCCCCAACCTCATACTCAAACACACAGCCCTCCTGTCTGCCCTGACATGGGTCATAGCCTGCCTGTCTCCACCTCACACTTGTGCTATTGCTGTGTCCAACCTGTACCAACCCTTCCTCTGTTAAAAATTCAAGACTGCCGGCTGAGTGCAGTGGCTCATGCCTGTAATTCCAGCACTTTGGGAGGCCGAGGTGGACAGGTCACAAGGTCAGGAGTTTGAGACCAGCCTGGCCAACATGGTGAAACTCCATCTCTACTGAAAATACAAAAATTAGCCGGGCATGGTGGCGGGTGCCAGTAATCCCAGCTACCTGGGAGGCTGAGGCAGGAGAATTGCTTGAACCTGGGAGGCGGAGGTTGCTAGTGAGCCAAGATGGTGCCACTGCACTCCAGCCTGGGCAACAAGAGCAAGACTCTGTCTCAAAAAAAAAAAAAAAAATTCAAGACTGCCTTCCCTAATCCAGGCTTTACATCCCTCTCCTCTGATTAAAAAAAATTTTTCGCTGGGCGCAGTGACTCATGCCTGTAATCCCAGCCTTTTGGGAGGCCAAAGCGGGTGGATCACCTGAGGTCAGGAGTTCGAGACCAGCCTGGCCGACATGGTGAAACCCTGTCTCTACTAAAAGGATAAAAATTAGCCAGGCATGGTGGCATGTGCCTATAAGCCCAGCTACTCGAGAGGCTGAGGCAGGAGAATTGCTTGAACCCGGGAGGCAGAGGTTGCAGTGAGCCAAGACTGCGCCACTGCACTCCAGCCTGGGAGACAAGAGCGAGGCTCTGTCTCAAAAAAAATTTTTTTACTGGGTTAAAATATACGTAACACAACATTCACCATTGTAGCCATTTTTAATGTACAGTTCGGTAATGTTAAATGCATTCATTTGTTCGTATTGTTGTGTAACCATCACCACTATCTATTTCCAGGACTTTTCATCACTTGAAACGGAAACTAGGTACTTATGACCTGTAACTCCCCATTCTTCCCTTTCCCCAGCCCCTGTAGCCACTGTTCTACATTCTGACTCTGAATTTTCCTATTCTAGGTATCCCATATAAGTGGAATCATATATTTGTCCTTTTGTATCTTCTCCTCTGATGTGATAGCCCTGACAGGCCCTCCCAGTTTGTTATTAGATTATACATTATCTTGTGTTGATGTTCAACTTTTTCACCCACGTGACTCCCATCTTCACCAGACCAAGAGTTCCTGGAGGGCAGTTTCTCTGCCGCACAGGCGAGCACAGCACTGGGTATGCCGTGGGATTCAGTCAACTCTTACTCGATAGTCAAGGGAACTGCTGACTGACTCACTGAGTGAGTGAACAGTGAATGTGTGGGGTAGTTACAGGAAGCTGGAACCACTGGGGAGGAGACATACCTGAGGGCATCCGTTCTGGCTGACGCGAGGCACGTCAAAGTTCATCATGGACGGGATAGGGAAGGACAGTGGGGTGATGGGCAGCCCCACAGAGGCCAGGTCCCTGTTAGCCTGGCTGACCCTGGGGAGGCAGGGAGACAGGGTCAGTGCTCTGGGCTCTGCACCTGAGCCTGGCAGCCCAGGGCCCCCCGCTTAGACTCTGGGTTGATGCAAGAGAAGGGAGTTGCAGGGATCCCGCCGAGTTCGGGCCTGGACCTCACGACAAGTGGGGACCACTGGGCTGGGCGTGCATCAATCATCTTCCTTCCTCCAACAAGCAAGGGGGCTTCATAAGTCATAAAAACTCAACAGGAGATACAGAGAAGTAGGGGAGTCATCTTGGGCCATCAGGGCCAGTTGGAAGTGACCAAGACAGACCCTGACTCCCAGGAGTCGGTGCTGTGGCAGAGAGCACACGTTCATAGGGGAATTTCCCACTGTGTGGCAAAGTATGAATCTCCTCTTGAGGACTGTGACTCCAACAGACTCAAAAGGAGGTCTAGGGGAGGAGGGGATGAGTTGTGGCTGGGACCAGGGAGACCTCCAGGATGAGGAGGGAGGAGACTCCGCCCGGCAGGGCTAAAGGCTGTGAAGTTCCAAGATGGCCTTTGGGGCCAACCACTGGCTGGAGCCTGTGGCCCTGAGCTAGAGTGGGAGGGGGAGTGGGGAGGTGGTGGGTGTGAGGCAGGGAGGCAGGTTGGAGGGGCTGAGGTTCCCTGAGCAGGGAATGAGGACCCCTCTTGTTGTCCTCCCCACACTCTCTAGCTGTTAGGCCTGGTATCGGCACTCATCCCCACCACCTGCCCTCCAGCTTGCTCTCAGGAGAGGACTGAGCTGCCCCTTTCCAGGGGCCTGGGCTCTCCCTGGGGAAAGAAAGGCATGGTCTGCTGCAGGAAGCTTACTGGGACCTCAGACCCAATGGAGAGGCTTGAAGGGCCTTAGGGGTAGAGGGGTTGCCGGAGGTCCTGGAATCAGCCCATGGCAGCAATGACAGCCTCACCCCCTCCTCTGCCCTCTGCTCTGCCCTCCTCACCCAGGTCCACCTGGGCCCCACTCACTTAAATTCCTTGTAGTTGGGAACGACCCGGGCAATCACCACTATGGGGTTGGGGTTGTTGGCCAGGGGCTCGTTGACTCCCCGGAGAAAGATCTGGAGAGGAGAGGAGAGGAGGCAGGTGAACACCATGTGGCCTTGGGACCTTCCAGAGACAGCCAGCCAGACTGCCTACCCTCTTTTTCCCCATCCGTGAGCTCATGGCTGCCTCCACACTTGACACCTGCTTCTCCCTGTTCCCTGCCTTACTCGGTTCTTGCTTTGCACCAGGCTGCCCTCCCTCAGGAAGCCTTCTCTGCCGAGCTGAGGCAACTGCTCCCGCTTTCTGTCCTGGGATTTACCAATGGATCTCTTACACTAGTTTCTTTGGGGAGAAAGGGTACGATGAGAGTTGGGTCCTGGGAAGGGAGGTTGTGTTCTAACCTCGGCCCCTCCACTGGCTCCTGGGGAGGGGTTGGGCTAGGGGTAGGGCTAGGTGTTCCAGCTCCTTGGTTTCTGTCAGTCAAATGAGGCTCCTCCCAGGGCTGTGAGGGGTCTCTGATTAGATCGTTTGTGAGAGAGCACTTTATAAACTGAAGACAGGAAGCCCAGGTCTGGTTTCTCCGACCATGCTGAACTTCCTGAGATCAGCGGCCACAGCCAGGCTCCCCTTGCCTCCCTCGTGCCCATCACCCTGGTGCCTGCTCCACTGCTCACCCTGGTGCCTGCTCTCCTGCCTTGCTGGTTTCCCCAGGAAGTACTGGTTTGGAACAGGATCATAGCATCCGCATCTCTGGGCTCCTCTTTCTTCATCAGATCCCGGTTGTCACTCCCCTGACCGCCCTTGGTTGTTCCCTCCTCAGTCCTCTGTCACCCCCTAAAGGCTTCCCTGCCTCCCAGTCCTGACTGCCCTCTCCTCTACTCCAGGCTTCTATTGGCGCAGCTTTCAGAGAGCCGAGCGGGGTCCCAGCAGGAGGTTACAAAGCAGGAGTGGACAGCGTCACCTTGCTCCAACCCTCACTGACCCCCTGCTCAGTCTGGGCCTGGGGGACACTGGAAGGCAGACAGGGGAGACAGGGAGTCTGTCCCCATGCGCCTCTGCTGCCAGCCTAAGAGGCCCTGATCTCCCGGACCCTGACCCTCACCCTGTATCCACCAATGGCTCCCACTCTCCCTCAGCCCTCACCCACCTCCCACTCGGCTCTCATTCCTCTTGCTCCTTCGATTCCTCTGCCTCCTCACTAGCCTCTCCACTTCTGTTCCTTTCCCTAATCCATCCTCTTTCCCAGGCAATTTGACACATGATGGCAAAAGTGCTCTTGTTAAAAATGAACTGGGTCACGTTATTCCCTGCCCGACACCCCACAAGCCCCTCTGCCGTGTCTCCCGACAGGCCCCCAGCCCCTGTCTTCTTGCTCCAGACTCTTTTACTCCTGCCACTTACCCCTCTTATTTCTGCCACAGGGTCTTTGCACATGCTGATCCCTCTACTCAGACTCCCTGCAGCTCCCACCAACCCATTGTGGCTGGCGAGGGCCCAGGAGTGAGGCTTGTTCTGGATCATTCTCCCTTTTCTCCCTCCGCACCCTCCTTTCAGGCTCCTCTTTCAATACCCATCTCAGCTGGTTTTCCCACCTCTAACCCCACACAGGTGTGAGCTGATGGGCACGTACAATAGTCCTTAGGGCCTCGCAGCTCTCACTGAGGGCTCTGGAGACTGAATCCCTTCATCACATTCAAAGGATTGAATCTCTGATGGTACATTTCACACTTTGGATGGGTCTGGGGTCTGGGGCTGAGGGATTTCACTGGAGGCTGGCAGGCCCTATTGCTCACAGGCTCCCCAGCAGGTGTAAGACTAAAAAGGGGGTGGTGGCAGCTAATTTGCACCTGTTCTGTGTGGACTCTGATCAGGTGTGAATGAGACAGCTGCCCAAGTACACCTGCTCATGACAGCCTGGGAAGTAGCAGAAGTTCCTGCTCCTGCCATGCGCTCACCATCAGGAGCAGGCAGCTGCTCTGTGGCCATACCTGTCGCACGGATGGAGAGGGCATCTGTGCTGGGGCAGGAGAGTGGGCAGGGTGCTGTGAGCCAGAGAAGGCCCCTACTCTACCGCTCTACCAGGCAAGTCAGAGGGCTGGGTGGGGTGGGGCAGCTCCACAGCAGCCCTAAAGTTCTGCCTGTGTCTTGGGGATGTGGCCTCCTCCCTGTGGGGTGCGGCCTGGGGACAGCAAGGCCAGGCTGTTGCCCCTCTTCCTTGTTCTGTGTGTGTGTGAATTGCTGGCTGTCCTCAGGAAAGGGCGTGATAGAAGGTGGCGGGGAGCAGAGGGCGCCTGTAGGTCTGATATGCTGGCATCAGAGGGGTGGCTGTAGGGGAGTAGAAATGTGGGTTAGGAGTTTTGGCTCCCATACCATACTCCCCTTGGGTCTCAGTGTCCCTGGCTGTGAAAGAAGGCAAAAGAATGCTTCCTTCCCTGCCAGGCCCACGGTGCTGGTGGGAAGTAGGGGGGTGGGAAGGATAGGAACAGATCAGCCATGTTTGGGTAGGTGGAAGCTCAGAGCTTGGGTCCTGTGGCTCCCACCCTGATCATACTCAGGCCATAGCTGAATTTGAATCTGTCACCCATGGGCAGTTTGAAAGTTGGGGGGAATGGGAGAGGGGCCAGGTCCCTGCATCATGTCTGCTTTGAGCATCAAGAGTTCCTCCCAAAGCTGCTAATTGGCCTAGGGGGTGGATGGTGATGGGTCAAGGGGCAGTGGCCAGGCCCAAGGTGGGCTCAGCCCTGTCCTGGCTAATGGAAGAGGCTCTGTAAACAGTTGCTGGATGAATAAATGAATGAATAAACTAAATACCTAATCGCCAGACCAGTCAAACCTCTTTAGACACAGTGCTGAAGGAAAGCTCAAGGAGGCCCTAAACTTTTGCTTGGGGGCCAAGGCACTATCCCAGGAGGGGAAGAATAGAGCAGGAAACTGCTGGGCTGTGGGCTCAGGGGGAGCACGGGGCTTCTCCCCTGCCCCTAGCATAAGATTCGGGGAGACAGGCTCTGGTCCCCACTGCAGCACAGAGACGGTACACCAGGAGCAGCAGTGTGGCTGAGCCCCTCCCCGCCACCTCCAAGACAGAGAGGGAAGGAGAAGAGGCTTGAGCATCTTCATCCTTGTCATCCCTGCCAAAGGGCTTGTCTTCACAACTCCTTTTGCTATTTTGGAAAGGCCTGGTTGCTTTTTCCATTCTTGACATCTCTGCTCCACACCCTCAGGTCAGCCAGAGGGGGCTAAGGGCAAGGCGTGGGGCCTGCTCAAAGCTTGGCCCTTTCCCACCCCCACCACCACCCCAGAGGGCCCCAGCCCTGGTACCTCCAGAGCCATGTGGTTGCAGCCGATGTAGCGGGGTATGAAGCTGCTCTTCCGAACGACTGTTGCGTACAACTGGGTCTTGGCAGTGGCTTCATCGGCTTTCCCAGACTCAGTGGGCTGGAGACAGGGTTGGGGCAGAAGACACAGAGGAAGGAGAGTGTCTAAGGGGCAGATCCTGGCCATAAATCCAGCCCTCTGCAGACAATCACTTGGCATTGCTCCGCTGGGGCTCCGAGCTGATAATTAAAGCTCATGGTCCCTGTGAGCCCTTCCAAGGAGATCAATATAATAAATCTTCCCTTTTCCATTTGAATATTTCATCACCCTCACAAGGACCACTGCCTGTCTGCTTTCCAGTAAAGATGTGATAACAAGGCCTGGGTTGTAAGTGAACAGACAGCCAGGGGGCCTGGGTGATGCCCCCAGAATTACAGCTCAAGTGCTGAGTCTCCCAGGGTGAGTAGCACATCTCTCTTTTACTTCCCTGCATGGCCCATCCTGAAGCCCTGGGATTGGGGTTCCTCATGGGGCCTAAGAGAAGGTAAAGCCCCCTGGTGCCATGATTGAAGAAATGCTTAGAAGAAAGTTCAGTGCTGGCCCGGAGGAGGGATGGGGGAGGGTAACTGACCAAACTGAGCACCTACTGTATGCCAGGAACCTTGCCTATCATTGCTTGAGATCCTCAAAACGACTGTGCCAGCTTTGCCAGTGAGGATGGAGGCCTGGGGACCAAGTGGCTTCCATGGGTATCCAGCTAGGAGGCAACAAACTTGGTCTAGGACCCCCGACAGTCTGGCTTCACATTGTTCTTTACTCTCAACCACTTTCAGGGTCTGGAATGCACAGTGGGGAGGGGAATGTGATGCTTCTGTTCATCTCTGGCTCACTACCTGGCACATAGTAGGTGCTTCATAAGTCCTTGAGCAATGAGAGAGTGAATTCTACCCCTTACCCTTCAGCACTAGGAGGGAGGACAGGCAGGGGTCTGGCCTGGGAGGCCCAACCTTGGAGTGAGGAGCCTCAGGCCCCTCAGTCCATGGCTTGGACCCAGTTGCTCACTCCAGGGGTGCATTCCAGGGAATGCTTTATTCCATGTACCCCCCAACTCTCCTGGGCCTTCTGGCCAAGGCAGCATGTGGAGGCAGCTCAGAAGGAACTGGCTTGGGAGACAGCATGACTTGGGCTCACCCTCAACTCTGCCGCTCACTTGCTCTGTGACCCAGGAGGAGGAGATTTTTCTCCCCAGGTCCCAGTCCCATGTCTGCAAAATGTAATTTACCTTGAGGATTAGAGAGGGGGTGTGAAATGTCTAGCACAGGGCGTGCAAGCAGCGGGTACTCGGTAAATATTGTGTTTCTTTGATTTTTAGATCCGCTCTTTTAACATTTTTGTAATCAAAATCTATCTTTAATTGGTATATTCATTTAATGTGGCAGTTGTCCTATAATAATCAGCTGTTTTTACAGAGATGAATTTGGAGAATTCCAAATTCTTGTAGACACCATTCCTGTGTATGTACCAGGAGCCATGTTTCCTGAGCCCCACATGGTCCTAGACTTGTCATGCTGTGGGTGGGTGTGGGATGCTCAGGGCTGCTCCGAGGGAATAGCTGGGGACATTCAAGGTGGTTCCCACCTGCTCTCCCGGCACTTCCCCAGGCCTCTGACTCACCTTCACCAGCTCAAAGTGGTAGGGGTGGAAGACACGCAGGTACTTGATGGGGATTTTGTAGGACAACAACTCCTGTTTCTTTCTGTTGTCCACCACCTTGAGGATCACATCTGGAAAGAGAAAAAATGAGCCCAGGTTTATTTTTAAATGGATCCCTTTCTCTCCCAGTAAGGAGAGACAGTGAGAGGTGAGAGACATTGTTGAGAGTAGGGAGCAGGGGCCACACTGAGGAATCAACATGCACACACATGTGTGGATCACCCCTGTGCACACAAACCCACAAGCACAGTCTGAGCCCCTGCACAGGGCAAAGCTCCATGCCGGCAGCTGTTAGGACCCCAACATGCAATTTTCTCCCATGGTCTAGAAACTCCCAGGTCAGAGATAGACACACACAGAACTGAGTCCAGTCCCCTGTGGCAACAGACACACATGTGCACACACTGAGATACACAGGCAAGCAGGCATAGCACCTCTTTCCAGGAATAAGACTCTTTCCCTTGGTCACAAACACTTATGCCAGCTCTTGAGGCAGGATGGGGAGAGATTATCTCACACATGTTGCAGGTGGGGAAACTGAATTTCAGTAAGAAAAAGTGATCTGCTCAAGGAAATCCTTTAATACAGCTATCAATAAAAGTCTACTACAAGTAAGGGAAAACTAGTCTAAATACTAAGAATAATGCACCACTTAGTAAACACCCTCCAAAGAGACTATATTTTCTCATAAAATGGCATGAATATTGGTATAAACTTTTTCTTTTGAGACAGCGTCTCACTTTGTCACCCAGGCTGGAGTGTGGTGGCATGATCTCAGCTCACTACAACCTCTGCCTTCCAGGTTCAAGAGAGTCTCCTGCCTCAGCCTCCCAAGTAGCTGGGATTACAGGTGCCCGCCACCACACCCAGCCAAGTTTTGTATTTTTAGTAGAGACAAGGTTTTGCCATGTTGGCCAGGCTGGCCTCAAACTTCTGACTTCAAGTGATCCACCCGCCTCAGACTCCCAAAGTGCTGGGATTACAGGCATGGGCCACCGCACCCGGCCGGTAAAAACTTTAAGAAGAACACCAATGTCCTATAAATAATCATGACAGTCCTGTTTAGTGAGCGGGACTGTCATGATTATTTAGTGAGTATCTACTATGTGCCAGGCATGTCTCAGCCATGATTCCAACAAATTCTCACCACAACCCCCCGGGTAGGTATCATCATCTCTGTTCTTAAAATATGAACAATGGAGCTCAGAGGGTTATATAACTTGATCAACATAACACATCTAGAAAGTAGATGATAGGAAGGGTTGAATTTGGTGACACTTGAGGCATCTTTATATTCTGGAAGTCTATGATTTCAGGAGGAAGAAGAGATGGGGAGGGAGAAAAGGAGGAGAAGGATAGAGGAGGGATGGAGAAAGAATGAGAGAGATGAGGTAAGAAAGGATACAAAACAGAGAACAGGAAAGGGAGGATGGGGCGGAGGGGTGTGCCTGAGGGAAACACTTGGGGAGACCCTTGCCCTCTGCTTCTCTTGAGACAAGGGGTTTCAGCACCAGGGACAGCAGCTGGCCCTTGAGGGCTCAGCAGGTTCAGCGGGCTCAGCCGCTGGGTCATTTGGAACTGGATGGGTCATTTGGAACTGGATGGGTCATTTGGATGTTGGGGTGGAGAAGGAAGCTGAGGGCTTTATTAAGTATTCTTCTTTCTCTGTCTTCCCCACAGCGACCCTGAACACTTGCCAAGGTATCTCAAGAGCTTGTCATATGGGATCCATGCTCAAAGGAAAGAAGGGGGAGAGGGCACTGAAGGTGTTGAGGTTGGCTTGAAGAAGGGAGATTGAGGTAAGGGATATGAAGTCAGCAGACCTGGGTTCTAGTACCAGAATACTAACTTGCTCTGTGACTGTTAGCAAGTAATTTAACCTCTCTGAACTTCATGTTTCTGCTCTTCAAAATGTCAACACTTTAATAAAAAGCCTTGTCTCTCCCCTTGGGTTGTTGTAGGGAGAAGAGTGTGTTTTCAAGCTGTAACATTCTGTGCAAATGCTCCTCGTGGTTGTCACTATTTTCCTTCTCTTTAAGCATCTGCAGCTCTCCAAACACAAACCCTGATGTAGGCAGACCTGAGGAAATTCAACTGGGAGATTCCAGTGCTCCCAGCCAAAGCACCACGAGGAGCTGTGCAGGCTGAAGCCCCTTATGCCAACTCGCCATGGACCAAGAGTCCCCAGATCCAGTTGGGATTTGCCAAGGTTGAACGAGAGGTGAGTGCCGTACATTTTCCCCACCCGCTATTCCTGGAGCTCTGTGTGGGCAGCCAGCAGATGAGCTGGAATTGGGGGTAATGGACAGCCACTCCTCCCTGCTCCTGTCTCCATGCTACAAACACACTTCATCAGCTTCCTCTCTGGGCATTGTGCCCTTCCGGCCTCCCACCGTTCCCTTTGTGTGGCCAACAAGCTATTTCTGCCACCCGCCTGCTTTGGCCCTGACACAGGGTCTGAAACTCCCCTTTGCTTTTCATTAACACATCCTTGAGCTACCTCCCACCCTTCCCCCGCCTCTTGGCCTGGCCTCCATCTCCCCCACCCCCACCGCAGACATCACCACAGCAACCGGTTCCAACAAGCATCCAGCTACTTCAATCTGCAATGAGATGCCTGCCAATATTCCCTGCCTGCCCATGAGGCCTCCCCACTCTCTTGTCCCTCCTGCAGTTAGTCCTGCCCCTCTCTCTGCTGCACAGATGGGCCCTGGGGTCACTGACCTTATTACATTTTTTCCTCTGTTACCCCAAGTATGTAGAGCCCAGGGCAGGATCCCAGCTCAGGTCCACTCATCATAACCTCTAACTTCCCACCAGCCACATAAATACATGCATGCATACACACAGAGCCACACACACGATCTATACATACTTGTGCACTGCAAGGCATACACCACCATCCAGATTCATCCAGACACACATATAACCACACTGTTGCAGCTAGACACACCCACGCGCACACACACATAAGACACACAGACATGCATGCCTACAAGTACAGACACAGCACACACCACATTCACACATGCGCATGAACCAGCATGCAGGCATTCACAAAGACATGCACACACAGGCACGCATGTGCCTCTGCATGAAATCCTAGGTCAATTTTTCCTCCTCTTTTGCATCTTCTTAAAGCATCCCAACAGCTCCACCTATCCCTTTACAGGCAGAAAAGAAAAATTATCTGGCTTGACCTAGAACTAGCTCCTTCCCCTTTTACGGAGGCTCCCCTTCCTGTTTCCTTTCTCCTCTCCCATAGTCTTCAGCTGGCTTTCTGCTCTGTGTGAGGAGAACAAGGAGATCTGTCTAGGTCCTGGCAAGATTTCAAGGGGGAGAGGCAAAGCCTGTCCTCTCAGGGAGAGACCACCTGCAAGAAGCAAGTCTGAGGTCCTGACTAGATAAGATCAGAGACATCGCCAGGCACCTCCAGTCTGTGCTGGCAGTGCCAGATGCGATGCCCCCCTACCCGGGCATCAGCCAATCAGTATTCCCTTGTGTCCAGCCTGAGCTCCCCCAGGAGAATGGAAATCCAACAGACCCACAGTGTGAAAGTAAATATAAGTGTGCACATGCATGTGTGTACATGGGCACCTCGTGGCTCAGGCTGACACCTGGGGAGGACTAGGCAGGAATAGGGATCCATTCTAGGGACATTTCAAATATTTTTTAAAAAATCAAATGGAAGCAGCGGGAACCCTGGAGCTGCAGTAAGAACATGCAATGCTGAGTCCTTGGTCCTTGGTCTTAAGCTTAAGCCAGTTAAATTCCCTGAACCTCGATGTTCTCTTAAGCAATGGGAGCAGCATTGCTCCTCCTGGGAGGTGGTGACTCCAATGAGTGATGTGTGGGGACGTGCCAGGAAGCTGTAATGTCCTGTTTCAGTAGGAGACAGCGCTAATAACAGCCATGAAAATAATAACAACAGTCATAAAAAAGATAAGCTTGCATTGTCTGGAAAATTCATTTATGTGGAACAACTCATTTTTCGAGCAGGATGGGGAGATGAGGCGTGACAGTATTATGATTTTTTCTAAGTGCTTTTAACTGAGCCCAAGGAGGTGTTCAGGTGGCTACCAGCTGCAGTGAGAGGGAGCCTGCTTCTTGCTCTAAGTCCTTGGCTGTGTTCACACCCTGCCTGCACATGCCGGCCCTGCCCAGCCCCTGCTTACCTTCTTGCCCTGCATCCTCAGCTTGGATCTCCACATTCACCGTGTCCCCCCAGATAGGGGCTCTGGTGGGCTCTGAGGTCACAGATGTGACTGCCTTGGAGCTCTGATTGTTCTTTTCCTCAGATGTGCTTTTCCTGGGGAGAGCAGGGGCAGGGTGAGTCAAAGGGAGGGGTTCTGTCTGCTGCTTGTCCCCATCCCAGGCTCCACTGTCCATAAATCTGAGTGAAAGGTGGACAGAATATGGAGAGCTCTGTCCCATGCATAGACACTTGTGTCATCCCAGGCCTCTCCCCCAGCTCTCCTGCCAGCCCAGGTGACCACACTGTCTCGCTGGCCACTACTGAGGCCTTCACTTAGTCACAAGCCTCTCACTTAGAGAGGCTCAGGGCAGGGGTAGGGATGGGGGTAGAGGGTAGATGCTTTGCCCGCCTGACTTCCTAGCCCTTGCCAGGGAGGGCTCTCCAGCAGGAGCCCGTGTGCATGGCCTCCCTCTTCTCTAGGTTCTGTTTCGGTGGGAGGAATCCTCTGGGCAGAGTGGCTGTGCGATGCCCCGCCTGGCTGTCCTCTCTTCTTCACCTTATTTCCCTAAACTTCTGGCCCAGATTTCCAGGCTCCACCCGGCAATCCCAGTTCTAAATGCTTGCAATGAAGCACGCACATCCTGCTGCCTTCTGAGATGCCTGCTGTGTGCAGGGCCTTGGGCTGGGCCCCTGGAGCTGGAAACCTGGAGCTGGGTCCAGGCCTGGGGGCAGGGGGTGGTGGAAAGGGCTTTCCAGCCCTCAAGCACTCAGATTGTTCAGGACCAGGCTGTATAAGGTGAGAGGTAAGCTTGGGCCCTCTGCATCCCAGTGCACCCCACAGATATCGGAGATCCAGAGCCGTCAAACGGCTCAGGGAGAGAGTGAATACTTCTTCTGTAGAAGAGGTTACTAGGCCAGGGCCATCCCCAGCGCTGCTCCATTAACTGCAGCAGTCATGGGCTGAGGAATCATCCCAGAGATCCTGTAGCAGGGGGAGCCACACCACACACCTTGCGGAGGGAGGCAAGACGCACTAATGGTACCCCAGGATGGGAACAAAGACGTCATCCCCACCAGCCCTTGTTTCACCCTCAAGGACCCCAAAGGGAGTGTGGGGCAGGCCAGTTGGCTCAGACCCCACCTTCTCTGTGCATTAGCAATACCAACATGGTTCTTCCCAGCCCAGCTTGTTCCTCTCCTCCAAGAAGCCCTCTGGAGTCCCCCGGCCCTCACTGTTCCCTCTGCCCTTTAGACTTAAGTGACGCTGTGACCTGGCTCCTTGCTCCCACTCATCACAGCCCTGCTCCTGTGGGTAACCATGCTTGCAGGAGCCCTTCTTCTGTGGGTGACCATGCTTGCAGGAGTTCCATCTCCAAGTTCCAGGGGTCAACTGAGGACTCCTGCTGTGCTTTGACTGAGGCAGTATGACACAGTGATTGTAAGAAGGACCCTGCAGCTGGGCATTTTGGGTTCCAAATCCCAGCTCTACCCCGTGCCAGCTGTGTGATGTTAGGCAAGGTACAGAACCTGTGGTGCCTTATTTTCTTCATCTATAAAACAGAGATGCTAACGGTGCCCAGCCTGCAGGGCGGTTGTGGGAAGGAAACGAATGAATATGTGTAGTGCCTGGCACATTGCTAAGTACCAAGAAAGTGTTAATAATTCTTAGTACCTTAAATTATTAAAATATAAATATGATTCCTGTTATTACCCCATAGCACCAGAGAGCTTAGCCTTATTGACCCTCCTGTGACCAGCCCCTTTGCCGTGGCGTGATTTTTCCCCATCATGCCCCCAGTTCTGGGTCTACAATTGGGAATGTCTGGCTGCTCGGGCCAAGGTGTGGAATCCTGGAAAGAGCACAGGCTTGGGAATGATTCAGAGCTGGGTTTGGAGCCCGCGTTTATCCTGGCGAGATCATCTCCCCTCTGCACCTACTAAGTTCCTCCTTTTTCAATAGTACCGCCCTGAGAGAGTGTTATAAGGACTGGAAAGAAAGCATGTTCAGCTCCTGGCATCCAGAAAGCCCCAGTTCATGTTATTCCCTCATTTGTGATACAAAACAGCTTGGGTGTTTTTGCAAGAGGACCTGCCTGAGGGCAGCATGAAGGGGAAGGAGCACTGAGTACAAGCTGGGGTGAGAAGGGGCATCTCCCAGAGAGCCGGAGTCCTTCTCAGATGAGCGTCCATCCAGACACACCCCTGCAGGCTCTGCAGAATGGACTCCTCACACCCGCAAAGTGGTGTGTGGGAGGCTGCCAGGCTAGAGAGGGAAGGCAGAAGCCTGGCAGGAACGTGGCGCTCAGCTTGCTCCCTCCACCCTCGGGTCCCTTTTTCCCTCCGGCTCTGTGACCATGCTTGACCAAGGGGTGCAATCTAAGTACCTCCCATGACGCTCTGTGCCTAGGCTCCCGCTCCTGACAGCTGCCCCAGCAAAGTCAGAGACCTCAGGCTCTCAGCAGCCTCCCTGTGCTACCCAGCCACCCGATCTGCTACTTATAGATATATAGTTAGTGCACAATAAGGCCTCACAGCCTCCCTCCTCAGGGACCTGCACAGAAACAGCAGAAAAGCAGAAGCGCCAAGGGTGTGTCAGGAAGAAGTCAGTCCTTCTGCACCCAGATGTCAACCCCAGAGCTGGACACAAAACTGCACCTGCATGGACACATTCCTGGGGGATTCCCAGGGATCTTCATGTGGCTCTGTGTGCACAGAGAAGACACAAATGAAGGTGTGAAGTCACAGGCAACATAGTGACAGGATTCAGATTGAACCCCATGCCAGCCTGTCTTCTACTGTCCTCGTATCCTCCCAACCCTCCTGGGAGGGTGGCAGGAGGAATTCCCAGGTGCAAAGAGGTGGGTAAAGGTGACGGGGCAAGGCAAGGGAGCAGGTGCTGACTTTCCTCCAGCAGAGAAAGAGTTAAGCAACTATTTTCCCCACCTCCCTGCCCCATCTAATATGAAGGTCATCAGGGCTAGGTGAGTGCAGATAAAGCAACTGGGTGGGAGGGGGAGGCCCCAGGGGAAGGGGGAGGCTTTTAGCAGGTGGAGGGAGGCTCTCGGGGTAATGGCTTTTCCTGGCACAGCTGACTCCTCCGGGTCTTGATGCTATTCTAGAATCTGGAGAGCAAGAAGGGCCTCTGATTCTTCACAGAATAGGAGCAGGGGATGAGCTCACTCCCTGCTCCCAGCCCCATTCTGCACCCCGCAGATGGGCACGTGGCTGAGTTCCAGGTCCCCAGGCTCTCTCGGGGCTCCCAATGCAGTCTTAGAACCCAGGGGACCTCACCAAGACCTGCTTCCCTAGGCCTCTCCACAGGCTGTCTGCAAGGAGAGACCCCCCTCCCTGTCCCCCCAAAGACCTGCCCTGTTGACTTGGACCCGTTGGCTCCAGGCATCCAGGGCCAGGAGGAGCTAGTGGGTGGTGCCTGCTGTCTCGGGGCCAGATTTAATCCAGCCACAGCATGGGCAGCCATGCCAGGATAGGACTGGAGTTGGGTTTAGAGTGCAGCAGCCCTGAGACCAAGCTGCAGGAAAACATAAACCTCCCTCAACCTGGCCTACCCTCCAGGCTGCTGGAAGGGTGTGTGTGTCTTTGACAAACTCCAGTCCCCAGCTAGGCATTCCTGGGGCCCCCACCCCAGCAGGGTGTAAGGGGGCCAGGCTCAAGCACAGCTGTGAGTGGGAGGGAACAAGGACTTTGCTTTCCTTCTGCAAGGTCATGACTAAGGGAAAATATGTCATCTGGTTCCCGGGGGCTGCAGCTGTGAGTGGAAGAAATGAGCATCGGAAAAGCATGGGATTTGATGGACAGAAAGCAAGAGTGCTCATGAGCCGCTTTCCCCCTCACTCCAGGAGACACACACACACATCCACACATACATACACACACATGCACACACATGCGCACAAATGCATGCACACACACATACATGCACACATGCACGTGCACAAAGGCTGCCCAGAGAGGTGTGAGTACCATACTGTACCCACTCTTGTTACCCAGTCCTCAGGCTGCCTCTGGGGTCTTCTATTCACACCTGAGCCCACCTCCCCCACCTGCCCTGCCTGTCCTGTTGGCCTCTGGCTCCCTCAAAGCCTCAAATCATGAACAATAGTCAAGACCTGGCCGCCTCCTGGGCAGAGCTTTAGAAGCTGGGGCACAGGCGGCCTGGTTTGTTTTGAGTGCCAATCCCAGGACAGCCACCAAGAGAGCAAAGGAAAGGGGAGGGCCCTGACTCAGATCTGCTGTGGCTGCTGGGGTCTTGGCTGGGCAGGCTTGTAAATCCTGAGAGACTAGAGTGATGTTCCCAGAAGCCCCTGGCACTGGGGAAGTCAGGCAGGCACTGGGAATAGTGGATAAGGAGCAGACCTTTAAGTGGATGGATGGTGGAATAGGAGGTATTGGGCACCTTTGACCTGGCCCATCACAACCCATTGCTGGCTCACCTGGGAAACTGAGAGGGAGGTGAGGGAACTGGCAGTCCTGCAGGCCAGCTGTCAAGGTGTAATGGTTGGGTCTCAATCTTTCCTGAGAAGGTAGGGCAATTCTCCTCAACCTGCTTCCTCCATGCCAACTTCTGAGCCAGGGAGGCCTGCCTCCCCCATCCTCCAGAAGTCCAAGAGGCTGCCAGACTCCCAGGCCATAGGCTAGGCCTGCCTCCACTCCTGGAAGCTCTGAAAAACCCAGTGACCTCTTCCCAATCCAGGAGCCCAGTCTTATGCAACAGGAGGTGTGGAGTTGGCTTCTGCAGAGACAGTCATCTGAATGGGGTGGCCAAAGTCTGGGTTCCTGTGTTTCTGACCCTAAACCTGGAGAAGGCAGGGCTTGAACAGATAGATTGGAGGATCTTTCCACTTAGAGGAGAGAAGGTGAGGCTTGAGGGGGGCTGTTTGGCTGATGCAGGTGCTGACTTCGGAGCATGGGTTGGGGGAGTCAGGAGAGGGAGGCTGTGGTTCTCCCCCGAGTCCCTCTCAAGGCCCCTTTTTGCCGTGGCCACAATCAGTGTCTTCTGAAGCCAGGCAGGCAGGAGGGAAGAGCCCCAGCCCTCACACCTCTGGCCTTAGCCAAGCTCCCCTGGGATTGCTGGGCAGGGGGTTGTGCCCAGGGACTCCTCAAAGGAGGAGCTGAGATCTGAGGCAGGGAGTCAGTGCTGAAGCTCCCTTCTCTTCTCGCCCCCGCTTCACCAGACAACAGCCTTGACAAGGCCCCCAGTCTGTGCTGCCGCCTCCCCCAGCCCCATGCTGACGGCAGGGCAGCTGGTCCTTGTGGGTTTTGAGCCCCAGGAGGCTGCCACTTAAGGCATGAGCAGGGCTGTTATTCTCAGCAACGCGAGGGACTCTCATCCTGGGTTTCATTTATTAATTGGACTCTAATGAAGCATCACTAATTCCTGATGGTGCTACAACACTGCAGGTGGGCCTCAGTTTACAGAATAACTGACTCTGGAGTAAGGAGGGCACCAACTGGAGGCCAGCAGCTCCCAGTCCCTGAGGGCCCAGCTCTTCCCCTGCCCTTGCCTGCAGGGCATGGGGGCTGCTCTGGGAAAAAGAAAGGGCACCTTCCGAGAAACTCTGAGAAGCACTCTAGCAAAGGCAAAGATCTTCCTGTCAAACAAGGATGCTGCTCCTCCACCCCACCACTACTCACACTTCATCCAAAAGTGTGGGTACCCCTCCTTTCCACCCATGGCGGACAAGGAGAAAGCCACAGCCCACAGAGCTTTGTGATGGCCCAAAGTCAGGCTTAAGTGCCGGTGTTCTGGGCATTGTTGCACCTTCTACCCTCTTCTGGGAAGGGGATTTCCTTGTTTTCCAGAGATACTTTTTTGCTCTTTTTGAGGCTGGAGGCGATGCAGGGTCAGGAAGGGCCGCTGTCTGCACCATCTGTCAGCCTTTGGAGTGTCATGCCGTGTCCTGTCCTGTGGCATAGCTGGTGAGGGGCCCTGGGAGCCACCTTCTTGGGCCGCAATGGGTGGACCTGTCAGTCACCATCACAGTCCTATGGGGAGGCAATGACAGTCCCCTTGGAAGGTGTGGGCCTGGATGAGCAACCCAGCAGGACTTGCCAGGACGTGGAATCCTCTCAATGGTTCGGTCACTCTGAACAGCCACTCTTTCGAGTACCCCCTTTCTCCCGTACGCAGCCTTAGGGCAGGAGGAACGTGGGCCAGACATAAAGTCGAACTTCCTGACCTCACAGAAATCACCGGACTCTTCTGATTCCTGTCATTCTGATTCTCATTCCCTGCTTAACTCGTGTGGTGTTCAGTCCACGTTTTGAGGTCTGGGGCCACTCCCTGGCTCAGACACAGAGCCCAGCCTCCTGAGGGGCTCCGATACCCTAGTGCTGGCGACTGGAGCCTGGATGGCCGCCTTCCTGGGAGACTGTGGGCAAAGGATGAGTGAGTGGGGACAGCATTATGATTCCTGGCGCCTCCCCACCCTCACCACCACTACTAGACTGTTCACCCCTCAAGGGCAGGGACCTGTCTTGTCGCTGCTGGAGCTCAGTTCCCACTGCCTGGGCAAAGTGGGGCCCAGCAGGTGTTTGCTGAAAGAAAGAAGAAGGGACAGACCACTGGAAAATCAGGTGGGACAGTGGCAGCCCCTCCTTTCAAGCTCTGCCAGGCCAACTCACTGGCCCAGGCTGCTGAGCCAGTGGCAGCTCCTCAGAACTGTCCTGGAAATAGCTCTTGGCTGGGAGGAGGGTTCAGATCCCAAGTCCTGTCCCAAGAGCGTGTCCCCAAAGTGGGGAAGCAGAACCCAGCTGTGGGGGGAAAGTGGGGGAACTGGGCTCCCTCCAGGCCCAGGGGGCACTGAGCGCCTCGGTCCAGCCTGGCCCCTGGTCTCTCTGTCCCATTCCAGGGTGCTGTGGAGGGATCGAGGTCTGGTTTTGTTAGCCACACTGACCATCCTGAGAGTCCCTGCCACAGTCCCCGGCTAGTCCCTAGGCCCCACTCCTCCAACGCCACAGGGCACCGCAGGAGCACACCGCTGGGAAGTCGACAGGAGAGGGAGGGGGCCATGCCCACTAGCTCCTCTCCTCACTCAGGGCCAGTTGCTCCTCTGTCCCCACCTTTGTATGGGAACAGGGAAGGGGTAGGCCACAGCCTGCCCTCCCAGGGATAAAACCCCAGGGCCTCCTGAGCATTCCCAGGCCAGGCTTGCTGAAGACCAGAGAGACAGCTTTGTGTTCAGGCTCACCAGTCGTGGGCTTGAGTCCTGGCTCCTGGCTCACCGCTGCTGACTGTGTGGCACATCCCCTAAGCATCTCTGAGCTCAGCTCCTCCCTGATAACAGCGCTCAGTATCTCACAGGTTTCGAGAAGGAGGGAGGATGAGGAGATCAATGAGGAAGGCTGAGTCTGAGTGGAGACGTATATTGGCAGGTGGGTCTATGGAACTGGAGCTCAGGAGAGGGCTGGATCCAGGGATTCTGGGGCTTTCAGGATGGGGGGAAAGGGGGATGCCTAGGTGAGGGGGGATCTCTTAAAAAGTATAGAGGCCAGGCGTGGTGGCTCACACCTGTAATTCCAGCATTTTGGGAGGCCGAGGCAGGTGGATCACCTGCAATCAGGAGTTCGAGACCAGCTTGGCCAACATGGCAAAACACCGTCTCTACTAAAAATACAATAATTAGCCGGGTGTGTTGGCACACGCCTGTAATCCCAGCTACTCAGGAGGCTGAGGCAGGAGAATTGCTTGAACCCCAGAGGTGGAGGTTGCAGTGAGCCGAGATCACATCATTGCACACCAGCCTGGGTGACAAGAGTGAAACTCCGTCTCAAAAAAAAAAAAAAAAAAAAGAAGGAGGGTAGAGATGCAGAGGAGAGGCCAAGGACTGAGCCAGGAGCATTGACATTCGCAGGGTACTGGGACAAAGAGTATCCCACAGTGGAGTGGCCAGAGACAGGGTAGAAAATCAGGAGAGGGAGTTGTCCTGGAGGCGAGGAAAGAAGGGGCTTCAAGAAAGGAGAATGCCTACTTATACATGTGTGGAGGATGCACAGCCATTGGGAGGTCACTCCCCTGGCAGAGGGGGACCAGTCAGCAAAGCTGGAGGCACCGGTGGTGTCCGAGTTGGGTTGAGGGTTCAGGAGAGGAACAATGAGGGGCCCAGAGATCCTCACTGACCAGAGGTGTTTGGCCTGAAAGTAAAACTTGGCTGATTTTACACAAACATTTGGATTTCTGGTTTCTCTTTAAAAATTGAGAGAGGCGTCCGGGCGCAGTGGCTCACGCCTGTAATCCCAGCACTTTGGGAGGCTGAGGCGGGCAGATCATGAAGTCAGGAGTTCGAGACCAGCCTGACAAACATGGTGAAACCCCATCTCTACTAAAAATACAAAAATTAGCTGGGAGTGGTGGCGCGCGCCTGTAATCCCAGCTACTCAAGAGGTTGAGGCAGGAGAGTCTCTTGAACCTGGGAGGCAGAGGTTGCAGTGAGCTGAGATCACACCACTGCACTCCAGCCCAGGCAACAGAGTGAGACTCCATCTCAAAAAATAAAAAAATAAAATAAATAAAATTGAGAGAGGCTGGCCAGGGTGGCTCACACCTGTAATGTCAGCACTTTGTGAGGCCAAGGTGGGAGGATCACTTGAGGCCGGGAGTTTGAACCAGCCTGGGCAACACAGTGAAACCCCATCTCTACACATTAAAAAAACCTAATAATTAAACATAAACAAAAATGAAGAGGGTTGACAACCCATGCCCTCATTCTTCCATGTAGAGATCAGTAGGACGGGCAGGGGCTACTCCTCTGAATGAGCCAGGTGCTCTCTGGTTTGCCACAGTTGCTTCCTCTCTCTATTGCATCACATGCCAGGAACTACAGGATTTGCATAAGTAGATTGGCCCTGAAGACATTGACTTTGAATTCTGGCTCCCGGCTCCACTGCTGCTGACTGTGTGGCACATCCCCTAAGCATCTCTGAGCTCAGCTTCTCCCTGATAATGGTGTTCAGTATCTCACAGGTTTCTGGATGGATAGGGGGAGCCTCAGAGAAGGAGGGGGGGAACGAGGAGATCAACGGGATTCCAGGGCAGCTCCTTCTGCTGGAAACTTAAGTGTGTGCATGGAAGGATGACAGAATCAGGGAATACACAGGGGTAGGAGGAGCCTAATCGGTGCCCAGAGCCCCAGCCCCTGCTCAATGGCCTCCCTCACTCCACTACAAGCTAGACCCTGTGGCATGTGACCCTGGGACCCACGGGGGCCAGGCTAGGGAGAGGGAAGCTACATAAAGTCTGGAGGGATCACCAAGCCTCCTGGCTGCTCATGATGACCAGGGAGGGAGGAGGAGGCTGTCAGCCGCTCTGCCCATGCTCAGGAGTAAGCAGAGGAGACAGCCCATGCAGGATGCAATGAGGACACCAGGAAGGCCCCCTCTGGCCTGCCTCATGGCCCCAAATCTCCCCCATGAATGCCCTCTGAGGCTGTTATGCAGGATTCCAGAAGAAGCCTGTGGGGGAGAACTCATGCTTCTTGAGTCTGAATGGGGGTTTCAGGCATGAGAACACCTTAGGGGCCCCAGGTGGCAGAGATGGGAGAACATCTGGAAAGAATCCTTATGGCTTCGGTCTGGCTGGGGATGGTTCTCAGGCCAACCATCCTTCAACCACTGACACCAGCTGTGTTTATAACCCTGGGACAAAGGGAAGTTCTCACTGAACAAAAATTCTGAGGTTCTGAGTCTCCAGGAACTGATGTCATGGGGGGCAGGTGTGGGTGGAAAATCAAACCATGGTGTGGGGGCCCTGCAGGGTAGATGAAGACCCTGGTTCCCAGGCCTCACCCCAGGCCTGCTCCCCACCCTTGTCTTTTTTCCCATGGGGATCCTGCTGGAAGAGAAGGAGCCTTGGCTTCTGTAGGAGCCAGCGGCCAGATGGGAATAGTCATCTTCATCTGCTCCACTCCCACTGGCCAGCCATGTGACCTCAGACACATCCACATTCTCCCCTGGGCCTTGGCCTCCTCCACTATCACATGGGAATAACGCAGCCTGCTTCCAGGACTGCACCGTTAGAACCAGAGGGTGTAAATAGCCGAGCTCGCAGTGAGCTTCGAGTGGAACATCATCAGCAAGTGAGGGCTGCCTTATTCCTGGGACTATCCCATGATCACTGTCACTGTGTTATTGTTATTTTTGCTGAGCCCAACCCTCTGGCTGCTGAGACAAGCCCATGGGTCACCTGTGAGTCATTGTGAGCCTCCACCCACTCTGCCCAGATCCCTGCCTTCAGGGGTCCTTGACTGAAGGCCCCCAGCCAGACAGGGAGGAAGGAGAACTCCAGATCCCAGGATGGGTCTCCACACTAGTCACTGCATCTTCTCTGGAAGTCTGGGTTAGCATCCTGTCTCAACAACCCCCCTTCCAAAAGGGGTAACCACGGCATGAAATATCAAGGCAAAGAATGAGGTGGAGGGAGCTTTTAGATTTTGAAATCCTGGATCCTGCATCCTCCTTTGGGTACTAACTAGTTCTGTGACCTTGGGCAAGTCATGGAAATGCTTTGAGCCTCAGGAACCTCATCTGTAAAATGAGGTTTAATGATAATATTATACCTCAATTATAGGACTGGGTGGCGATTAAACTGTATGAAACACACAATACACTCCTAGCTTATTTCTCAGGGGTATGGTGAGTATTTGATAACTGTAACCTTCTTTATCCCCCCTCTTGCCAGGATTTCAAACAATTGTCCTACTTTTAACATCTTCTTCAATTAGTCACCAGAGTCAGAGCTCATCCTGTGACCAAGGCCAGCCTCAGTCTGTGACCAGGGTCAGGGCTGAGCTCAGTCTACAATCAAGGTCAAGCTCAGTGTAGGGCCAGGGTCAGGGCTCTCAGGCTTATCTAAGAAAACCAAGGATCCTCTGAGTATGACTCTAGCTGGCCCTGATCTGTGCCACCTCCCCTGTGCCATCCCAAGCCTGCCCCACATGCACAGAGGAAGCAGCGCCTTCCCCTTCGAGTCCTGGCTCTGTCCCCACTCATTAGCTCTGGGCAGCAGGCAGCCGAAGAAGCAGCTGCCAATGCTGGCAGCCCTGACATGCAGCCTTTGGCCAAGGGTCAGAACCCCACAGGCCATCTCCTGGCTAGCCCCTTTTCCATATCTCATCCTGTCCACTGGGGCACCCCGTGCCTGTCAGTGCCACTGTCTTCCTGGTCCCTGCTGTGCTCTGACTGGCAGGTCTCTCTGTGTCAGGCTGGGTGACAGGTGCTGGGTACTGTTCAAGCCCCAGGGCACTGAGCCAGGCCTAGACCAGTCATGGGACACCCTGGGCCTGGAGACTGGCCCAGTAGACCTGGGCACAGAATCTGTCTCGGGTGGCAGAGCTGGGGTTCTTGTTTTCTCTAAAGAACTGAGAGTGTTTCCCAGGCCAGAACACAAGCCAGCCAGGCAGGCCTGCAGCAGCATGCAGGCCAAAGCTTACATCCTGGCCATGGGAAGACTGAGGCTCAGAGAAGGCAAGGACTGGCCTGAGTTCATACAGGGAGTCAGGGGCAGTGGGCCAGATGCTAGGTCTTCCTGTACCCAGCCTGGCTTCTTTCCACTGTCCTGTGGCTTTCTTATGATAGGTCTCAGTGCCCACTGTGAGCCTGCTCAGGACTCCCCCTTCCCCCTGTAGAGCTTTAGACCCGCAGCATCTCACACTGTCTAGCACCACCATCTCTATAGCCCTTTGAGACAGGTTCCCAGGTGAGGTTTTCAGGCATTGAAAGACAAAGTAACTTTCCCACAGTCATACAGCAAGCTAGAAACAGGGCCAGATTCATTCGACGATTATTTAGTGACAGCTTCCTATGTTCCAGATACTGTGTTTCATGATAGGAATAAAATGGTGAGCAAAGCAGACCTGGTGGTTGTCCACGGAACTAGTGGGGCACAGTGGAGGCGGGATGGGGAGGCACTGGCAAAGAGTACGCACATAATCACATAAAGTGCATAAGCACATATCCTGGTACAGAGTCGCATGAAAACATGTAATGAGGGAGGATTTGGCCTCATCTGGGAGATCAGTGAGGACAGCTGAGATGGGAAAAGGGGAAGGGAGAATGTTTCTGGGAATGTTTCTCAGAATGTTTCTGAGAATGCCTAGGGTGGGAGGGAACAGGGTTTGCTCAGAGAACGGAGAGATGTCCAGTGTGGCTGGAGCAAAGAGAGGGAGGTGGAGGTCCTGTTGCTGGGGAGCTGGAGGGGCCGGCAAAGACCCAACCGTGCTGAGCCTGGAATCCTCTTTACTTTGGGAACAATGGGAAGCCACTGAGTTCCTTTGGTACTATGGCACCACAGTACCCAATGGTAACCTGCCTTTGAAGGGATCTTCAGGGAGCAAGAGTAGAGGAACCAAGAGCAGTTGGAGAAATAGTGCGGTGGCCTAAGTCGGTGGTGGAGCTGGTGGAGAGAAGCAGCTCAATCCGAGAGACCGGGAGACATGGACATGACTTGGTGATGGATTGGATGAGGGAAGAATGTGATTCCTGACACCAGGATGGGGTGGGATCACATGGAAAAAGAGTACAGGCTAGAGAAAGAAGAGCCACATAGGGCAGAAACCTGAGACAGGCTAACATTTAAGGTCAGGTAGACGAGATCAAGAGATGTGGCCATAGGGGAAGGTGGGAGAGTGGGGTAACTTGGAGGGGGAGAAAGGGCTTCAAAGAGACTGAGTTGTCTGGAGGGGCTGCTGCCTCTGTGTAATAAACAAATTCACCCGTCCAAACCCAAAGAATGGACTCAGAGACCCAGGGAACAGCGAAATTGAGACTTTTAACACGGGTCTTGCAAGATTGGGTGTCTGATAGGCAGGCACACCCAGCACAGTTTCAATAAGCAATTTACCCCTAGTGCACGGGTCTCTCCCCCGGTTCCTCATAGGGTGAATACTGCGGGGTCACAGTTTTCCCAGATGTCACCTATTGATTGTTAGCTTTAAGTTTGTTTGTTTGTTTGTTTTTGGGTTGTCTTATTGCATTTTTTGCAGCCCACAATGCACTGCAATCCTAGTTAGCTCAGGGGCTATTCAAGTTGTTTTTATTTTTTTATTATTTTTTTTAGACGGAGCCTCGCTCTGTCACCCAGGCTGGAGTGCAGTTGCTTGATCTCAGCTCACTGCAAGCTCCACCTCCTGGATTTACGCCATTCTCCTGCCTCAGCCTCCCGAGTAGCTGGGACTACAGGCACCCGCCACCACACCCGGCTAATTTTTTTTGTATTTTTAGTAGAGACGGGGTTTCACTGTGTTAGCTAGGATGATCTCGATCTCCTGACCTCATGATCCATCCGCCTCGGCCTCCCAAAGTGCTGGGATTACAGGTGTGAGCCGCTGCACCCGGCCTCAAGTATTTGGCTTATGACCTAAGCAGCTGGGCGGGCTGATAAAAACAGACAAAATGAGCTATTTTGCAGACTAATAAACTTTCATTTTAGACTAAACTTCTTGTTCTGGTGAGGGCGACTAAGCAGGGAGGGTGGGGGGCTGCCGACAAGCAGGCGTTGGCTATCCAAGCAGGGGCCTAGTATATATCCGGTTTCTTCTGTAGTTTGCTGATCTAAGCTGATTTAAGGCACTTTGTCTTGGCAATGGACCACTGTATACATTATTTCCTTTACCTGAGAGATCGCAAAAGATGAGATGCCCGTTGGATGCAGGGTCAGAGATGGTGGTCACTGGTGACTACAGAGAAGCTATATTGGTGGAGAAGTGGGGTCAGATTGGAAGCCAACCAGTGGCTTAGATGAAGACAGGCTGACCCCCAAGATGAGCCAAGTGCCTGCTGGTCTGGAATAGTTTTGGCTGGAGGATGTGCCTATTACTATATGGGCTCAAGCCTGGTGCCTCCTTAAGGGGTGAAATGGCCATGCCCCAAACAAGAGAAGCACCATCTTTGGGCCTGAACCCTCTTCAGCTCCCCACTAAGGGGATGAATGAACGAACAGTTCTGGGGCACTCTCAGGTCTGTGCTTCACTACTTCCCCTGCCCCGATCCCTGCAACTGTGGTCCTGCCTGCTAGGGATGCAACAAACCCAGAGAGAAGGACAGAATCCAGGCTGAGACAGGGATTCCCAGGATATCCATCCCCAACCTCAGGTGAGAGAAGATGGGATGGCAGAGGGCAGGAAACCAAGCCAGGAGACTAAGCTCAGGGTACCAAAAAACAGGGGCAGCAAAAAGATGAGAAAAAATGCTTGGAAAGAATGTAAACTTATATATAATATATATAATATATATACATATTTTCGCTGTTTTATTGAGGCATAATTGACAAATAAAAAATAAAATTTAGATGTATTTAAAATGTACACAGTGATGATTTGATACACATATACTTTCCGCAGTGATCATCATGATCAAGTTAGTTAACACATCTATCACCTCACAGTTACCTTTCGTGTATGTGGTGAAAACACTTAAAATCTACTCTTAGCACATTTCAAATACATAATATAATATCTTTTTTTTTTTAGACGGAGTCTCACTCTGTCGCCCAGGCTGGAGTGCACTGGCACAGTCTCGGCTCAGCGCAACCTCCACCTCCCAGATTCAAGTGATTCTCCTGCCTCAGCCTCCCAAGTAGCTGGGATTACATGTGCCCACCACCACGCCAAGCTAGTTTTTGTATTTTTAATAGAGATGGGGTTTCACTATGTTGGCCAGGCTGGTCTCAAACTCCTGACCTCAGGTGATCCACCTGTCTTGGCCTCCCAAAATGCTGGGATTACAGGCATGAGCCACCGTGCCCAGCCACAATATAGTATCATTAACTAGAGTCACCTGCTGCATATTAAATCCCCAGAATTACTCATCCCAAAACTGAGAGTTTGTATCCTTTGGCCAACATTTCCTCATTTCCCTCATCCCCAGCCCCTGACAGCCACCATTCTACTCTCTGCATCTATGAGTTTATCTTAGATTCCATTAAGTGGGATTATGCAGTATTTGTCTTTCTGTGTCTAGCTTATTTCATCTAGCATAACGTCCTCCAGGCTCATCTGCATTATCGCAAATGGCAGAATGTCCTCCCTTTTATGGCTGAATAATATTACATTGTGTATATGTTGTCTATATGTGGATATATATGTATACAATATATAATTGTGTGTGTATATATGACACAAGTATATACAAATATATGTATATGACGTGTGTGTGTGTGTGTGTGTGTGTGTATATATATATATATGACATTTTTTCTTTATCCATTCATTCATCAACAAACACTTAGGTTGATCCTATATCTTGGCTATTGTGAATAATTCTGCAATGAATATAGGGGTACTCTTGACCTCAGATGATCCACCTGCCTCAGCCTCCAAAGTTCTGGGATTACAGGCATGAGCCACTGCACCAGGCCCAGATATCTTTTCTTTTCTTTTTCTTTTACTTTTTTTTTTTGAGATGGGAGTCTCGCTCTGTTGCCCAGGCTGGAGTGCAGTGGCGCAATCTTGGCTCACTGCAACCTCTGCCTCCCAGGTTCAAGAAATTCTCCTGCCTCAGCCTTCCTAGTAGCTAGGATTACAGGTGCCTGCTACCACGCTCGGCTAATTTTTGTATTTTTAGTAGAGATGGGGTTTCACCATATTGGCCAGGGTGGTCTTGAACTCCTGACCCTGTGATCCGCCCACCTCGGCCCCGCAAAGTGCTGGGATTACAGGCGTGAGCCACTGCGCCCGGCCCGATATCTTTTCAAAATACTGATTTTGTTTCCTTTGGATATATACCCAGTAGTGAGATTGCGGGATCATATGGTAGTTTTATTTTCAATTTCTTGAGGAACCTCCGTGCTGTGCTCCATAATGGCTGCACCATTTTACTGCGTATTCCCACCAACAGTGTACAAGCGTTCTCTTTTCTCCACACCCGCACCAACACTTATCTCTTGTGTTTTTGAGAACAGCCATCCTAACAGGTGTGAGGTGCTATCTCCTTGTGGCTTTGATTTGCACTTCCCTGATGATTAGCGATGTGCACCTTTTCATGTGCCTGTTGGCCATTTGTATTTCTTTGTTGGAAAAATGTCTATTCGGGTCTTTTTCTCATTTTTTAAATTGGGTTACTTGTCTTTTTGCTATTGAGTTGTATGAGTTACTCATATATTTTGGATATTAACTCCTTATCCGATACATGTTTTGCAAATATTTTCTCCCATACCATAGGCTGCCTTTTTGTTTTGTGGATTATTCCCTTTGCTGCGCAGAAGCTTTTCAGTTTGATGCAGTCTCACTTATTTTTGATTCTGTTGCCTGTACTTCCGGTGTCATATCCGAAGATTAATTGCCAAGACCAATGTAAAGGAGCCTTTCCCCTGTGTTTTCTTCTAGGGGTGTTACAGTTGCAGGTCTTACATTGAAGTCTTCACAAATACATATTTTTAAAAAGCATTGAAATATTCATCATGAACAAAACGAAAACTTTCATGAACTTTCTTATGCCTATTGTGTGCTTTGTTACTTGTTTATTTGTAATCAGATGTGCAGGGATATAAATTCTTTCCAGGTTCTATGGCCTCTGAGGGTCTGGATCCTCCCTCTGGGGTTTCTGCCTGGGGCTGGGGGTGAGCACTGAAAGCCCCCTTCAGGTCCTGACAGCTCGGCCTTCACATTCTCAGAAGCCCTTCCTTCTCCCATCATTTGCATCTCATTAGCACCACCTCGAGCTGGTGGCAGCTTCGCCTGTCTGGAGCCCTGGGACGCAGGCTGCAGCCTGGCCCGGGCGCTGCTCCCAGCTGGAGAAGGGTGCAGCGAAGTGCTTTCCCCTCCCCCCTCCCCGCGTTCTCTGTCCCCACCCTCCCGCCCCACGTGCCGCAGCCACAGGGAGGGTGCAGGAGGACTCGGGGTGTGCCCGGCTCTCCGAACCCCCACCCAGGCTCGTGTCGCCTAGGCTCCTGCCGCGCGTTCCCATGGCAACCGGGTGATGGCGCGGGTCGCGGTGCCTGCCTAGGAGCCACACAGCCACCCAGCTCCCCGCCCCGCCGCCCAGGCCGGATTGGTGACAGTCAGGGCCTCAATCTCCCGAGATGATCGGCGATAATTGGTTTATGGAAATAGCTGAGCGGAGAAGGCGAGCTCCCCGCTAGAAACCAGCCTCCCTGCCAAGCCTGCTCCCACCACCTGTGCTTCCCTCACCACGGAAATGGAGTTGGGGGAGGGATGGCCGAGGAGCTGGGCTGGCACAAATGGGGCTTTTAAGGCAAGTGTTTCACCTGTTGCTCTCGGCACAGCTTCTACCCCCCTTTCACAGTGGGGGCCCTGGGGGGGCAGGGACTTATCATAGTAACCAGGTGTTGGCCTCAGTCACTCCTTGGCTCCTAAGTTTGGGCTCAGGCCTATGTTGGATGCATTGTTGAGGGAAATGGAGGAGGAGATCCGTCCTCAGGGAGCCCCAGAGGAGTGCATAAACCATGTTGATATAAAGTGCTTCAGACCAGGGTCACCACTGCTGTGGAGCTCCAGAAGAGGGAGAGCTCAACTCTGGTGGCTGCCTGGAGGAGGAGGCTTTGAAGGCAGGATTTCAGCAGGCATTGGTGAGTGGGCTGGGGCAGGCACTCCCCAAAAGGAAATGTGGGCAACAGACTCTTGGCAGGAACTGAATGGTGCCAGTATTGGTGGGGGAGGGGAAGTATAGGGTGGCTTGGTGGGAGGCCACCAAGGCTCCCGCCGTCTGTCTATAGAAGGTCTAGGGGTGACATGCTCCTTGGAGGGTGCTTTATAATAAAGATTGAGCAAATATTCAGTGTCCCCAGCGAAGGTTGGCTGGATGGAGATTGTGTTGCCCCTTGGCGCCTTTCTGGAAGAAGTGAGACCCGTGAGGTGGGCATAGACGTGGCGTGGCAGGCCTTGGTGCCAGGCTGGGGAAGTGTGTACCCTGACAGCAGCTGGCTGGAGGGGGTGTGTGGGGTGCATTAAAGGCCCAGAACTAGGGGAGTCCCCATAATAGAAGTGACTGGAGAAGGAGGGGAGGAGGGGAGGGTGGTTATGAGGACCCTACCCCAGGGCTGGGTATGGTGGGGTGGGGCACCCAGAAGTCAGGAGAGGCAGGTCCCAAATCTTCCCCTTCCCCAATCTGACCATCATGCCCATGAGCCCAGCCCAGACTTTTGCATACAAGGAACCTGCCCCACTGGAGCTGAGCTGTGACCAATCCCTGCCCCACTGGTGTGGGGTGGGGAGGGGTGACTCTCTGGATCCGTTGGCACCCTGTCTTCCCCAGCCCTGGTGAGCAGCTTCCCATGCAGCAGCGGAGATGCCAGGTAGTGCCCACAGCAGCTCCTCCCCTCTGGGTATGACAGTCCCAGTCCTGGGCCTTTGGGTGCTAGTATTCCAAATAGCTGTCCCCTGGTTTCTGCTCACAGCCCAACCCATCCCCTGCCCCCACTCTCACGCAGCTACTTACACCACCACATAGGGCCACGGCTCGGAGCCATCCTTGCAGGCAGGCAGGTTGGTAGCCCCATGGAGGGTGACCATGATGGTCTCCTTCTTAGAGGGAGACAGGTGACCGATCTCAGGTTCCGTGCTCTGGGAGGCGATCAGGGGCTCCTCTGGGTCTTCAGTGTTCTGTGGGGAGAGCCAGGGCTGAGTGTTTTTTTTTTTTTTTGAGACAGAGTCTTGCTCTGTTGCCCAGGCTGGAGTGCAGTGGTGCCATCTTGGCTCACTGCAGCCTCTACCTCCCAGGTTCAAGCAATTCTCCTGCCTCAGCCTCCACAGTAGCTGGGATTACAGGCATGTGCCACCACATCCAACTAATTTTTGTATTTTTAGTAGAGACGGGATTTCCCCATGGTCTCAAACTCCTGACCTCAGGTGATCTGCCTGCCTCGGCCTCCCAGAGTGCTGGGATTATAGGCATGAGTTACTGCACCTGGCCCTGAGTGGCCTCCTCTGCTGCGGCACCTCCCTTCACTGCCACCCTCTAGCACTAGCCACTCACAGCTTCCGTCAAGTGCCTGCCTCCCTCTGTCACCCTTCCGCCCACTCTGCAAGGCAGTCGCCTTGGCCCCATTTTCTCCCTACTTCTGTCCCCATCCCACGTCTCTCTCAGTGCCTCTCCTCTAGTCCTGGATCCTACCCTTCCTGCAGGATGAGACAGGCCACCTCACCTTTCAAGTCTGGTCCCACTTCTAAGCCTTAGCTTTCGCAGGTGTCCTCGTCTGTAATTCCTAAATCCCACCTGCTTTTGCAGTCCTAACAATGGGCCACCTTCTTCAGTCTATCTTGTAACCTCACCTCAGCTCACCCATCACCTCAGGTCCCTCCTGTGCACAGCACTTTACAGCTGACAAAGCTTCTCCACGTTCATGGGGGCATTCAGTGCATTACGTGGAGGTGAATGCATGTGTCTGTCCCAGATGCCCCACCTGTCTTCTACCCAGGAAACTTGCGGACTAGGGAGGAAGAGGTGCCTGCCCATGCAGGGGGCTTCCTACACCAGTTGCCCCAAGCAGGGACTCAGCAGCTTAGTAACTTGTGGATTCATGGCCCAAAGGACCATCTTAACGAGAGCTGCTGAGAGAAGACAAAGCCCTGGCCGGCTGAGGCGGTCAGGGAAGACAGCAGGGAGGAGGAGGCCTTAAAGGGTTGGGAGAAGGTGCAGGAGTGGAGTCAGGGAGGACAGGCCAGGAGCAGAACACTGGAGCGAAGGCAGCAAGCGGGAAGGGGCAGAGCTTTCCAAGGCCCAGAGGTGGCTCAGTTTGACTGGGGAGGCAGTGGGGACTCAGAGAAGACGGCAGAGCTGGGCATATAAACGCGGTGGGGTGGGGAGGGGTGTGGCCATGAGGCTGCTGTGGCTCAGGGGTGTCCTTGTCCTCCCTGGCCCTGGTCCTCCACTGGCCGGCTGGCTGACTCACCACTTCCAGTTAATCTGACACAGATTAACCCTTGATAGGCCTCCCGTGGTAGGAGGTCTTGCCTACCCTTTGTCCCTCCAGCTGATATGAGGGGCCATAGAGGGGCACTCCTGGCTCTGGGAGAGGAGCAATGGACCTCCTCAGGGTGGAGGCAGGGCCCTGAGGGGCCACTGGCAGGCTGTTCCTCATCTCTGGAAAGCTCAGCCTGTCAGACCCTGCATTCCAGGGCAGGCCCTGGTTGGGTGGGGTTGAGAACAATGTCCTATTACATAGAGAGGAAATTGAGGCCCAGACAGGAGCAAGGACCTGGGCCCTGGACGGGCTCTGGTTTTGGTGGCAGCCTCGGCAGGCTGGGTCCTTGGCTCAGAATGGCCGGCTCCTGAGGAGCCCTGAGTGTCAGGAGAGGTAGGTTTAAACCAGCTCTGCCTCTCACCATGCTGGGCCCCAAAGCCAGCCATGTTCTGAGAGTCAGTTTCCCCAGTGGGGAGATGAGGACTTGGACCGACCTATCTGGAAGCTGCTCTGCTCCTACCTTGAGCCTTGGCTCCTGGAAGCCTCAGGCAGACAGAAAGAAAAGGGCACAGTGCCTGAGGCTCTGCTCTGCCCCGAGGAGTTTTAGGAACGTTATTTCATCCATTTCTCACGGTAGCGTGGGGTGCCCACCAATCGGAGCCACACACCCCCTCAACAGCTCCCCTTGGGGGTCTACTGGCCTCTCAAAGCTAACGAACTCTGGACTCCCCTTCAAACCCCTCCTCCTGCTGTCTGCCCCAACTCGTTAATGAGTTAATGGCGATGCCATTGTTCTAGTTGTTCAAGCCCCACATCTTGGAGTCCTTCCTGATTCTTCCCTCTCTTCCTCTACATCCCTTATCCAGTTCTTCAGCAGATCCTGTCAGCTCCACCTTCAAACTATATCTGGACTCTGACCCTTCTCAGCATCCTCAGGTCAGCACTCAGGTCCCAGACACCTGTATGTCCCGACTCGCCTCTGATGGAGTTCTGTTTCCTCTCCGACTCTCCGTCCACCCCATCCAATCGCCAGAGTGAGCCTTTACAGATTGGACCCAGACCCTCTCTCTCCTCTGCTCAGAACCCTGAAGTAGCTTGCTGCTTCTCTCAGAGCCTTGCAATGGCCCGTGGGGCCCTCCAGGAGCTGGCCCAGAAAACTGACCTCATCTTGTCCCACGGGCCCTGTGGGTCACTCCGCTCCAGCCACACTGGCCTCCTGGCTGTTTCTCACACCTACCAAGCTCCCTCCTGCCTCCCCGCCTCTGCCCTAGCTGTTTCCTCTGCTCCACCCTGGGTGTCACTCCAGAACTGTCATCCCTGTGCCTTGCTCCCCTACTTCCCTTGGCTTGCCTGGTGCAGGCTGTGGTCCTTGCCTAGCAAGATGGCTAATTAGGAGGTGAGAATACATGCCCCCCAGATCAGAAGTGCCAGTCCTGCAGAGAGGCCCCCCTCTCCTTCCTCTGACTGAGGAGGCCACCCCCACCCTCTTCCAGGACCCAGCAGGGCCTGTCACCATCTACAGAGGTGTTGATGAGGGTTGCCCCTCCTTCTCTCCCCCATGCTCCTGTCAGGGGAGAATGAGGGGAGGGGAAGATGCCCCTGCCTGGAGGTGAAGGAGGAGGAGCAGCCAGAGTGCTGTTCCCTGCCCTCCTGGGTAGGCAGCTTCCTCCCATATCCACCCTCATGCAGGCCACCATGACCCCCCCACTCCCCAGCAGCCTTGCTCTCCTGGTTTAGTGGCACAGGAGTAAGGCTGGCAGCCTCAGGGCAAAAAGACCTAGGTTTCAACTTGGCCGGGTGTGGTGGCTCACGCCTGTAATCCCAGCACTTTGGGAGGCCGAGGCGGGCAAATCACTGGAGGCTGGGAGATCGAGACCAGCCGGGCCAACATGGTGAAACCCCATCTCTACTAAAAATACAAAAATCAGCCAGGTGCGGTGGCATGAGGCTGTAATCCCAGCTATTCGGGAGGCTGAGGCAGAAGAATTGCTTGAACCTAGGAGGCGGAGGTTGCAGTGAGCCAAGATGGTACTCCAGCCTGGGTGATAGAGTGAGACTCCAACAACAACAACAAAAAAAAGACCTAGGTTTCAGCTCAGCTCTGGCCCTACCTCTCTGTACCACCTCCCTGAGCCTTGATTTTCCCACCTGGCCAATGGGAATGTCTGGAATAGTTTGTGATTCAGCCTTTCCAGTGGTTACTGTGCCTGAAGTTCCTGCAGTGAGGCTGGGAGGGGTGATTCATGTTCCTAGATGGATTCACCTTGCTGTGAGGGCACAGGGCCTCTCATGAGCTCCCTAGGGCCATGAAAGGGAGGGCCCAGGAGTAAGACCATTGTCCAGGGGCTCTCATTGGCTCCCTGGCAGCCCCAGAGCCCAACTAGGCATCTGCAGACCTGGCCAGGAGTCACACCGGCTCCTCCTCTATCTCCCCTGCACCTCCCCTCGGGGACAGCCTTCCCTTCTGGGAATAAAGCTTGCAGGAAGTTTGGCGAGAACTATTGTGTTTCAGTTCTGGGCATGAGGCCAACTGCCAGGCTGGCGCCTCCTGGTGAGGCTTGCAGGCATGTGCCCGCTGGGCAGGCTGGGCCCAGGGCCAGGGAGGCTTGGGGCCAAGGGTAAGGCCAGAAGGGGGATGGTGGGCCAGGGCTGCTAACCTCCTGCTATCCCTTTTTTATTCCCATGTCTGGATGGGAATCTGCAGGCTTCCCTCAGAGATGTCCTGCATCAGAACCAATGTCCTCGACCCATCTGTTACCCCTGGCCTGCACTAGAGGATTGATGAGGGAACAGAAAATGCATATACTGGGTTACATGAGTGGTAGGGAACTGGGGGTGATGGGGTACCCCCCCCGTAACTCTCAGTTTGCACAAACTCATCTGTAGGGGTGTGGTGAGCCCTGGGGAGGGAATTCATGCCTCCTCTTGGCTGGGAGCAAAGCTGGATGCTCACCATCAGCTTCTCAGGCTCCCTCTCACTTAACCCACCCAACACTGCTAGGGTGCAGAGATCAGCAGGCAGCTTTTCCAGGCAGGGGTTTGGCCAGTTTACCTGCCCAAGGCCACACAGCCAGTGGATGAGAGGCTGGGCTGTGAGCACCGAAGCAAGCCTGATTCCAAAGCTCAGCACTCTCAGCTACTCCACTGGGCCTGGCAAGATTGGAAGCTGCTAACTCCAGTGCCCTTATCCAAACAGACAGGCAGCCTTGCCCTCAATAGGCCAGGATTAGCCAGCAGATGTTGCAGGGGAACTAGGACTGCCCATCACTTAGGGCATTTTTGGATCCATGTGCTGGGGGGAAGGGCTAGGGTGAGAGGAGGAGGTAGGAACAACAGGGAGTTAATGGTCCTTGAATTCAGCTCCCGCGGGTGGGTTGGGGGGTGCTTAACTTGGTTCTGGTGGGGAGAGAGATGGAAGGAGACAAACTCTTCCACCCACTCCTCCCTATCCTCCAGCAGCCTGGGAGGCCTGAGGAGCTGAGCCCAGTTCTGCCCTCTAGAAGGGCCGTGTGTCTGAAAAGTCACACTAGCTGGAGCGGGGCTGGGCTGGGAGGCAGGGTGCCTGGCTGCCCGGATCTGTCATTTGGGCAAGTTACTTGACTGCAGTGGGGCTATTTCCCAGCAGTTTCACAAGGACTTTCAGTTAAAAATGGTCCCCCATGTTCCTTCTAGTTTCAACATCTAAACTTGCCTGAGAGTTATGGCGGCCAGGGGAAAGCTCTTTCACAGGTGAGGAAGCACACTCAGAGAAAGTAAACCTCTTGTATGAAAGCACACAGCTTAGCTAGTGAGGCCAGGGCTGGAACTGGAAGCTGGGTCTGTCTGACCCCACACTCTTGCTGTCTCTGCTGTGCTCTAACCATGCTTCCTTGGATGTGGATCCCTTCTCTGCTCCACAGTGGATGCCCCCCTGAACTCATAATCTGAGTATCCATTGGTGGCAGCAAGAGGAATTATGTTCTTTGGAGCAGAGAAGCATTCCAAAAGATGACACAAAAGTCAGAAATCATTAAAAAGGGATAGGTTTGATTACATTTTAAAAATCTATACTAACTTCTATAATGGTCCAAAATGCCCTGCAATACAAAGAAAAGAAAAAAAGGAGAAAATGTTTGCTGCATATTTAAAAAAGGATTAATATCCCTAGTATACAAAGAGCACTGAAACCTATAAACATTATCCAATTTAAAAAACATGAACTGGGGATTCACAAAAGAAGAAACACAAATATGTATTATATATACATGATGAGCATCCTTTTTTTTTTTTTTTTTGAGATGGAGTTTTGCTCTTTGTTGCTCAGGCTGGAGTGCTGTGGTGCTATCTCGGCTCACTGCAACCTCCGCCTCCTGGGTTCAAGCAATTCTCCTGTCTCAGCCTCCCGAGTAGCTGGGATTACAGGTGCCCGCTACCACGCCTGGTTAATTTTTGTATTTTTAGTACAGACGGGGTTTCACCATGTTGGCCAGACTGGTCTCGAACTTCTGCCTTGGCCTCCCAAAGTGCTGGGATTACAGGAGTGAGACACCAGGCCTGGCCAACGTCCTTTTATTTTTGAGGCAGAATCTCACACTGTTGCCCAGGCTGGAGGGCAGTGGCGTGATCTCGGCTCACTGCAACATCTGCCTCCCAGGTTCAAGCGATTCTCCTGCCTCAGCATCCTGAGTAACTGGGATTACAGACGTGCACCAACACACCCAGCTAATTTTTGTATTTTTAGTAGAGATGGGGTTTCACCATGTTGGCCAGGCTGGTCTCAAACTCCTGCCTCGGCCTCGCCAAGTGCTGGGATTACAGGCGTGAGCCACCACCCCCGGCCATGATGAGCATCCTTATAGGCGATTCTACCCAGCTATCAAAAGCGCTTCTCAAAGCTACTAATCAAAGCAACCTTGGCTCCTCCTCAGGACTCCCACGCACACTCCCCAGATCCCCAAATCCAGCTCTGTGGGGCAGGTGGGGACCAGCTGGCAGCTTAGGGTGCCAGGTCAACCTGGTGACCGGTTCTGAGTGTGTGGCATTACAGAAAGAGGCTTAATGGGGAGGGCAGAGTCTGCAGGGGGTGGGGGGCAGCTGTGGGCAGAGAACATCAGGAACCAGAGACATCAAAATCAAGAGTAATGAAGTGGAAATCACACTAGGGCCTGGGCACCCCCAGCTATTTGGCTTATTCAACCTGAGTGTAACTACAAAGAGGGTATCCCCCATTTGCAAGTATCTGTGTGCCTTTGGTCTCAGCTCCTTCTGCTATCCCTGTGGGTTAACACCATCTAGGGCAGGGGCTCAGCCTTGCTAGTGAGAGGAAGGTAAGGGGTCCCTTACATTCAACTGTTTACATCTCATCACACTGAGATTCTAGTCCCTTCCTGACAGAGCCCTGCTGCTGGGCCACAGCTTTTTATTAAGCACCCACTATGTGCCAGGCACTGTTCTGAGTGCTGGGGATACGGTGATCAACAAAACACACAAAAATCCCTTCTCTTCAGAGACCCAAGCATCTGTGTTCCAGGACAGGGGCCTAGGCCCCAGAAAATCAGGGCCAGGGATTGGAGAGCATGGGGGCAATGGGGGCATCAGGGCTGCCAAGCCAGCAGCCTGGGAATCTCCTGGGAGATCTTGGACAGGGGTAATGAACCATCTCAGTGGGCTCTCAGACTGTGTGACCCCAGCAATAAGAGTGCAGAAACAACCAGGTAAGGGTGGTCAGCATTGACAACACCTGCAAGTACACTGCATTCCAGTTCCCGTGTGGCCCAAGAGTATAGGGCAGCTAACCTGGGAGAGCCACAGAGACCACCTCACTCCCCATTTCACAGCTGTGAAAACTGAGACCCAGGGAAGGGAAGCTTTTGTCATGATTAAGGAGCAAACAAAACTTTGAAGGAAGGACTTTGAAGGAGGGACGGATTCATGCAGGTGCATGGCCCATGCCCCTGGCCTTACCTTTTTGTTTTTCAGTCCCATCCTCTTGAGGCCAGGAGTGTCTGGCCTTGTTTAACAATCTTGGGGATGAGTACTTGGTATCAGTGGGTGATCAGGAATCAGTCCTGCCCAGACAGCTGGCCTGGGCGTCTTGGAGTCCTTATGGGTAGTAGACAGTATGGAGGTCAATGTGGTCTCAGGGGTGCCACACACCAGCCCTGGGGCCTGGATGTGGGGGGAGGGGGAGGGTGGCCAGGTGGGAGCAGGTCCTGGATCTCTCAGCAGCGAGATGGTCTGTGGGTGGAAGGGCCTTGGGGGTTGAGGGCCATGGCCAGCTGGACAGGGTCAGCAATGAGGCAATTGACTCTTGGCACACCTAGGACGGTGGAGAGATGGGGCAGGGGGGCCCTGTCTCTGCCCAGGCCTGGAAAACAATAAGCTCTTCCACCTAGCTGGGTCACCTGGGCAACACTGTGTGATGTCACAGGGCAGGGCCGAAGTCACACAGGCACCTGTCCAGGTGCAGTGAGCTAGAACGCGAAGCCCTTTTCCCTATTCCTGGAGCTGTGTTCCACCTGCCGCCTGGCACTCAGGCCCCACCCTTCCTGCTCTTGGTGCCTCAAGTAGTCTCCACCAACCCTGTGGTGTGGCCAGCCCCATGCTGCTCAAGCTGCAGCAAAAGAGGAAGCAGACACTGCTCTCAAGAGTGTTGCAGCTTGATCGGTAAAACAGCTACTTCTGTTGAAGAATCTACCAGCCATCGTGCCTCTTTGGGTACCTATAGTCTTCCATTTATTTGATAATAATAAACACAAACTTCAAGAGGATGGTTTCTTCTTGGAGGGTGGGTGGGAAGATCGGGGAGAGAAGAGGGTAAGAGCATACATTCTAAACTTTTGGGTTTTTAGATTGGGTGGTCAGTTAATGGAAATTCATTACATTATTGAAAATAAATTATAATTAAACAATTAAAGAAAGCCATGATGGGTCAGTGATGGCACTAGAGTACGAACCAAAGATTATGGTTCAGTTCTGAGCACTGCAAGAAATTATTACAAAGACAAAGAGCATTTGCTGCACGCCAGGCAGGGTCCTAAGTGCTTTTGGTGAGGTGAGATGGCAGAATGAAGAGAGACTAGTCCTTGGCCTGGGGTGGGGGGTTGCTCTATAGAGAGGTGAGGTCTGAACTGGGCTTCGAAGAATGATCAGAAATCCTGGGCTAGAAGAGGAGGGATTTGGGGTACTGGGCAGTGTTCAGAAGTGTTTGGGGGGCCCCTGTGGCCTGCCTCATTTCTACCTATTTTGGGCCCCAAGTTGGAGATTCTTTTAATCTGGCCGAAGAGCAGGACCAGCCTGGCAGCCAGGAGGCAGGAGACTCCGGCTTTGCAGAGGCCTCCCAGCCTCCCTCTCTACCCCCACTCCAGAGAGAGCAGCAGCAAGGATGTGGTTCTCCCCAGTTTAGAGACAGAAAAACTGAGGCTTTGCTTTTGATTAGAACTGAAAGGACCAGCCAAGGTCACCCAGACACTGGTGGGGGATGGTAGTCAGGAACCCCACTCCTAATTTTCTCCCCGTCTAGGCCTGCCAAGAGTGGTACTCCTGGGGCTCTGGGGCTGGGGGCCTGACCAGGAATGGCCTGGCTGTGAGCACTGTGCTTTATCTCCCTTGTGGGCCAACATGTCCCAGCACAGTGTGTATGTGTGGAAAGGTCTCAGTGGCTGCTCCCCCAGTCTCTCTAGAGCGCATCTCCCCCAACCTCTCAGGCCTGCTTAGTCTAGGAGGCTAGGGCAGCAGGTTCAGGGGGTGGGGAGCCATTGCTCCTTCTCTAGCAGCAGGACTGAAGATGCAAGCCAGGTGCCTAGGAAGCAAACTTTAATGAAGCACTCATTCTCAGGGCTGTGCGAGCGCTCCGCTCCCGACACAGAGCCTCACATTTTGTGCCCTGGCCACCTTGCCTGCCTCACTGTGGTCCTTGCCCTGCCCTGCAGCTCTGCCTCAGTCCCCGGGGCTCGGGGCTCTCACCCAGCTACCCTCCTTGGCATCTGAGCTTTCTGCCTCTGCAGCCACGCCCCTGCCATCTTCCTGCCTGGGAAGATAATGCGATTGGGCACTGGTTCCAGGCCGTCTGGCTCCAGGGTGCAAGTGGGCCCTGTGCACTCAGCAGCCACCAGTAGGGCCCTTCTACCTCCTGACTTGCTGGTTGTTCACCTCCCCAGACCAAGGACCCCTGAGACACCAGCTCCTGTGCCTGTCCTAACCTCCCCCGAGAGCTGCTTCCTCCTTGCCTGTGAGAAGGCCTTAGCAGCATGAGCCCAGCTGCTCTACCTTCTCCTCCCCTTCCTCCAGCAAGGTGAGCTCTATATCCCCAGCCCAGAGAAGTGGGCTTGCTCCTCAAATGTCCAGGGGCCAGCCCCAAGCTGTGATGATTCAGGGAGATTCCAGGGTGAGGGAGAGCAGGGAATGATTAATCTCACAGCTAATAGATAACTGTGCCCACCCCCTACCCACAGGAGACAGCACTTGGAGCTATATCACTAGGAGGGGCCAGGGGTTAAATGTGGCCACTAGAGAGCCCATAGTTCTGGGAGGGGCAAGCCCCTGAGGCTGGATCTGGGGCTGGCTCTTGGGGAAGGAGGGATCTTGCTGGCTGGACAGCAAGAAGAATCTGGGTAGACAGATGTGGCTCATAGTCAGCCCTGCTTCCTCATGCCATGTCTGGGGCCTGGAGTCTGAGGAAGCAGCCTGTGAGGACAAACTACCCATGCAATGAGACTCAGGGGAGTGTGTCTGTCTTCCAGAGACGCCCCCGCCTCCTGACTTGGCCTTTCCTTCCCTGTGAGTCCTGTCCCACCCCCACATTTGGGCAGCTGAGTTGGATGAGGTGGGAAATGTAGGCAGTGTGATTTTGTAGCAAATGGCAGCTCAAAGCTGTGTGATCTTGGGCAAAATGTTAACCCTTTCTGAGCTTTGGTTCCCATCCTTATTCAGTGAGGCAATCAGGGCTGCTCTGTGGGCTGAATGAGACCACGCAGGTAAAGCTCTTAACACGGATGGTTATGAGCTCCAGGCATGCTCGCTTTTCCCTGCTAACCAACCTTGGGCTTGGCAAGTTCTCTCTAGTGCAGCTCTGGGTGGCAGTGACTTCAGTTTAAACCCAGCTCAGCACCTTAAGGGGTGGGGTGTGAACTGGCCTCAAGGGGCCCAGTTAGAGCCCTTGTGGAAGCACAGGGCAAAGCCAGCTCTCCAATCTCTCTGCAGAAACTCCTGAGGCTGAGCCTCATAACTTATATGAGGTCAGAGCAGCCCTCGAAGGTCCTGGCCAGCAGCCGGTGGATTCAGAGCGGGGAGCCCTCTCAGAGTTTTCCATCCTTCAGCCAACAAGTGAAGACCTGCTGTCTACACCACTGGGGCCGAGGGTGCGTGGCAGTGGGAGCATAGAGACCCTCTAAAGGAAATGCTTCAGTAGACAACAGTCAAAATAATCAAAGGAGGGGCAGGGACTTGCCCTGGTCCCACGCCCCTGCCTCATGTTTCTTACATACCAGGAGTGAACTTGCAGCTCCAGAAGCAGCACACACACAGGAGGTGTTGCTGTGGACCAGGAGGACTGCACACACGTTCAGAGCAGGAGATAAAGGGGTCGAGGAAGGCCTCCGGGATGAAGGGCCTTGAGCAGGACCCTGAGAACACATTGGATTTAGGTAGGAAAGGGGACATTTCTGTTGAAGGGCTACCTGAGAAAGGTGCGGCCATGGGCGTGGGCCTGGAAGCCGGGAACAGAGAGGGGATAGAGAAGAGGGCAAGTGGGCCTGGGATGATATCTGGTCTGGGTGGGTGTGAAGGCTCAAGCGCTGGTGGAGACATGCAGACTTCACCCCATGGCCATTTCTCACTTCTCTGGCCCATTCCAGTGGGGGAGAACTCACCAAGTCCAAAGTTGGTTAGCAGGGAAAAAAGCAAGCACGTCTGGGGGACTTCACTGTCCGCGTTAAGAGCTTTACCTTCATGGTCTCATTCGGCCCTCAGAGCAGTCCTGATTCTCCCACTGGATAAGGACGGGAACCAAAGCTCAGAGAGGGTTAACATTTTGCCCAAGATCACACAGCTATGAGCTGCCATTTGCTATAAAATCACACTGCCTACATTTCCCACCTCATCCAACTCAGCTGCCCAAAAGCAATGGAGAAAGAGTGATAGGGAGATATGGGGGAAGGGGCAAGAGTCAGGAAAAGAGAAGGCCAAGTGTGGGGGCTCTGGGAGAGAGGCACACTTTCCTGGACTCTGCCTGGCAGCCAACTCTCTCCATACAAGTGCCTTTCCAGGTTATGGTCATTGTTCCCTCTTGTCTCTTCAAACCTAGGAGTCAGGGAAGGCTTCTCACAGGTTCCAGCCCCCAAGGCGCTGTAGTCTCCCTCTTGTTTTTCCTAAACCCCACCCTCAGTATTGTAAATAGTCCCTTTATTAAACTCCCCTCAAGCTCCTGAATTTGAATGCCTTCTTTTTCCTGGCAGGACCCTGGCTGATATACCTGCTGTGTGAGCCCCTCTCCATGGCCCAATCTCTCGCCCCGCCTGATGTCCTGGTATTACTGCTGTCATCGTCACCACCAGCCCCTTCACACCCCCAACTTTTAGTGAGCACTTACTGTGTGCCAGGTCTCATGCCAAGAGTTGACCTGCGCCATGTCATTTCATCCTCACATTTACGCTCCCGGAGTTATTGCTGTGAGTCTTTTCTTTTTTCTTTTTGAGACAGGGTCTCATTCTGTCTCCCAGGCTGGAGTGCAGTGGCATAATCTCAGCTAACTGCAACCTCCGCCTCCTGGGTTCAAGTGATTCTCCTGCCTCAGCCTCCCCAATAGCTGGGATTATAGGCATGCCACCACGCCCGGCTAATTTTTTGTATTTTCAGTAGAGACAAGGTTTCCCATGTTGATCAGGCTGGTCTCGAACTCCTGACCTCAAGTGATCCACCCGCCTCAGCCTCCCAAATTGCTGGGATTACAGGCGTGAACCACCGCACCTGGCCAGAGTCCATTTTTAAGGTGAGGACACAAATGCTCTGAGGGAATGGACTTGCCCAAGGTCACACGGCTTTGAGGCGGCACAGCTGGGATTTGACTCCAGGCCTGCTGGCTCCAAAGTCCGAGATCATTACCACCAAACCACGCTGCCTTTTCCTTTCACTCTGGGAAAGGAGTCGCAGCTCTCCTTTCCTCTCTCCAGAAACTGGGGCAGCATGAAAAATTCAAGACCAGAGATGAAAACACCTGGCCTTTTGAATGAGGCCAGACCAATGGCTCTGCGGCAGTGCAGCCTGCAGACACTGGTGTCAAAGGAGATTGAGGTGGTGTGCCCCAGAGGCTCAGCTGGGCATGGCTGGCCGGCCCCCATAAGCAAGGGCAGAGCCAGGGGGCCTGGAGGACATCACTTCTATCCAGCACAGAGGGGCTGCAGGGCTGTTTGATTATGAGGGCTGGTGGGGTCATAACACCCCAGACTGTGACTCTATCACTAATGTAGCTCGCTCCCATTTCCAGCTAAGCCTGTTAGATGCAGGCTGCTGTCTTTAGGGTCTGCTTGCTGAGTGGGCCAGGGTGGGATCCTGGAGGCTCTGGGGGCCTGCCCTTCTGACCTTTCCCTGGTTGCTTGCCGTGCAGAGGTGACTTCTATCAGCTCAGTAAACGGCTACTGGGCTAAACCCTTGTGTATCTGTGTTTTGTCTCAGAGCAGACTTTGTGATAGTCCTGACCCTCTCTTGCTGCACCTAGTTCTTGTGGGCTCTGGTCACCACCAAATAGGCAAAAAGATTTGGCAGCAAAGAAAAAAAGCATGATGACTTGGAATCTGTCAGGCCTGGCTCTAACCCTGGTTCTGCCAGGCACCGGAGTGAGGGTTTGGGCAAACCCCCTGATCCCTCAGAGCCTCCCATTCCTCATCTGCAGAGCAGGTCTACCAGCAGGCTCTGTGCAGGGTGGTGGCGAGGATTAGATAAGAGAATGGATGCCTTCACATGGTAGGCAGCCCCACAGTGAGCTTTCCCTCACACTTACACCAATGTATGCCAAGATGGAGCACCTCTGGCCCAAGCTTTGGCAACAGGAGACTTGGGGGTGACGAGTAGAGTGTGATGTTCTCGTTGTTGGACAACGCGGCTTCCATTTGCTTAGCAGGCACGTTTATGGATTGCCATGTTGAAGGATTCCTCTTGGCATTTGGCAACCACAGCTCTCATTTGGGGCGGCCCAGCTCCCTCCATCATGTCATAAATCACTTTGCTAAAGATGCAACGTTGCTTTTGGGCATTTTTCTTTTGAAAAATCAATAACTCGTGTAACAAGGGACTGAATAAAGGAGTGAGCAATGAAGCTGCCTGCCATTTCCTTCCATCAGGAGGGGCAGAAGCAGTGCTCTGCCAAGGTTGGGTGGGGGGTCTACTCAGAGGGCAGAGAGGCCTTGGGGTGGGGACAATAGGCTCAACCTGTTTCCAGCAAACCTGTGTCCCCTCACCCCAACTCTTCCAACCTCCAAATCTGACCAAGGCCCTCCTCTGCTTCAAAAAACACCTTAGTAGGACCCCATCACTGCAGGGGACCCCTGCCAGCCTCCTGGTCTGCTCACCCCAGGCCCTCACACCCACACTCATGACATGCCTGTGGTCCCTGTGAAGGAGCAGTGGTCTCTCCAGCCTTCAGGCCTTCACCTTTACTGTTCCATGTGCCTGGGCCATCCCTCTTCCCCAGCCAGCCTGAATAATTCAAGACACAATTGAATTGTGCACAACCTGCACAAAGATTCGCTGCAACCTTCCCCCACCCGACCTCAGGGACATCAGATCCACAGCCCATGGGCCTCCCCTGCCCTGGCTCATGATCCACTGTGGGCTTCTCTGGGACAGGATCTATCTTCCCCAAGGGCGGGGACCATGTCCCCAGGGCCCAGCATGTTGCCTGGTGCAGAATTGGCACCAGATGGGTGCTTGATGTATGAGTGAGGGATGACATTTGTGTCAAGTATCTTCCTCCTTCCTGCTACTTCAGCCTGGGACAGTGATGCCTGCTCCCCCAAACCCTCCCTCTCCACAGTCCAAGCCCCCAGTGCCTTCTCGCCTTGCTAGGGCATGCACGGGTGTGTATAGGAACCTCATAATAATAGCTAACAGTGAGCAATATTCTGTGTGTTTTACATACGTTAACTCAGTCCTCACAATGACATATGAGGTAGGTGCTACTATTGTCCCCACTTTATTTTATTTTTATTTCTATTTTTTTGAGACGGTGTCTCAATTGTCACCCAGGCTGGAGTGCAGTGGTGGGATCTTGGCTCACTGCAACCTCCGCTTCCCAAGTTCAAGCGATTCCCCCGCCTTGGCCTCCCAAGTAGCTGGGATTACAGGTGCCTGCCATTACGCCTGGCTAATTTTTGTATTTTTAGTAGAGACTGGGTTTCACCATGTTGGCCAGGCTGGTCTCGAACTCCTGACCTCAAGTGTTCTGCCTGCCTCGGTCTCCCAAAGTGCTGGGATTACAGACGTGAGCCACCGCCCCCAGCTTGTTGTCCCCATTTTAAAGATAAGAAAATGGAGGCAAGCTTCAGACTTAGGCCACCTAGCTGCAGAGACTGTGGCCTTAATCACAGCACTCTCCTTACTGAGGTGCTTGTGGGGAGCCTGGGGGTGGGGGTGACAGCCTTGGGTACCTCGCCCACTGGACAGGGCCTCAGGGTTGGCTCTGCAGCCGGGATGCGCCAGCAAGTCCGAGGGGCTCCAATTACAGGAAACTGCTCACTCAGGCCAAGTCAGCCCGGGCTCCCTCCCTCTCAGATTCCCTGCTCAGCGCCCGCCACCCTTCGCTCACACCACCCGCCATCTCTACCAGAGAGCAGAGCCTCTGGCCCTAATCTCATTTGAGGCCATGAAATCGCATTTGCAGCGTATTAATGCAGCGTGGAGCTGGCCCGGCCCCTGCCTGTCTCCTGGAAGAGAGGAGCCTGGAAAACAATCCCACGGGGAGGCGTCTCCAGGAACACCCGCCGACAAAAAGCAATTATGCTTTAAGAGGAAGATTAAAATAATGTCTACAACCTCCTCGCTCCCATGCCCATCCGTGAGCTCCACTGGCCCAATAGTGACTCAAGACCAGGCTTCCGGGTGGGGTAAGGAGTGGGGGCCCCATGGCCCAGCCCCTCAACTGCTCCCACAATCACTGGCTCCCCAGAGAGCTTCCAAGTTCCCCAAAGAAGCCACAGTCTCTCCAGCCCCTGGGTCTTTATTCAAGCTTTTCCGTCCAACCCTTGCCTACCTGGCAAGCTGCCATTCACTCGGCGTCACGAGAATGGCCAGCGTTTTGTGAGCATTGGCTATAGTCTTTAAATTTACTACACATTGAATTCAACAGTCCTGCTGGCGAGTGTTGTTATCATCCTCATTTTACAGATGAGGAAAGGAGGTGCAGAGAGGTGAAGTCCCACAGCTGGAGGGGGCAGAGAAGGATTGAAACCAGAGCCCATCACTACTCTCCTCTCTGCCTTTCTGCCCTGATCAAATACTTTCCACCCCTCTACTGCGCCTTCAGCCTCCACAAGGTGGGTCCAGCTGCTTCCCCTTCTATACCCAGGGACTGCAGTGCTCTCCCTGTGGTGCTCCTGTCTTTCCAAGAGCTCTGAGAGGCCAGGCCTGGCATAGAATCAGGGTTCAACAAATGCTTCCTGCATGGAGGAATCAGTAACACCTCTCTGCAGAGGTAATGGGGTGGAGATGGGTGGCCCATCCCCCCACCCCCGCCTCCAAGGCTGTGAATCAGGGTGGCTTCCAGGCTGCCTGTGTTCTGGAAGTCTTTGGAACCCCCTCTCCTCCGAGACCTCTTGGACTGCACTGAGGCTAGAATGTTATTTAATTGTCACAACCACATTGCCAAGTAGACATCATTATCCCCCTTTTACAGATGAGAAAATAGTCAGAGAAGTAAAATGACTTGCTCAGGAACACCTATTGCAAGGCAGACCAGGAACCTGAACTCAAGCCTGAGTCCAAAGTTTGTCTACTGAACCTTCTTGACTGTAACTCACTGTCACTTCTCAGACAGGGTGGAAAGGCCTTAATTATGGGCCAGGGCTACTTATGCAACACTTTTTTCTAAGTGTCATTAGCCAACAGCAGTGGTTCAGGGAGTTTGCTCTGGGACTCTGAGCCACTGACAGCCCCAACTCCATCCCCAGCCTTGCTCCCAAACCATTCAGTGCAATAAATGAGCACTCATTGTTGGGGCCAGCGTAATACCAAGTAACCTGTCTTGGCAGGACTCGGTGTGATTTGGGGCCACCAGGAAGAAATCTCCTCCCTCAAAGTGCTTCCCCGTGATCCTTTCACGTGCCCAGAAAGCCCAGCATTAGTGCTGCATGGGCTGAGGAACAGCTTGCAAATGGGCTAAGGAACAGCTTGCAAAGTGTGAGTCTCCCTGGGAAAGGATGCTGTTAGTCATTCCCACCTGTGTGCTGACTACTGGCTCAGAAAGACCAAAATATATGGTGATCTGGATTCCAGCTTGACCTTGCTACTGACTGCCTTGGGCAAGCTGTCTATCTCCTCTAGGGGCTCAGTTTCTTGCTTCAGAAAATGGGCTCTATCAAGGTTACCCTGCCTACCTCCCAAGACCAGTATGATGCTCCAATGGGCTCTGCAGGCTGCCAAATGTGATATAAGTTCCACCTCTGCCAGCCTGGCCCAGAGCAGCCTCTGGTACAGAGGGGATAGTACAGAGCTCGAAGTACTCAGAGATGGCACCTCCTGTGCATTCCATTGGCATCCCCTGCAACTCCCTACCACCTCCATCCTACGAACCAGCTCTCTCCACCTCCTGTTTCCCCCCTACTTGCTTGTCCCTCGAATACCTCCACGCCTTTGCTCACACTGTCCTCCACCTTTTTTTTTTTTTTTTGAGATGGAGTCTCGCTCTATTGCCCAAGCTAGAGTGCAGTGGTGTGATCTTGGCTCACCGCAACCTCTGCCTCCCAGGTTCAAGCGATTCTCCTGCCTCAGCCTCCCGAGTAGCTGGGACTACAGGCACATGCCACCACGACGGGCTAATTTTTGTATTTTTCAGTAGAGACGGGGTTTCACCATGTTGGTCAGGCTGGTCTGGAACTCTTGACCTTGTGATCTGCCTGCCTTGACCTCCCAAAGTGCTGGGATTACAGGCGAGAGCCACCGTGCCTGGCTCACCCTTGAAAACCATTCTCCCCACTCTCTGCTGGAATCCCACCCCACCATAGAGGCAGGGTGCAACTGTCTCCCTGACATTTGTGGGATGGGTTGTTAGCACCACGCAATTTCCCAATCTCTTCCTCACTTGAGCCTCATAACTTCCTTGTTAGTAGATAGGACTCTGTCCATCGTACAGATGAGGAATTTGAGGCCCAGGGAGGTAAGGGACCTGCTCCAAGTCATAACTGCTCATATGCAACTGGGAAATGAGGTTCTAAACTAAGTCTTCTGACTGCCAGCAGAACTGTCTTCCTCCAACAGACTGAGTCCTTGACGACCACCCAGCTCATGCCCACCACTTCCTCCACAATCGGCTTGGAAAGTGATTGTTCCTCAACTCCTCCTATTTCCTCTCCCTGCCCAGCCTGGCAGCTCCCTGAAGGCTGGACATACAGCAACCCAGTTTACTGCTTGGGAAAGTGAATGAATGAATGAATGAATGATCATCACCTCAGGCTGAGGGAGGTTGGACCTTTGGAGCCCAGGGCAGGCTGTCAGGTCCAGGTGGAGGAAGGACGTCCCACACGCATTCTCCATCTTCCCTGGGACGGGGCCTGGTACCTGCTGGCCTCAGCTGCTCCTGACCCCAGGACTCTGCAGAACTAGCCCAGGACCCAGGCTGGGGGTGGCTGGGCTGGCCTAACAGCCCTACCCCTCACCAGGGCCAGGGTGGGCTCACTGGGTGCTGTCAGCCTTCCTACCCTGCTGCTCCCCACCCTAATCCACTGTCAGAGGTATATTAAAGATGGGTTTCACGCAGGGTTTTAATCTCACCTCATATATCACATATGCCATGTCCCCAAGTCCCTTTCTCACCTGGTGCTGCACTTGGGGTTGTTGTACAGAGATGGAACCAGGGAGACGCAGGAGATCCAGGGAGGTGCGAGTCTGTGTGTGGGAGGATGTGCGCTTCCCAGGCATGTCCATTGGTGTCTCGGGGTGAATCTATCATTGAGATGGAGGTGGAGGGTAGGGGGGTCTCTGCATGTTGAGGATGCTGGAGGTCTGTGTATATTCACGTATGTGTGCATGTGTATGTGTCCTTGTGTGTCGCAGCATCCATGAGGGTGGATGGAGTTGGGGGTGGGTGGAGGGTGTTCAGGAGTTGGGGGCACATCCGCTTTCCATGGGTGTAAGGTTAAGAAAAGGCCATCGTCACTGGGCCTTCCTGCACATTATGCCCGCTTCCTTCACTGTGAAGATAATTTCTGGAGATGAGAAGGCCACCACATTTCCCTTCCCTGGAGCCCATCAGCTGCTCACTGGGGCTGGGGCTGGTCTGGTTGGGAAGACATCAGAGGCAGGCAACCCCTTCCTCTCCATCTCCCCCCACATCATTCTCTGTCACACACACACACACACACACACACACACACACACACACGCCTCCAGGAGGTGTGAGTCAGCGTCAGCCCCTGGCTGGGGTGAGGAAAGGCAGAGATGAAGGAGGACAGCAGGGCCATCTGGTGTGTTCGGTTACAACAATCTGCTAATGGAGGCTCTTCCCAGACTAGCACCCAGGCTGGGCTGGCCTTCTCCACCCTGCAACCTGGAATCTGGGCCCAGACACAGTGAGACTCACAAGCTCCTAACACCCCTCCCTTGGGAGACTGGCTGGGCAAGAAGGAGCAATCCTATTTTCTAGGTGCAGAAACCAAGGCCCAGACACATCCTCTTTGCCCAATACAGACATCCCAAATCATTACTAGAACAGCAGGAATTTATTAACCACTTACTGCAGGGCAAGGCTAACTGTACACTAGCTCATTTCATCTTGCCAGCAATAAAGGGCACAGAAATTGCTCTCTCCCATTTTACAGACGTGGAAGTGGAGGCTGAGGGAAGTTATATAACCTGCACCAGGTCAAACGCTGCTAAATCAATGCCAGAGCCCAATCAGCATCCAGGTCCTCCTGACTTCCATGCACCTGCCTCTCACCCTAAGCTGGTTGAATCCCAAATCCCTCCCATCCTCTACTCTGCTGAGTTCCAGGCACAGACCCTGTTAGGACCCTAAAAGCATATACAGATGACATGGAAATCTGGAAGCACAGGGGTGGAGGGACAGGCTTGGGCAAGGACACAAATATGGGACTCCCTCAAACTGTGCAATTTTGAGTCTCGTCCATGCTGCCCAGGACCTCTGGGCTCTCCTTCAGGGACCCCATGAATGGAGAGTGTTTCAACGCACCCAGAGGAGGAAGGGGAGCCAGCAGGCTGCCTGCAGGGTGATCACGATGTATTTAGCCCCTGGCCTCTCTCCCTGACAGGGTGGGAGGTGCAGGGGTGAAGTGGGGGCTGGAAGTGCCCCCCACCCCAGCCTCCCCAGGGCCAGCACCTGCCTGCCCCACCTCTCTCTCCGCCATGGTGCCGGTCTGCACCCCTCCCTGCGTGGGTGACAGCATTCTCTGAGAACGCCATGACAGTGCCTTTGTTCCCCTGAAATAAAAGAAAATCGAGCTACAAAGGGAAACCTCAGGTAGCTTTTAACGGGGCTCAGCTGCCTGGGGCAGAGTGTGTTTAAGCTGGAGGCAGTTGTCAAAGGAGGAGAAGGGGGAGCTGCCTGCAGTCCCCTTCCCACCCCCTACTCAAGGGGGAGCCCCCATGATCGTGTTTACTCAAGGAAAAGGCTCTTCCAAATAGTGGCAGAGGAGAAAATCAATGTAAATTGATGGAGAAATGTAAAGCAGCTGTCTGCTGTCTGCTGTGTGTGTGTGTGTGTGTGTGCATGCTTGCGTGTGTGTGTGTGTGTGTGTGTGTGTGTGTGTGTGTGTGTGTATGCTGGCGGTGGGCACAGCCTCAGCAGAAGCATGCTGCCTGGACGGGGCTGACCTGCTCGGGCCTGAGGCCCAGAGGGTGGGGGCTGGGAGTCAATCTCTGGCACGTGCCTGTAGAGGGGCACTGGTGGCTGGGGGAGGGGTGGCAGCAGAGTCTCTAACTCGAGTTAAGAGAGAGATTAATATATTCAATCCGCTCCAGGGTAATTGAGGGAACAATTGGAGTGTTTTTCTAAAGCCCATAAAACTGCCTCATTTGCAAGGAGGAGCTGACTGGCCTCCAGTCCTCTGTGTTTGGTGAAGCGCAGGAAAGGAGGAGGAGGGGGAACCCCAGTACCCAAGGGCTGGGACATCAGCCTGGGAGGGGCTGGCAGTCCTGATCTAACCTGTTCTCACCTTCCCCACCTCCCACCACTTTGTTGGTAGCAGCCCAAGCATTGCTTTCTAGAGCCTCTCTTTCCCCACCTGTGAAATGGGCCAGTGACAACTCCCCTCACCAGGAGAGCAGAGGGAGTGGCAGAAGGGGAGGCTTCAGAAGATGAGGGAAACCAGCTAACCCAAGGGTCCAGCACTGAGGGGATGGGGCATGAACGAAGAGGTGCCCAGTTCCCCAGCCACGCCAGCCCCCACTCACACCCCCGTGCTGCACCCCTGAGATTAAACGGGCAGTAAAGAGTAAAGTTAATGAAATCCACATCATGTGCCTCTCCCTGCTTGAACCATTCCAGTCTCCAGGGCAATAGAAATAGTGTATGCAATCGCGAGCAATAAAAGGCATAATGAATTTAAAAGCAGGCCATGGGGGCGGGGGGAGTGAGGACGGAGTGCTTGGGCCTTAAAGGCAAGAGGATGCCTGGGGCTGGGAGAGCGCCGGCCTGGAGCTCCAACTAGAACTGGGACCAGAGACATGCAGGCGGCGGGGGTCGGGGGAGTGGGGTGGGATGGGGGTAGGGGTGGCCGAGGGGACGCTAGGAAAGCCGTTCACAACAGCTCCGTGGCCGCTCTCCTTTCCCCTCCACTTCTCCTTAATGAAAGCCCCCTAGCCAGTGGGTGCCAAATTCACAATCAGAATCCACAGGCTTAGAGCCAGGTGCTTGGCGTTTGGTGATTGCTTTATTAGCTTTTCTTCTCCTTTTTTTCCCCTTGGGGGAAAAAAAGGTGTTTTAAACGGAAGGAATTAAAAAAAAAAAGAAAAGAAAAAGAAAAAAAAAACAACCTTGAAAGTGTCATTTAAAAGGCTCCTGGGAAACGAAATCGTTTCTATGAAACAAAACTGCGATTGTTGGGAAGAGGTAAATGCTGGGGGAGGGAGGAGCAGTGCACCCCTCCTTCTCCTTCCAGAGCTCAGAGCTGTGTGGGAGGGAGTTCCCGGCCTTCTAGCGAGGGAGCCCCCAGGATGGCTCCCAGAGCTACAAACAAGGAACCTTAAAATTTGCGTTTCCAGAAATTATATCTCTGGGAATTTCCAGTTTCCCTCTTGAACAGCTATGCCAGTGGGAGACTGTCAGTAGACTTTCAGGGATCTCTTGGAGAGGGCAGTGAGGTACCAGAAGCGTTGTGGCCTCTGAGAGCCCAGCCCCAGGCCCACAGCTGTTGTGGTCTCCCCCGCCCTTTCCAGCCCTCCAAGAGTCATCATTTTCCCCTAAAAATGTCCAGCCGAGTCACATCTGATGGCCTTTTTGCCGGCTTTGGGTTGCACCTTGCTGCTTTCCTCACCCCGGGGTGCTCTGTCCAGCACCGAACAGGCCACCCTCATCTGGTCTGATGAACTCCCCCTTACCCCGGGGAAGGAGAGGCTCTGGGAGCTGGAGAGGCATAGCTCTATGGTCTCAAACCTGCCAAGAGGTGACAGGAGGCAGCGCTGAGGGGGTGGGACGAGTGTAGTGGAGCTCTACCCAGAAAGGAAGCACCCTGAGCCTCTGGGAAGGGCTGCTGCTCTGGCTGGCAGGAACCTGGAAATAGTTAGCCCTCTAGGTGGGTAAATTCCCTCTGCAGCCCCTGCCTGCATGCTCCCAGCATCCCCATCCTTGGGTCAAGGGCTCAGGGAGTGACCTCTATCTTGGAGCTGTGATTGTGCATGCTGGAAATATTCATGGAGGACAGTCCCTCCCACCATCACCTCCCCACCCACACAGAGCAGGAAGCTTGGGGACTGGAGAAGCGAAGGTGTTCACTGTCCATAATTTTATTGCTCAGGGGAATTGATTGTTTTAGTTCCCGAGTCTCCAGGACTAGGGAATGCTGTGACCAGCATTGGCAGGGCCATTTAAGGCTGTGTAACCCAGGGGCCGTGGCTGAGAAGCAAAATGATTCTGATTCAAAGCCAGTCGTGGAAGTTTGCTGAGCTCTGACCCTGGTCTCACACTGAGCCTTGTCTTCCGCTTCCTTCTCATTCTGGATCATCTTGATTATTGCATTCCTGCTCATCCTGCTCTCCTGCCCCTGCTCCACTGCCCCCCATGACCATCATCAGTTCTGGTGAAAAAAAAAAAAAAAAAAAAAAAAAAACCAGTGCCACACACTACACAAACTGGAGAACAACTTGTGAGCCTACAACCAAGTTCTGAATTGAATAGATTCAATTGTTGAAATGCCTGATCACAGTCAGGACTGAGGATAACTTGGGAGGGATAAAATCAATGCTGGGAAGGCTTCCTGGAAGAGGTGACTTTGAGCCTAGACATTTGCATCTGGAGCCAGAAATCCATCCGTAGCTTTGATCTGAATATTGCTCGCTGACAGCCCACTCTTGCTGCTGTCCTTCCAGCTGTGCCTTTGAGCCTCCAAGTAGCAGCACCAGAAAGGTGCCTGCCTTCCTTAGCCTGAACTGCTAGAGCAAGTTATCTGGAGCTGAAACAGCCCCTGTATTCTCTGAAGGACCTGTCTTCATTGTCTGCTCCCTTGTGCTTCCTGGCCCTGTCGTCAGGGTTATGATTGCTGACTCTCCCCCCACTCTCCCCCAGGGAAGCGATTTTCCTCTCCCTTGAAAGCCATTTTCTTGTCTTGGCAGAAGCAGACATCTGACACTTTAAGAGGGAGCATGGTGGGGAGATGATGGCTTTAAATAACAGAAATTAGAGCTGCCGAGTTCGACTCAGCCATCTCGCCAGTCCCCTTTCCCCTCCCTCGCACACATTCAGAACTGCAGCCTGAAGAGCATCGTCCACGTGGCCTGTGGCTCAGGTGGCCAGGGCACTCTGGGACCTGGAGAGCAGGGGACAGCTTCTTCCGAGTTCACAGCTTTTGTGTGCCTAGTCCTGTGACAAACTGTAGGACACCAGGCCCTGAAGTCAGGGAGCTTGCAGTCTAAGGGAACAGAATGTCACCTAGGAATGCAGGTGACATGCATTTTATTTTACAAGATCAGCACTCAGCACAGAGCTGGGTGTGCAGGAAGTGGTCAAAAGTATGTGTTGATTGACTGATGAATGAATTAATGGACAGAGGCCATAGTGGGCCATGTCAACAGGCTGAGTGACTGGGCAAGAGAAGCTGGTCCCTGGGTCCCTGCGTCCTTGGTCATCCTCGTAGTTATCCTGGTACATGCTGCCCTATCACTTGGCCTAAACCACAGCTCAGATCTGGTCTTTCTCCCGCACAAACCCTGCACAAACCCCTCTGGTGTTCCCCACTGCCTCCTGAAATGAACATCCACCTCTGCTCTTCCTGGTGCCCTCGACTCCCTCCACTTTCTCCCATCCCCAGGCCCTCTCCCAGCCTGACAGTCCACCACCTGGGCTCCACTTCAGCACCAGACCAATGCACTGCAGGGAGAGAAGCACCGCAGATGGGCCAAGAGCCTTTGGTTGTCAACTTCTGGCTCCAATCTCTGCTCATCTTCTACTGCCAGCGGAACCTCTCCCTTCCTCTTAGCCAGTGTATCATGGTCCCTCCTCCTGGAATACCCTCCCCAAAGCCCAGTATTGCTATCCCTAAGTCTTACCCACTTGGCAGGCAGTCGGCGGAGTTAGCATTTAACAAATGTCTGATGGATGAATGAATGGATAAAAGGGTAAATGAAGGAATGAATGGGAAGATTCACCTCAAATAAACCCTCTTCCAAGAAGCCGTTCCTAGTCACCAAAATCTGACATGTACAATCCCTCACCAGAACTCTCCTGCCAGGCATGCCCTACAGGACCATAGATGATACCCTCACTATACCCAACTGTCTTCAAGCCAGGCGACACCCTGAGCTTAGGTGCTGTCACTTTTGGATTCTGTGCACTATTATACACTAAGGTTTCCAGGAAATGTTGTTGACATTAAATGGCATCAAGCATACCTTGGGCCTGTTTCTCCACCTGTCAAATGGGCTACTACTTGCTCTACCAGCTTCTATCTGTGCTGGCGTGAGGCCTACTAGACATGCTGTCTGGTCACAGAACATGGTCATAGGGGAGAAGCCTCCTATATTTCGGATAAGGACTAGACTCTCTCACCTGGGTCCTGGGTTGGGGTTGAGCCCCTCCTGGTCAGGGTGGATGCTAGATGGGCTTGAGGGTGGGCACACAGAGGAGGCTTCTGTCCCCTGGTCACTCGGGGCCTCCCACAAAAACTGGTGAGAACGAGGTTGGGAACTGAAGGGTCTCAGGGGACACTAACCCACAGGGCAAAAGAAACCCCACTTGGTTGGCTCCCTGCTCTGTGTGGCCTTTGCCCCATTTTCTGTCTGCCCATTGTAACTGGGACTCCCATGTCCATCCTCAGACTGCACGTTCCTCAGACTGAACATGGCAGCCTTGGGAGCTCTGCTGCTCTGCTCAGCTCAGCTCAGGACAGGGGGTAGCCTGGCTTATCACGGAGGCTGGGTCTTGTACCCGGTGAGCCCAGAACCTGAACTGGGACCAGGGAAGCACCCACCTGCAGTATGGGGAGCTGGGGCTCTGGGCATGGTGACATCAGTTCTGGCTGGCCAGCCCTGGGAGGGCTGTCTGAGACTGGAGGCTGAGGGCCCCGGTGGACGTGGAAGGCCACACTGTAGGCCAGGCTCCCACAGTGTCGGGCTGTGGGGTCCGTGCTAGCCCGGAGCAGAGCCAGGTTGCCACAGTAGCGGTACAGGTCCTCGTGATCCTGAGCCTTTGGGTTCATGCGGGGTTGGTCTGGCCTCGGGTAGATGGGGAAGATGGCCTCACCCACCCGCTGGGCTGCCCGTCCCAAGGGTTCGTCCAGCCTCAGTGCCTCCACATGCAGCTGAGCATCATGCTGCCCGTCATTCTTGCAGAAACCTGGATGAGGGAACACAGGGCTCAGAGATGGTCTCAGGTTTCTCTGCATCTGCCAGGTGACTAGGAGGACAGGCAGGGCCCTGGGGAAACCTGGGCTGCCCAGACTTTGAGTCAAAGCCAAGCAGTCTTGGCTAAGATTTCCCTGGTAGGCGACTCCCTCCTAGGCCCCACCCATGGCTCCCTCCCTTTGCTGATGCCCAATCCAAGCCCACCGGGCAGGGGTGAGGAAGGGAGGGCTTAGCCTGTGGGATGATCCTAGGTCCTGCCACCACCATAGACTCCTAGACTGGGGAAGAGTTCAGCCTGCCCCTGATTTATAGCCATTTAAAGTCTGGGACTTGGTTTCCCTGTTCCCTCACATCCCTCCTCCTCCAGGCAGCCTGCCAGGGTGGCCTTAGTCTAGGCATGGATTTCCTTCTCATTCCAGCTCACTTTACTTTTCTCTGCTTGGAGTTCCTTCCTCTCCACCTGCTCTGGAAGTTCCAGAAGGCAGGGCCCAGGTCCCCTCATTTCTGTCCACCCCAACATACCCACAATCTAGTGGGGCTCAGGGACAGGCACACAGGGCTGAGTATAATATTACTCGGTGTAATGTCCACTGCTCAGGACTGGCCCCCAAACCCACTGTGTGCTCAGCACTTTTACATTTACAAAGCCATCTCTCATCTGCCCTTCTATTTCCTTCTCACCTGACCTTGCGTGACAGGCACCAGTGTCCCCATGCCACACTGAAGGAGGCACGGGTTACAAAGGCCCAGAATTTGCCCAAGGTCACACCGGCAGAGCTTTGGGATGCAGTCTGGAGCTCTGACCCCACCCTCCCAGTTCTCCTGAGGCTCTCTGGGGTCCCAGAAAGGGACTCAGGCAGGAGTTCCAGGGTCTTTCTCTCCCCCAAACCCCACCCCTACTTCATACCTTTGGGCAAAGTAAAGATAAACTTGCTCCTGGTGAGGGTGAGGCTCTGGCCAGGCTCCTGCTGCTCAATGACATCAGTGATAGCAGAGCAGGCAGGGAAGGGGTCCCCATCATTCACTTGCAACTGCACCCCAGCCCCAGAGCCCACCTGCAGGGGGTTCTCTGCTGACAGTCTCAGGGCGTATCTACCCGCCTCATTAAACCCCACGCTCAAAACTTCGAACTCCAGATCCAGCGTCTTCTCCTCGGCCTTCAGCCTCTGTCTCAGCAGGGATGCAGAGACCCAGGGTTCAGGCCCCCTGAATGCCATGGCCACTGAGAGACCAACTGCCAGGCTGAGCACTGCACCCTCTCACCCACAGCCCAGCCTGGACCCAGTCTGAAAGCCTGCAGGCTGGGTGCTCAGGGACACTCCCCACCCACCTCTGTTTGTTTGAGGAGAAACCAGGTAACAAGGCAGGAAGCTGGGCCTGACCCAGGGAAGTTTTTTTCCATCGATCCCTTCCTTTTAGCATTTGTTCCTTCAACAAATATTTCTTGAACACCTACTGTGTGCCAGATACTATTTTAGGCATTTGGAATCCAGCAGTGAACCAAACAATAACTCCAGCCCTCTGAAGCTTATCTTCTAGTGGGGGAGGTGGGTAGAGACAGACAAAAATAAACACTAAATATGGAAAATAAGTAAATTATAATGTATGCTAGAAGATGTTAAGTTCTATGGAAAAAATTAGAGCAGGGACAAGGAAGAAGATTCTGGTGTGGGGAGCTCATGGGTACGTGGTATCCAGAACTTCCCATTCTGGGAGAGCCTGTTCATATGCCTATTCTTTCTCAAGAGTTCTTGACTTGGGGTGTAGGGGAGTCTCAAGGGAAGGGAGACAGTGTCTATTCTCAGGGAGCAAGCCCTTAGTTTACCTTTTTTTTTTTTGAGATGGAGTCTTACTTTGTCACCCAGGCTGGAGTGCAGTGGCAGGATCTTGGCTCACTGCAACCTCTGCCTCCCGGGTTCAAGCCATTCTCCTGCATCAGCCTCCCAAGTAGCTGGGACTACAGGCATGCGCTACCATGCCCAGCTAATTTTTGTATGTTTAGTGGAGGCAGGGTTTCACCATGTTGGGCAGGCTGGTCTCGAACTCCTGACCTCAAGTGATCCACCTGCCTTGGCTTCCCAAAGCGTTAGGATTACAGGCGTGAGCCACCGCACCCGGCCTAGTTTACCTTCTTAATCAAGACTCACAATGTGAGGCACAGCTTCACTTTGCAGACAGCCCAGAGCCTCTTACACCAAAGAGTTATCAAGCTGGAATCCATTCTCCCTGACTCTGGGTCTTGGTGTTACCCAGTGGGAGATGGGAGATTCAGGACTCCCCTCAGTAAGAACTATCTCTACCATCACCACCACCACCATCACCATCATCACTACTGTCACCACCACCATAGTCACCACCACCATCACCATCATCACCACCATCATCACCACAATCACCACCACCATCACCATCATCCCCACCACCACCACAGTCACCACCACCATCACCATCATCACCACCATCATCACCACCACCACAGTCACCACCACTATCACCATCACCACCACCATCATCATCACCACCACCATCACCACCACCACCAGTCACCACCACCATCACCATCATCACCATCACCACCACCACCACAGTCACCACCACCATCACCATCATCACCATCATCACCACCACCACCACAGTCACCACCACCATCACCATCATCACCATCATCACCACCACCACCAGCACAGTCATCACCACCATCATCACCACCACCTCTATCACCACGACCACCACCACCACCATCACCACCACATTCACCATCATCACCACCACCTCCATCACCACTATCACCATAGCCACCACCACCATCACCATCATCACCATCACTGTCATCACCATTATCACCACCACCACCATCACGATCACCTCCACCACTACTGTCACCACCATCACCAGCACAGTCATCACCACCATCACCACCATCACTATCACCACTACTGTCACCACCACCATCACTATAACCACCATCATCACAGTCACCACCACCACCATCGCCAGCAGCAGCAGCATCACCAACATCACCATCATTACCTACATCACCATCATTATTACCCCCATCACCATCATCATTACCCAATATCATCATCATCAGCCTCAACTCTTTGTTGAGCAGCCACTGGATACCAGGCACTCGACATGGCTCTGTGAGTAGATATAATTATTCCCCCTTTTACAAATGAAGAATCCAAGGCTGAGAGAATGTCAGGAAATTCATCCAAGATCACATGGCTAGTGAGTAGCTGTTGAGATCTGAACCTCAGAATTCTATCTACACTTACCCCTACTAAACATGTCCTGGGACTGGGCTCAAAGATTTAAATGTATTATATTAGAGAACAGGGAATTCTGTACCCTAAAACTGTAGTACACTTCTGAGTCTAAAGAGAACATTTATAGACAGCATTGATTTCATTCAAAAAAAAGCTCACTTGAAGTTACATTGACTGAAATGCATCATTTTCATAAAGTAAAAGATACCAAGTCTAAAAGTGGTATTGGCCAGGTGTGGTGGCTCACATCTGTAATCCCAGCACTTTGGGAGGCCGAGGTGGATGGATCACCTGAGGTCAGGAGTTCAAGACCAGCCTGACCAACATGGTGAAACCCCGTCTCTACTAAATACAAAAAGTTAGCCGGGCGTGGTGGCACATGCCTGTAATCCCAGCTACTTGGGAGGCTGAGGCAAGAGAATCACTTGAACCCAGGAGGCAGAGGTTGCAGTGAGCCAAGATTGCACCATTGCACTCCAGCCTGGCAACAAGAGCGAAACTCCATCTCGGAAAAAAAAAAAAAAAGTGGTATTGGCCAGCCCAGCTACAGGTCCCAATGTATACAGCAGGCTTCCTCTGCAATGATTAAAATTCAGTTTCTTCAGATCCCCCAGGGAGAAGCTGAGACAAAGAGTTCTAGTCGCCTGACTTGTAAGTGAAATTCAGGAGATCCCTTCTGTTTGGGTGTCAGTGTGCCCATCTGTATGATTGGGGTAGTGGGGCAGATAAGTCATCTCTCAGCTCTGATAGTCTGAAATTCTATAATTCATGTCGGGAAAGACCACAGTATGGCCATTTTGGGGAGAGGGTAGGTGGCAGAGACTACCTGGAAACCTTTGCCTCAGCGGCTGGGCATGGCCAACCAGTGTGGGTCTGGAGGCGGTGGTGTACCTCTGCCAGGTCTGAGGTCTTGGAGCTTAGTGACTCAGTAATAGCAGCTCTCTTCCCTTGCATATTTGAAGTGACCAGCAGAAATGTTACAAGATAGGAGTCCAGTTGCTTCTGCCCTAGGGCCAACCTTTGTGCACGTATCCTGGCCCCATCCCCTGCAAGCAGGGCCCACGCTCAGAATCACGCCGGTTTATCCCGAGTCCCTTCAATACTTCCCACATACCCCTTGCTCTCCCTTCTTTCCCTCCCTCCAACTTTTTTTCTTTCTTTCTTTCTTTCTTTCTTTTTTTTTTTTTTTGGTGAGATCGAGTTTTGCTCTTGTTGCCCAGGCTGGAGTGCAGTGGCGAGATCTCGGCTCACTGCAACCTCTGCCTCCCGGGTTCAAGCGATTCTCCTGCCTCAGCCTTCTTCAGTAGCCGGGATTACAGGCATGCGCCACCACGCCCGGCTAACCTCCCTCCAACTTTCTACAAAGAATCTGAGGTGGCTCTGTTGGCCTTAGCAAGGTTTTAGGATCCTCCACCACCTAATGTCCACACCCACTCCTATTTCTTGCCTCCCCTCTCCCATTATCTCTGGGGAAGGTACTTTTTTTTGGTGTGTGTGTACAGTTACTTTTTAAAAAAAAATTGTAGTCAAATACACATAACATAAAATGTACCATCCTAACCACTTTGAAATGTGCAGCTCAGTGGTGTTAAATAAATTTACATTGTTGTGCAACCAATCTCCAGAACTCTTTTCATCTTGCAAAACTGAAACTCTACACCCATTAAACAACAACTTCTTCCACCTCCCCCCAGCTCCTGGCAACCACCATTCTACTTTCCGTCTCTGTGAATTTGAATACTCAGTGCTTCATAGAATTGGAATCTTACAGTATTTGTCTTTTCACAAATGGCTTATTTCACTTAACATAATGTCCTGGGGAAGGTTCCCTTTTGCTCCAGGCCAGGTCTGCCCTTTCTCACCTCCCTACCCTTGCTGGTGTGATTTCCACTACCCAAACTGCCCAGCTCCACCCGACAGCAGCCCTACTCATCCTGCAGACTGGCTAAAAGCCTCCTCCCCTGTGACCCGGGTTAGTGACTCCCTCCTCCATCCCATTTTGCATTTTCCTCTCCTGTCTCAAATGATGACTTGCCCACACAAGTCATCATTCATTGCCCTGAATGTTGTTTCAGGAATCATGTTTGTGTGCCCACGCTGGGCGAGGGATAGGTGCCTGGGAAATGGTTAAAGCATTATGGATGAATAAATGAATGAATGCATGAATGAATGAAGTGATGAAGAAATTCAACCCAGCTTCTACTTATGCAGAAAGGAATAAGAGTTCTTTTGGCTATTTCATTTGGAGTCCATCTGTGACAAGCAAAGACCATTTGGGCTTTTGAGTCAAATTTAGACTCAGAGATGCAACCTGGTGCCTCAGTGGGCAAGCAGGTGGTGAGGAGGGAGGGTACCAGTGTTGGAGGGTAGTAAATAGGACAGGAGGCAGAAACCCTGATGCTCAGGCATCTCTGAGTCTGGCCTCAGTTCTATGTAGAAATCTGGAAACATCAGTGAATTTCAGCAAGTCAGGGCTAGACGGCAAGCCCATTTTACAGATGAAGAAACTGAGCCCAGGGCCGCAGGGCAGCACCAGATCCCTCCTCCCTTCTCAGGGTTCTCTCTACTCCTGGCTGCCTCCCTGATTCAGCCTCCCACGGTTTTCAAAAAGTTTAAACTCCAGGTGAGACTGTCTCTGGGGGGCAGGGCCTGGTTCCCCAGAGGGGTTCAAGAAGGGGTAAGGGATGTGGGCTGGGGTGAGTGGAGGGAGGCAGGAAGGGAGCAGCCTTGGAAGGCGAACTTCCAAGCCACCTTCCAAAGTCCCAGCGTGAAAGACCTTAATGGGGCCCTCCAGTCTTCTTTCTTCCCCCAAAGAATGGCCACTCAGAGGCCGCTGGCTTTGTTTGGAAGAGCCAGGGCCTATAATTAGCCCACCCCAGAGGGCCCCCTTCCTGCTTCCCACAATGGCTCCTTTCAACCTCCCCCGCTGACACACCCCCATGGCCCCTGAGGGCTCTGAGACCCCTATCTTCAACGATCCACCTCCAACTCCCTCCCCACCCCCACTTTACTTCCTTCCTCTAGGCAGAGCTGAATCCTGGCAAGCAGGGAGCCCATGAGTTCTCTGGAGCCAAGGATCTGGGGCTGGGACTCATCTCCTTCCACAGGCGCAGAATCTGAGGTGCAGAGAGAGCACGTGGCTAGTGAAGGGATAGACCTCTGATCTCCTGACTCCTGGGCCACTGCGATTAGGTGATCATGCGATCATCACTGCTCCACCCTGGGCCTTCAGCACCCAGCCCCCTGCAGCAGCCTCCCTTCCCCCGCAGGGGTACGTCACCCCAGGCCCACTTCCCACTCCCTTCCCTTCAAGTCCACAGTGCCAGAGGCCCACAGGGCAACAGGATCACAGGCTCAGACCAGCAAAGGGAAGAATGGCAGCCAGTCTCCCTCCGTCACACAAATGGGAAAACTGGAACCCCGAACACGGAGGGGCTTGCAGCGGCCAGGGGAAAGCTTCCCCACCACCCTCTGAAGGTTGGCTAGAAATCACCAACAAGAGGCAGGTGAATAGGAGGAAAGGTGTACACCTTATTAACATGTACACAGGAGCCTTCAGAACAAGGACCCAGAGATACAGGGAAAATTGTCCACTTTTATGCTGAGTTTCAAGGACACATGGACAGCTGTGTAGCGATATGACTGGACAAAAAGGGCAATGATCGAATGTGAATAGACGGAGTGGGGACACCCAGCAAGGCCTGTCTCTCTGGATTTCTTCCTGGCCCCTCTGAGCATGCATTTCTTCCTTCTGGGTGTGGGTATGGGGCAGGACTTTCTGGAATGGAGGTCTGACCTACAATCAAACAAGGTAGGCCTGAGAATTTTTTTTGTTTTTTTTTTTTTTAGAGACAGAGTCTCGCTCTCTCGCCCAGATTGGTGTGCAGTGGAGCGTTCTCGGCTCACTGTAACCTCCGTCTTCCAGGTTGAAGCGATTCTCCTGCCTCAGCCTCCCAAGTAGCTGGGATTACAAGTGTACACCACTACTGCCTGGCTAATTTTTGTATTTTTAATAGAGACGGGGTTTCATAATGTCGGCCATGCTGGTCTTGAACTCCTGACCTCAAATGATACACCCGACTCGGCCTCCCAAAGTGCTGGGATTATAGGTGTGAGCCACCATGCCCCACCTAGGCCTGAGAATTTATTTGTGGCCAGTTTTTACACAGAAATTGGGGAAAGTTAGAGTTTGTAGGCTTTATGGCTAGCTTTGGGGAAAAGGGGTTTTGATTTCTATAACCCGCCTTGAGGAGGAGGGATTCTCTTTTCTATGTCCGTCCTTGGGGGAAAACGGGCCTGAGACACAGGAGGGCAGGAGAAGGCTAGAAGGTCACTTTTGCTTCTGAGGCTTTCATTTTCGGGTGTTATTTTCTGAGTTCCAACAGGCTGCATTTGTGGTCACTCAGCTAGTAAGTAGTAAAAACAAAATTAGAAGCCTCGTCTCTTCCTTCCACCGAGGGGCCTGGCTACTTTGAAGCTTTCTGCCATGAGTAGTAACTGTGATCCTGTCTGCCACGCCAGTGCCATTGGATGGCACTCCGTTCCTCTCTTGGCCTCCTGCTCCGGGCTCCAGCACCAAGCACTGTCAGGAAAGTCTTGGGTCATCCCTCAAGTCCTTTTGCTCTGACCTCCAGCTGAGCAGGAGCTGGAGGAGGGGAGCTAGGGCAGCATCAGTGATCCCTGGGCTTGCCCTGACAGCCCCCCTCTGCCAGACTTGCCTTGGAGGGGCTAAAGTTCTTGGTCTGGCGGGAGGGAGAAGGTAGCCTTACTGCTCAGCAGCACTGACCTTTGTCTTCATGTGCCCAGTTGCTTGGCTGCTCCACCAGGCTCTGAAGGCACAAACCCCTGAGACGGTGTCCAAGCCCAGGGCCCTGTAGACTCTGCGGATCCCGAGACCAGCGCCACTCATCCTGCAGCACTGGGGACAGACAGAGCAGGTAAGGCGGGAAAGAGGGCAGGAGATGGCAGGGGCAGCACTGAGTCAGCACAAGACAAGGCCCAAGATCAGAGATTTAGGCATGGCCCAGGCTAGCTTAGAAAAGGTACTGCCTAAAACCTTTAGGAGGAGAGACACAAACTTCACAGCCAGACTGGGGAGTGGGGAGCAAAACAAAGAGCAGGAGAGAGAAACAAAAAGGAAACAACAGAGAGAGTGATAGAGAGAAAACACAGAGTTAGACAGAGAAAGAAGGAGGAGGAGAGACAGAAGGAAAGTAGAGAGAGACAGAAGGAAAGGAGGGAGACTGAGTCAGACACAGAGAGGGTGAAACAGAGAGTGGCATACCAGGGACAGGCAGAGAGACTGATGGACAGGGGCAGAAAGGCAGACAGGAGGACAACCAGATAGAAAGAGAGAAAGGGGCTGAGCACCGTGACTCATACCTGTAATCCCAGCACTTTGGGAGGCCGAGGTGGGCAGATCACCTGAGGTTAGGAGTTCGAGACCAGCCTGACCAACATGGAGAAACCTCATCTCTACTAAAAATACAAAAAAATTCAGCCGGGCATGGTGGTGCATGCCTGTAATCCGAGCTACTCGGGAGGCCGAAGCAGGAGAATCGCTTGAACCCAGGAGGCGGAGGTTGCAGTGGACTGAGATAGCACCATTGCACTCCAGCCTGGGCAACAAGAGCCAAACTCCATCTCAAAAAAAAAAAAAAAAAAAAAAAAGCCAGGGGCAGATATTGACAGAGAGACCCAGCAGTAGGCAGGGGTTCTGCTGTGTTATCAGACAGAGTATTGAGAGGTGTGTCCCAATCCTGCAATTTGGCTTAATCAACACTTGGGGCCTTCCCTCAATCCCAGAAGGAGTCTCCCAGCCATAGAATGAAACGGAGTCCAAGCTCTAGGAAGGAATGTTCTTGGGGGAAAAAGCAGTGAGGTGTGTGTGTGTGTGTGTGTGTGTGTGTGCGTGTGCGTGCGTAGTGGTGGGGGGGAATCTCTGGCAAAACTTCCCCTAGGTCAGTCACTGACCCTGGCACATCATGTGGCCTCTCTGGGCTTAAGTTTCTTTTGGATGTGTTGGAGTCTGGGGTACAGCAGGAGTCTCCTTCAGCCTTATAATCTGGCCTTAGCTAAGGCTCTGTCTTTGCCAGTAACTTACTGCTCTATTCTACTTAACTCATGACTTCTATCTCATAGTCCAAGATGGCTGCCTGAGATCCAGCTATCACAACTGTTTTTCACCCAGCTAGAAGGAGGAGGGGGTAAAGAGAACACCTCTCTTTTTGAGAACACAACCTGGGAATTGTGCTCAACACTCTTTTTCCAAGTCACTGGCCAATACCTAGTCTAAGGGCTACATCTAGCTTCAAGGGAGACTGGGAAGTGTGCAATATTGGGCTGGGGACGGAATCAAATTCACACAGCTCAGTGATGCCTTCACAGCTCCTTACTCACAGCAGGCTTATTTAAAAAGAATTACACATGCAGTATGAGTTTTAAAATATGCATTTCAAACAAGTGAAAAATCCTGCTTCATTCTCCAAAATTCACCCCTCCCCCAAGTGTGACCACTGTGAACAGTTTGCTGTGTGTCTGCCAGATTCACTTTTTATGTGTACACACATACATACACATATGTCTACCTAGTTAAAGAAGCATAAAATGAGATCACGATTTATGTATTGTTCAGCAACTTGCTTTCTTGGTTACTGTTACTTGGCAATATGTCTTGGAGGTTCTGCCACGTCAGTCCAGAGAATTACCTCATTCTTTTTATCAGCAAAATAGTACTTCAGTGTGTCAACTTATCAGCATTGATGGATGGATATTGGGGTTGTTGCCAATTATTTTTGCCATTACAAACGGCCTTGGGAATTTTGTCTCCATATATATGCATGCAGGCATTCCTTGGGAATGGATTCCTAAAAGTGTGCCAAAGGTTAATTTTCTCTTTATGTGGGTTTAACCCTTTGGAACTAAAAATCCTCTTCTCCATGGACAAGATGGTGATCAGATCCAAGCTGGCTGGCTGCTTCCCTTTCTCGGCTTGAGCTGCTCTCTCTCTCCCTCTCTCCCTGCCTCTCCTGGGCAGGCCTGGCTCTGGCATTGTCCTTCTCTCTTCCAGGGTCTTTTACTATCATTGGAAGCCAATCTCACATACAAAAGCCTGTGGTCCCACCTTTTTATAGATGGCACTCCCTTTCTCCTTCAAGGAAGAGACTGCCTCTCCAGGGCCCTTCTCCTGAGAATTTAGGGCCCCGCTTCTTGGCCCGGCCTTTATCTACTCTCTCCCTGCCCTGCTTGCCACAGCACCTAGGTGGAGCACCCTCTGAGCACCATTTCCTTCCCCAGTCTTGTCTGCATCCCTGCAGGATACCCCCTCTAGGAAGGGGAGGGAGGGGTAGGGAGAGCCTGTGCTCAGGTGAGGGGGGATGCAGCCGACTGTCCAGCAGCGTTGGAGGTTGCAGGCATGTACTTGGGGTGAAGAGCAGGACTCCAGAACCCCAGCCTGTCTGTGAGAAGTGAGAAATAGAAGAGAAAGCTCCGAGGGGGCCTTTTTCACTTCCCCTGGGAATAGATCATACCTGGAATTCCAGCCCTGAAGCCCTGTGATGACTCCCCTTAGCTGTGGTCAGGGCCCTCAGCCCAGCTGGGCAGCAGCAGGATGCAGATCCGGTTATTAAGAGCCGAGCTGGTGGTTCCCCTCTGGCAATTCATCAGGCAGTGGCCCCCTGGGAGTGATGGATGGGGACAAATGGAGGTAAGTAGGGGGTTCCTCAGCTTCTCTAAGGCCACATCTGGGGAAACTCAGCCATCAAAGCCCTGTGCAGGCTTCTCCACTGAGGTGACTCTGAGGGCCAAGGAGATCAAGTTTCGAGCAAACGGTTTGGGGGTGTGGAGAGGCTATACCGCTGGAGACAAGCCGCCCTGTGTGTTGTGTGGGGCCCCAGCCCCTGCTCTGTGCCTGAGCTGGAGATGGGGGTGGGGTGGGTTCCTCTGATCCCGGAATCAAGGGCGGGAGGTCTGTGAGGGCAGGAGGAGGGGCAGAGCCAGACTGGAGAAGGGGGGAGCTGCCTTCCGGGAGGAGCAGATCAAACACCTTTTAAAGCAGGTGCTGGGGACACTTCTCAGGGCCAACTGCCGAGACCACACAACCAGCCACCCCTCTAGGATCCCAGCCCAGCTGGTGCTGGGCTCAGAGGAGAAGGCCCCGTGTTGGGAGCACCCTGCTTGCCTGGAGGGACAAGTTTCCGGGAGAGATCAATAAAGGAAAGGAAAGAGACAAGGAAGGGAGAGGTCAGGAGAGCGCTTGATTGGAGGTAGGCTGGAGCCAAGTCTGGGAGGCCAGGTGGGATTGGAACAGGTCGGGGAACAGCGAGAAGGCACATGGGGTGTGCGGTGGGAAGTGAGCAGGAGTCAGAGCCTAGGGGCAGGAAGTGAGCAGAGTGATGGGCTGGAGCAATTCTGATGAGTAAGTTTGGAGACCTGGGGTGGGCTGCCCTCAGGGGACACTGGGGGGCTAGCAGGAGCTCCAAAAGGCAGGAGACATTCGCAGAGTCCTGTCTGAGTTGGATCTGACTGGCTGTGGGCAAAAGGTTGGTGGAGAGCCCTGTCCTGTGGTCAGCAAGGGAACAAGGAGAGAGAAGTCAGGGGATCTGCCCAGCAGTCAATGTCCTCAGTGAGGAAGGAGGGCAGCACAAAGCCTACATCTCAAGGCCACACCACGGTGGCCAGCCCAGGGAGGAACGTGCTGGGAACGGAGAACGTGGGGCTCTTATAGCTGGGGAATCTTCATGGCCTTGTGTCTAGTCCTCCGAAGGCAGGAAGCCCTCTGTTGCATCTTGATGTTAACAGCCTCTTCTTGATTGCCTCCCTTGATGGGGGCCTCACTACTCTAGAAGGCTACCTTTGTTCTGAGCTGAAATCTGCCTCCCTCCTCCAGGTCAGTACTAGCCTAGCCCTCTGGGAGGGAAAGAACATGCTGCTCCCCTGGCACAGCCGGCTACCCTCCTCCTCCTCACCAGTGTCCACCCTCATACCAGAACAGCCTGGTCTAAATCCTTTATGTTATGATGATGCTGTTGGTGAGGGGGGCATGAGAATTGCAGGAAGGGCACATCAGATGGTGCTTCTGACCCTCCCACATGGCAGGGGAGGTAGGAGGTAGAGAGACAGGAGGTGGAGAGTCACCCATACTCTTCCTGCCGTGAGCACGGCAGCCGACGACACTGCCTTCCAGCCCACTGTGTGGAGTCAGACTTGGTCTGGTGCCAGAATTAAGCACGTATGTGTGCGAAGGGCAGTTGGATGTGTGTGTGAGTGTGCTGTGCCACTGAGGGCACACCCCAAGCTCACGGGCCCGCATGAGGTTGACTCTCTCGGCTGCTTATTCATGGACTCTCAAGGGGACTGGGCTGCACAGGTGGGCACAGTGGCCATCCCCCCACTCCTGGAACGCCTCTCTTGCGTGTTCTCTTCCGTGCTATCGAAGTTGGGGGTGTACCTGAGGTTTGAGTATTGTAAACTATTGGGTTTGCTGCTGGACTCAGAGTCAAGGGCTGAGATGGGAGGGTGGAGAGCAACGGGGGTCTCTGGCCTTTCTGCAAATGGTCACAGGCTTTTGAACATCTTGTTCCAATCTGTGGTTGATTTGCCAGAGTTTGAGTTTGCCAGAGTTTGAGTGTCCTGAGGTGTTGCAGTGGTTCTGATGTGTTACTGAAGGTCTGGGGCTTCTTGGGGGCAATACTGAGGTTGCAGGGCTTCTTATGGCATTACTGAAACTCAGAAATGTTGCTGAGATTCTGGAGGTTCTCTGGGAGATCTGGGAGTCCTTGAGGGGATGTTTCTGAGGTTCTGGGGATGCTGCTGGCCTTCCCCATTCCTTCTGGCCTGCTGTTAGCTTCTTCTAAGCTTGGCACTTTGCCCTTTGAGGATTTGATAATCACAGGCTCCCGCAGAAATGCACGTGGGCCTCTGCTCCTGGATGCAAAAATTCCTCAGGTTTAATCAACTTGAACAAAAACATGAGAGGAAGGAAGCCCTGTCCCAAGGCCTTCATGGGCCAGCTCCAACCCGAGGGGCATAGCAGCTCTGTGCCAAGCCCAAATGGCAGATGGCCTTCACTGGCTCAGAGTCCAGAAGCTTTTTAGGACCTCCTCCCATAGTGAGCAGGGCTTAGCCACCCGCCAATCTGTGCCCAGTTGGGAGACCTGCTGGTTTGAGCTGCTCCTTGGATACTGGCATCAGCCTCATCTGAGTGCCCACGTGGGTTCATGCTGGTCACAGCGAGGGAGCCCTGCCCTGACCCTTATGCTACTCTCTCCTTGTCTCTCAGACTTCCCTTCTTGGCACTCCTGAGACACGTGTCAATTCATTCTTGTTACCATTCCAGATCTTCCATGGCTTCAGGGCCCTGCTCCAGGCCCCCTCCTCCAGGGAGCCTGCAAGACTGCCCAAGCCATCTCCTCCTTTCCCTCCCCGCTCCTCAGGCTTTGGCAGTTCTGTCTTTTGAGCACTTTTGCTCTCCTGAGGGCAGGGCTGGGCCTTCCTGGGTATCAGTGCCCCTTTAAAGCCAGCTCCAGAGGGCAGGCCCTTGACTCTGCTGCCCAGGCCTTTGGAGAAATTCTTCAGGGGCACATCATTACCATCCTTCTCTTCCTAACACTTCTTGCCTCCTGCCGTCTTCCCAGGTAGCATCTTTCTTAACAGCTCAGAGCCGAGCCTCCCATTTTGCAGATGGGAGCTCCAAGCGATTCTAGCCCCAAGCTGAGGAGGTACCTTGGGCTCAAGAAGTGGGCTCACCTTGCAGCTTGAGCCACGCGGCCACCCGCTATCCATGGATCTTCAACCCAGCCTGCCCACCCTGCCCGCACCAGACTGGGCAGGGCAGCTGGGGGCCAGGAGGGGGCAGGTGGGAGGCAATGGGGGCACCTAGGAAGTCACAACCACTCTCTGTGACCTTCTTGTTACAACTGGTTACTGGTGTGCAGGGACGGGGGCCTTGTGGGGAGAGTTCACAACTGGAGAATCTCCAGGCCGGATTTGAGAGAGGACAGTGAGACCCACAGAGAGGAAAAGACTCACTCAAGGCCACATAGCCAGTCCCAGGGTTCAAATCCGGCTAGGTGGCCTCCCCAACCAGGCGTTCTCCACTGCCATGCAGAAACCTGGCCCTTACCTCTGGACCTTCCAGCTATGCCCTGGCCAAAGTACCAGGCACAAGGCTGCGCTCTGCTTGCTAGGCCCCCACCAGGGGAAAAGGACGAAGCTCACCATTTCCTCCCCTCTGCTTAGGGCCTCCCTTGGTGGCCTCTGTGTCTTCCCATGAGGAGGGAGGTGGTATTGTTGGCACTGGGCTCTCCGTGGGGGGTGGGGAAGGGACTGTGCCTGGGCTCAGCTGGGGTCCCTTTCTGCCAGCCTGGCTGCAGCCCCTGGGCAGATGGAGGCTCCTTCAGGCAACCTGATTGCCTTTCTTCAGTGCCCGATATGGTTTGGATGTGTGTGCCCTCCAAATCTCATGTTGAAATGTGACCCCAGTGTTGGAAGTGAGGCCTGGTGTGTGGTGTTTGGGTCATTGCGGGGTATCCCTCCTGAATGGCTTGGTGCCCTCCCTGTGGTAATGAGTGAGTTCTCGCTCTATCAGTTCATGTGAGAGCTGGCTATTTGTAAGTGCCTGGCATCTCTCCTGCTCCCTCTCTTGCCAAGTGTCCTGCCTGACCCCCCTTCACCTTCCATCACGATTGTGGGTTTCCTGAGGCCCTCCCCAGAAGCTGATGCTGGTGCCGTGCTGCTTCCTGCACAGCCTGCAGAACTGTGAGCCACATAAACCCCCTTTCCTTCTAAGTTACCCAGAGTCAGGTTTTCCTTCACAGCAATGCGAAACAGATGAACACAGTGCCCAACTGGTACCTCCCTCTCTCCCCTCTGGTATCAGCAACACACCACCTTCTCAGTGAGGCCTTCCCTGACCACCTTGTCTCAAACAGCCAACTCCCGTCTCTCTTCTCTTCCCCCACTTCACTTCCCCTCTGGTGTTGTCTCCCCTAAGCCCTACCATACATCAGGTTCCATTTGGTGCAGGCCTTGACTCATCTTGCTCGCTGCCAAACCAGCCTGGGGAAGGCAGAGTTAGGCTTCCTCCAAGGAAGAGGATGGTTTCTTTTCTTTCTTTCTTTCTTTTTTTTTGAGATGGAGTTTGCCTCTTTTGTCCAGGCTGGAGTGCAGTGGCACGATCTTGGCTCACTGCAACCTCTGCCCCCTGGGTTCAAGCGATTCTCCTGCCTCAGCCTCCCTAGTAGCTGGGATTACAGGTGTGCGCCACCACGTCCGGCTAATTTTTTGTATTTTTAGTAGAGATGGGATTTTGCCTTGTTGGCCAGGCTGGGTCTCTAACTCCTGACCTCAGGTGATCCACCTGCCTCGGCCTCCCAAAGTGCTAGGATTACAAGTGTAAGCCACCACACCTGGCCAAAGGGCATGGTTTCTGATAGGCAAGGATGTCTAACCCCTGACACTGCTGCCTTGTAGAGGGAGTGGGCTCCCTGTCTGGAACTGGACTCCAATGGTTGGAGGTGGATTTAAAATCAGATGGGAGTTGGCTGCTCCCTAAGGTAACAGTCTGAGACCCCTGAGCAGGGAAGGGCTTGCTGGCCTCTGGTGTGGGCACGGGGACTCTGGGAAGCCCAGCTGGTGAACCTCAGGGCACAGCAGCCGCCTGTATAGGACAGGCCCACAAATGAATACTGGCCGCCAGAACAAGCAATGGCTTTGCCAAGCTCAATTTCTGAAGTCCCTCTTACCCAAGGGCCAGGCGCTGAGCATCAGGGGAAGGCAGGAGGAGGGGTGGGAGGGATAGAGTCCCGCCCTCCGGGAGCTCACACTCGCGCCTGGAAGGCAAGTTTCCCGCATCCCTGGGATCAGAAGGGCCAGTGTGGGCTCCTCATTACATCAAATAAAGCTCGGGTTCAGCTCTGAGTCAGCAGATGCTGATATCTCTGTGGGATGGTGGAGAGCAACAGAGCCCTCTTCCTGCAAGAAGGGCCATTTGGGAAGAAGGGGGAGGAACTCAGGCTAGCAGGGTGCTCAGCCCCTAATCCTGCCCTGCAGGCTTGGGAATTTGAAAGAGAGCCTCCAGGATTTCAAGCCCTGTCTACTCTGAGACTTCACCCGTGCTGTTTCCTCTGTGGGGAACACACTTTCCCCCACCCCCATCCCCATCCTGAGCCTGCCACCCTCTGCTCAGCGGACTTTCCCCTGCCCTTCAGATCACCACGGAAAGGTTCTTTTCTTCAGGAATCTCCCCCCATCCCCAAATGCTCTTGGACTAAATTTGGTTTCCCATGGTACAGACCAGCTCAACCTGTGATTCCCTTTGTAACCCTCAGACTTTGGAGGGGATTTAGTTATCTGGCTGTGTCCCCGCTGAACTGTCATCTCTCCTGCCTCAGGGCTCAGAACAGTGCTGGCACATAGTGTGTGTTCAATAAATTTAAGTTAAAAGACTAAATGAATAATGTCTTCTTAAAAAAGCTGTTGAATGACTGCCTTAGCTGACAGGGTCCAAGCCGAAGCCCCTTGTAGGGTATTGGAAGGACAGAGACCCTCACAGTTTTAGGGGCCTAAACCTCCACCAGGGACAGTGGCCTGAGAACTGCTTTCTACCTTCTTCTGCCTCTCGCCCCTTCCTCCAGGCTGGGGCAGGGTCCTGCTCCTGGGGAGGGAGAATGCGGAGGAGCCCTCCTCCCTGGCCCAGACCTTCCCTTGCTCACCCTCAACCTCACTCCAGGAGGAGCAGGAGGCAGGCGGGGCTCCTCTTGCCTACCCGTGGGTCTGGTTTGTGTTTAAAGAGCTAATTTCCGCCTTGTGGGGGTGAGTTATCTCCTTGTGAAATCAACTTGTAGGAACAAAAAGGGTTTACCAATGAGACACATGTTGCCTCCTTCATGGAAACCCTAGGAGAAGAAACGGACAGATTCCCCTTCCCTGCCTCCGCCCCAGCCCAGCCCCAGCGGTCCGTCTCACTCGGTTGTTGCTGTAATGCTGGTCTCCTGTCTGTGTGCGGCACTGCAGATGTGGCGGGCAGGGGCTTGGGAGCTCTGGGGCAGGCGCTGAAGGCAGGTATGTGTGTGAAGTCAGGTGCGGGGGTGGGGGTGGCTCCTGGCCACACCCTTGCAGGGCTCAGGCCGCCAATGGTGCTGGGGCCTCCTCCCCCAGGAGGGGGGCTTTGTCAAGGATTATGGTGTATTTCCATCACCGAGGCCCAAAGGGGCCAGAAAGGGGCAGGCTGAGGCTGGGGGAGGGGCTCAAGGGAGCCCAGCTGGGAGGGCCCAGGCAGGCAGTGCGGAGCTGGCCGTGGGCTGCCTACCCTTTCATCTCTGCAACTCCTTCCTCCCTGGGCCTCCCTTCTGGTGTGTCTGTGGGTCTGTCTAGGTGGGCTTGGGAAAGGGGAAGGAAGGGGCGTCTCTTTAGGCAGCTCAGACTGGACAAGCCTTCTTTGAAAATGGTCCTTTGAACACACGCCTGCTGGTGGTTGGTCAGACAGATGCGCCAGCGGGAGCCCCGGGGCCCCAAGGGGACAGCTATCTCTGCAGGACCAGTGCGATGGGCGGGAAGGGAGGAGGGGACACGAGAGGCCCTGTCCTCTTCCCGTGCCAGCTTGCTCAGGCCCTCAGTCCCAGACGGGCTTTTCCCAGAGAGCTAAAAGTAAGAAAGTAACCTTCAGGATTAAAGAGAAATGTTTCTTTGTTTGGGTTTTCCGTCTTTCTTTCTTTTTTTTTCTCTTTTAAGCCTCTTTTCACATCTGTAGTGGCTTTTTTTTTCTCTCGCCTGGGGTCAAAGGAGAAGGGCCAGAGAATGTCGTCCCAGCCAGCAGGGAACCAGACCTCCCCCGGGGCCACAGAGGACTACTCCTATGGCAGCTGGTACATCGATGAGCCCCAGGGGGGCGAGGAGCTCCAGCCAGAGGGGTAAGTGTGGAACCACCCCACCTCACTCTGTCAGCCATCAGAATGGGGTGATGGCAGAGGTTGCAACTGGCCAGGGAGCAGCTCCTGGGCAGGGGCTGCTAGGTCTGGCTCTGCCACTCATTTGCTGTGTGACCTTGGGCAAGTCACAGCCTCTCTGGGGTTCATTCAGTCTCTGCCTCTGTTACATGAGAACAACATCCCTCACCCTGCTGTTAAGACACCTAAGGCTGGTCACCTTAGGTATGATGTGTGACGTGTTAAAAATACAGATGATTCAGATCTGCAGGGATGGCTCCCTGGGTGATTCTGGCCCATAGCCAGGATGGAGAAGCTGCTGAGAGCAGTTGAGGCAAGCAGACCTCCCTTCAAGGGGTTATTGGTCTCTGTGGTGAGCATTTGGGTGTGGTGTTTCCAAGTGTCAAGTTCTCTGGGCAGGCTGGGGGATTCGGGGAAGGCAGAGAACCAAAGGGAGAAAGCCTGGTGAGAAGTCACTGAGGAAACAAGCACCCTTGTTGTCTTTGGATGGTCTCAGAGGATGAGGAGAGCCTATTCCCTTTAGCAGAAGTGCTCAGGCCAGCCCAGGTGAGGGTGGGAGCAGGAAGGCAGCCCGCCCCAGGGTGGCCTGAGAACCCAGCCACAGCTGCTTTGCCTGGGTCCATTCTACCGGGGTTTAGTCTGGGCACCCTGGTGGAGGAGCTGGGCCCCTTCTGTGTCCCCCACCTCCTGCCAGGATGTCTTGCCTGTGTAGGACCCAGAGCCAGTTCTCCCCTGTTGTTCCCAGGCCTGGCCCCATCCCTTATCTCCCTGCTCTGTCTGACGGTTTGGAGAAGTAGAAAGGTGAGGCTGGGGGTTGCCGAGCCAGATGTGTGCACATCTGTTCTCCATCAAAACCTGAAACTTGAGAAGGAAAAATCCTTGCGTGCCTCCCCAGGGGCTGGGGCTGCGGCCTGGCTGGGCTTGGGTCATCCAGCAGGGACAGAGGCTCCACCCAGGCCTCGGGGAAGGAGCTGTTGTTTGGAGGACTCAGGGTTCTGACCACCTGGAAAATAGCCTGCAGTCAGCAAGGGCGTGCTCCCCACTCATCTTGCCTGACTGACCGAGAGCCTGTGGGCTCCACATATCCTGCTGTGTATGTGTGGCCTGCGAGAGACCAGAATGAGGACAGGCCCAGGAACCCATGAGGATGGTTTCTGACCTAGGTGAAGGCTCTAATCTGAAGCTGTGTCCTTGGGAGCCTCAGGGCCTGGGCACTGGCTGGGGGCCAGGTGCCTGTAAATGTAGCTGTGGTCTATAGCTGTTGTCTCAGAATAAAGTTGTGTGTATGTCAGGCACTGGGTGATGGGGAGTCCAGTCCCTCATGTGGGTGACATCTAGAAGATTCAGCTTCTTTCTCCCACTGCAGGGCATGACATCCATAAGAATAAAGAGATTTGTTTGAATCTACTTACTTAGCCAAACCAATTGAGCTGCCTGCCATCCCCCTGCCCTCAAAGTGGGAGCAGAAAATTGGGAGCTCAGGGGAATCCCAAGGAAATGAACTTGGGTTCACCTCTGTCTGTGTGAGTCAGACACCCTGGGGACATGTTGCATCAGAGCTTTGAAGAACTCCGGAGTGCCCAGTGCCCCAGCACTCTCAGGCTGGAGTTGGGGTGGATGAACACTGATGGCAGTGGAGTCAGCCACAGAAATGTCCTAAAATCCAGAACATTCAATGGCTCAAACACCCTCAGTGGCTTCCTGGGGCCTCCCATGCTTGCTGTAACCTCATCTCACCTGACCTCTGGGCTGCAATCAAACTGGAAGGCCTGCCCAGCCCCAGCCACGCTGCCTGTCGCCTGCCTCTCTGCTTCCTCATGCACTTCCCTCCACCTGGAGCTGCCTCTCCCCTTCTTTGCCTAAAGAGATGCTAACCAACTTTTATTTATTTATTTTTTGAGATGGAGTCTCGCTCTTGTTGCCCGGGTTGGAGTGCAGTGGTGCGATCTTGGCTCACTGCAACCTCCGCTTCCCCAGTTCAAGTGATTCTCCTGCCTCAGCCTCCCGAGTAGCTGGGATTACAGGTGCGTGCCACCACGCCCAGCTAATTTTTTTTGTATTTTTAGTGGAGACAGGGTTTCATCATGTTGGCCAGGCTGGTCTCAAACTCTTGACCTTGGTTGATCTGCCTGCCTCAGTCTCCCAAAGTGCTGGGATTATAGGCGTGAGCCACTGCTCCCAGCCACTAACCATTTTTTAAACTCCAATCAGATACCACCTCCTTTTGCCCAAAGTTCTCCCTCCTCTGCATCCTTCAGCACCTGCTGTGCCTGTCCCAGGATCAAGCTCACCACCCTCTCCAAGGTCTTTATGTCTGTGCCATCCTGCCTGTCCCATGGCACAAAAAGTGGGGCCACAAGCCACTAGCCAAATATTTGCTCATTTCTATGCCACCTGAGATCCCCATCTGACCCCTCACACTGAGCTGAGAGGTCAGATGGGGACCTCAGGTGATACAGAAAGGGCCAGAGGCTCCCCCAGGCAGGGCCCTGGAGGGCATTTCTGGGGGTAGGGGTGGTTTGGGGTAAGGTCCATAGGAAAATGGTCAAACTACTCCAGGGACAGTTTTCCAAGTCCCTGCCGGGCCCAGGTGTAAAGGTGGAGCGGGACCTAGTCATGCGGGGAGATGCCGGCTGAGAGGGAGGGCTGCCCTACGCACCAGAGTGAGAGGCCTTGGAGCTGGAGGTGGGGAGCTGACACTGGAGTCAGTGTGGCTGCTACTCACGATCCCAGTTCTACTTTGGGAAGAGGCTGGTCTCCTGGCCAAGAAGCTGCCCAGAGCTGACTTACTCTGCCTCTCCACCAAGTGACTGGTTTCTTTCCCACCGCTCACCCGCTGGGATTTCCTGAGAGAAAGCGAGCAGGACAGACCGAGCTGACCCAGCAGAGCATCCCAGGGCTCTGCACTCCCCTGGATAATGCAGCCTTGATGCCTCTCTTCATACAGTGGAGGGCGTTTTGGTGGGCGGCTAAGCCCTCTGTGCAGGCAGGGACTGGCGGCAGCCCAGGCTCCATCTCAGGCCCTCGCCCACCAGACCCCACTGGCCTCACCCATGCTGCCACCCTCCCTCTGGCTCTCCCAGGCCCAAGCTGGGAAAACCCGGAGCTCTACTGCTCACCAGGGACCCAGTCCTGCCTACTCTCCCAGGGCCAGGGCCAGCCCTGAGCTCAGGACTCCTGCCTCACTCCCTTTCTCCACCACATGATTCTGCTGGGGAAGCGGAGGGTTTCATTGTCCTCAGTGACCCCTATCTCCACTGTGGGTTTACCTCTGCGCTCAGCCAGGGTGAGTGCAGGACCATTGCCAGGCCATAGGGAGCCTCTGTGGAATTAGAGAAAGGGATCCCCAGTTAGGTGCATTCAGCTCAGCAGGTGCTGGGTTTGGTGAGCAGGGTGGCCTGCTCGTTCCCTTGGCTGAGCATCTTTGTGCAGTGGGCAACCTGCATGGCTGTCCATGGAGGCTCTCAATGAGAGGGAAGCAGGAAAAGAGAGGGACCAGGGGAGATCATTTTAGTCACAGACCAACCTCAGATGGCAGTGAGTAGAGGGCGAATCACAGGGCCAAACCCTTGACTGCTTGACCCAGGTAGTGTGCTCAACTGCAGTTCTGAGAAGACGTCTGTGAGACCAGGAGCAGTCAGAGGGGCTCCCTGGAGAGGGGAGGCCTTGAAGGACAGGAAGCATCTGGGTGAGCAAGAATAAGTGCTCAGCCGGGCACAGTGGCTCACACCTGTAATCCCAGCACTTTGGGAGGCTGAGGCATGAGGATTGCTTGAGCTCAGAAATCCAAGACCAGCCTGGGCGACATGGTGAGGCCCTGTCTCTACTAAAAATACAGAAAAAAAAATGCCAGGCATGGTGGTGCACACCTGTGGTCCCAGCTACTCATGAGGCTGAGGTGGGAGGATCTTTTGAGCCCAGGAGGCTGAGGCTGCAGTAAGCCGAGATCGAGCCACTGCACTCCAGCCTGGGTGACAGAGCAAGACCCTGTCCCTCCAGAAAAAAAAAAAAGAGAATAAGTGATCAGGCCGAGCCGGTCTACTCTGCTTCCCCTGGGAGCTTCCCATGTCCTTTAGTCTTATAACCCCAGAGCTTGGCATGGGGCTGGCACATCACAGGGACACGAGGGCCCCAGAATGACCCTGAGAAGGTGGGACTGGGAAGGCTTGTGTAGGAGGGATCAGAGGGTTGAGGGAGGTAGTGGGTAAAGCCTCAGTGTGAACAGTCTTGAACCCCAGACCCATCTGCACACCCAGGGGGGCCTGACGCAGGCCTGAGCCAGCCTTCATTTGCTCTGCAGGGAAGTGCCCTCCTGCCACACCAGCATACCACCCGGCCTGTACCACGCCTGCCTGGCCTCGCTGTCAGTGAGTCCAACCCAAGTTGAACCTGGCTTGCAAGCTGCTGCCAGCCTGGGCAGTGGGACCTGTGTTCCCCACTGGGGCTGGTGAAGGGGGGCCCTGGAAGATCCTGGGTGGGGGGAGCTATCTGGGAGTTCTCCCAGCTTGGAGGCCCAAACCAGGATGCAAGTCCAACCTTCCAGATGTCTGTCACCCCTTGACCAGTCCCCAAGATGTCACATGAGTGTGCACTGGGCAGGTAGGGGATATCCTGGGGCCTGAGTCCAAGCCCTCAAACTCAGACCCTCAGGGGAGGCCTGGGCACCCCAAGCCCTCCTCTGCACTCTCCTTTCAGATCCTTGTGCTGCTGCTCCTGGCCATGCTGGTGAGGCGCCGCCAGCTCTGGCCTGACTGTGTGCGTGGCAGGCCCGGCCTGCCCAGGTTTGTACCATGGCCTGGGCACCCCCACTCAGGGGACCCAGCTGACAGGGTCCCTCTGGGAGGGTGGGTGATTTGTTAGGTACCTAAAAGGCAGCTCTGGCTTTAATGACATCCCTATCGCCCTCAGCCTGGAGCTTTCCTCACCCCCACCTAGGTCTCCAGGTTTAGTCAGGACCCCCAGAGGAAGGGGGAGGGACTCGCTCAAGCCCGCCTGGGAGAAAGGACTCCAACCCAGACCCTAGGGAAACAAGCCTGACAGGACCCAGCGTCAGAGTGTACCTTCTCAGGCAGCCCTCCATGTGTGGATTGACGTGACCATCCCAATGCCATCTTGACCGTCATCTTCCCTGAGGGTATCACCTGGACCCTAATGCTTGAAGGCAGATTTATGGGGACTGACATCTAGCCCCTATAGCTGGAGCTTTCTTCTCCTATCTCCTTCAGCCCTGTGACTCCAGAGCCTGGACAGGCATGATCCTGAGGAGATGGGGCTGGGCAAGCTAGTGTGCGAGAGACCAAAGGGTTGGGGCAGGTGATGGGTGGCTCCTTGGTGTAGACAGCTTCACATCCCAGACCCAGACTGTGCACCGAGGCAGGTCTTGCTGTGCTGGTTTTGTGGGGAACCAGCCTGGGGTCTCTGGTTGGCCCCAGAAAGAGCTTGCCCTGGCTGGGGCAGTGTTTGAGGGAGAATGAACCTCTCAGAGCATGAATGCAAGCTGCAGTGCAGAAGCTGTGGGTCTGAGTGGCTTGCCCTGAGCCCAGAAGGGTGATGCCTGGGACAGCTATGCCCGCTGTCTGCCCTCTGCCCCGGGTCCACACCCAGCCCAGGGCGGCGGCTGTTGTACAAGGATGTTGTGACTCGCTGAGTTCTCTGAAGGTTTGCCAGCTCAGACAGACCAATTAGTGTGGAGGTGGCTGCTTCCTGGAGCTTCCAGGGTGGGCGGAGGAGCAGTCTTAGGGCTTCTTCCCACTGTATGTGTGTCCCAAGTCCCTTTGGCACGGGGCCCAGAGCTTGGTAGATAAGAGGCACTCCACAAATATCTATGGAATGAATGAATGAAGGGGCCTTATTCCCCCATCTAGAAAGTGGGACTGACTCCACCTCCTTGATTTATGGAATACAGCTGGGAGGTAATGGGGGTGCAGGGGCTGAGCAACTCCCTCCTGCCCTGTCCTTGCCTCTGTGCTAGCCCTGTGGATTTCTTGGCTGGGGACAGGCCCCGGGCAGTGCCTGCTGCTGTTTTCATGGTCCTCCTGAGCTCCCTGTGTTTGCTGCTCCCCGACGAGGACGCATTGCCCTTCCTGACTCTCGCCTCAGCACCCAGCCAAGGTACCCACTGACCCCCAGGCCCTGGGGTTGGTGTGATGGGATGGGGTAGGGTGGGGTCTCGGAGTTTTAAGCTTGGCTCAAGGAGATGAGAGTAACAGGAACAGCTGTCAATGAGATGGGCTGCTATCCTGAGACGTGACCTTTTTAGACCATCCAGTCTTTACAACGATGCTACAAAGTATGCATATTAGCCCCATTTTGCAATGGAGGAACTGAGAGCCAGGGAAGTAGTATCTTAAATTGAGTATTTGCTCAGGCACCATGCTAAGCATTATATATCCACCTTCTCATTTTGCCCTTGCTAATATACTGTGATTATTTTCATTTTACAGATGGGAAAACTGAGGCTCCAAGAGGTAACTTGCCCAAGATCACAGAGTTGAGACTAGTCAGAGCCTGGATTTGAACCTAGTGTTCTTGCCCACTGAACGTGCTGAAGGGCTTGGAAGCTGGAGACCGAAGAGAGGCCTGGGTGGGCTCACTGCAGGCCCCATGTCTGCCCCTCCAGCATGGGTCTCTCTGCTTGTTTCACCTTCCAGGGGCCTGGAAGATACTGGGACTGTTCTATTATGCTGCCCTCTACTACCCTCTGGCTGCCTGTGCCACGGCTGGCCACACAGCTGCACACCTGCTCGGCAGCACGCTGTCCTGGGCCCACCTTGGGGTCCAGGTCTGGCAGAGGGCAGAGTGTCCCCAGGTGCCCAAGGTAACCGCTGATCACAATGGCCTAGGGCAGAGGGGCGCACAGAGCAACCTACTCAAACCACAGTGCCTCCTTTGAGCTCTGATTCTATGATGGGCCGCCCTGCAGCCTTCCATTGTGCATGGGATTCCATGCCTTCAAACATGTGCCCCTTCCAAGCTTGGCTGCTCTGCAGGAGAGGCAGGGAACAAGGTGGCTGGGCCCAGCCCTCAGGAACTTTAAGTCTAGGAGGTGGCGGAGAAGGGGAAGTGGGCAGAGTAGGGGGAAGAGAAAGCCTGAAATGGCCCCCACCCCCAATGCCTGTGTTAGTGATCCCCCAGCTTCCCTTTGGTCAGGCTGGAGAGGGAATGGGAGTGAAGCTTGATGGAGGCCGGCAAGTGCGAAGTCAGGGATGGTCTAAGAGGGCTGAGAGGAGAATTCCGGAACCTCAGGACCTTGCTCACTGGCTGCTGGCTGGGGCTGTGAAGCTGTCCAGTCTAGAACTCAAAGAGTGATGGTACAGGCTTTAGAGCCAGACAACCTGAGTGTGAATCCAGCTTCACCACTTCATTCATTCACTCACCCATTCATTCAACAACATATTTGAAGCACATACTTTGTACCAGGGACATTTCCAGGCACTGGACTACAGCTATGAACAAGACAAACAGTCCCTAGCCTCCCAAGAGCCGTCACTTCAGAAGGGCAGACATGACACGCAAACAAAATGATGCCAGGTGGTACCAAGTGCCTTGGGGAAACAGTGCCACCTTTCTGAGACCGTTTCTCCATCCGTCCATGGAGCTGATAACACCAGTCCCTCAGGGTGGAGGTGAAGACTAAGAGGTTGCTTTGAGAGGGGGAACTTGGTGGCTTTTTTTCACCACCTAGAACCTGGCACATACTAAGCTCTCAATAAAAGTATATTGAACCAACAAATAAATGAATGAGTATACAAAAAGCCCACCCCCAGGAAGGCCTCAGCCCTGAGGAGTAGGGCATAGACTTTCCTGATGCTCAGGTTGAAAACTATATGTAGGCAAAGGCAGGCTTTCGTGTGATTTTCAGAACTGTTCCTAATGCTCCGGGAACACAGAAACAGAAAGAGGTGTCCTTTCCAGTGGGGGGCAGGAGGGAATCAAGTGATCTCCTCCTCTTGGCTCCTCTCAGGCCCGTGGGGATCCAGGAGCCTGGGGGAGGGGTGAGCATCTCTGCAGGGCTCGAGAAGGGGAAGTGGGCAGGTTTGCGCTGGGTGGCAGGTTGGGAACCATAGAGCTGAAGCCTTCCCATGGCCCCCCAGACCACCCTCAGGGCCCAGTGTGAGGTGGGAAGGGCAACGGATTCTGGTTCTTGGCTGGGGGAAGAAGGTGGAAAGTAGTCTGTCTGGGTGTTTGTCTGTCCAGATCTACAAGTACTACTCCCTGCTGGCCTCCCTGCCTCTCCTGCTGGGCCTCGGATTCCTGAGCCTTTGGTACCCTGTGCAGCTGGTGAGAAGCTTCAGCCGTAGGACAGGAGCAGGCTCCAAGGTAAAGGGGCAGGCCTGGGATGAGCTCTTCCTCAGCACCCAAGACAGCCCTACTCCCCCGTATCTGTGGTCCCAGATACATGGCCGTGCTTGATGTAGGGCCCAGCACAGAATAGATGCTCAGAAAATGTTTGCTGAGTGACTGCTTAGTCCTCCCTCCCTAGGCAAAAGCTGGACTGGGCCCTTGACTGGCACCCAGGATACCCGCGGCACTGGGCTGTGTGAATAGTAGGGACTTAACAAAGCAGAACTGAGTCAGAAGCCAGGAGAGTCATATCTCTGTCTGTGAAACACTGAGATCTGGCTGGAGAGACAGCCTGGAGCCTTGTGCCTAATCCGAGTTCTGCACATAATGAGATGATTCAGGAAGCACCCAGGGCAGAACTCCATTATGAGTCAACTCTAGGTTGGATGTGGTTGAATAATTTCAGATAAAGGGGAGGGCTGAGAGGGCTTCCTAGAGGAGGTAGACTCTACAAGGGCCTGAAGGACAGGGAGATCTAGAGTGATGAGAGAATAAGGAGCAGGCATTGTAGGCACGGGAAAGAGCATGAGTAAAGGGGAAGAGATAGTTTTGTGTCTGTTTTGTTCATTATATTTGCAGCACTGGGTGGGTCTTGGCCCTTAATAGATACTCAGCAAATATTTTTGAATTTTTGAATAGATGGATGAATGGATGGATGGATCGAAGGAAAGATGTATGGAAGGAAGGATGGATGGATGAATGCATCATGGTAAAAGAGAATTCTTAGAAGATACTTCAATCTCACTAAAAAGCCTTCTAAGCACCTACCATATGTCAGGCCCCGGGCTCAGTGCTGTGGACTTGGAGCTGATGGACTTGTGTCTGATCTCCAGGAGCTCCCAGTGTGGTGGGGGAGACAGATGCGGCACAAAACACCTGCAGTGCAATGTGAAACCTGCACCGGGTGTTGGGACTGTGGTGCAGGGGGCGGGGTCCACTACTTCTTTCTGGTGAGAGAGGAGGAGGAAGAAAGCTCTGCAGAGACCCTCAAAGGGGAAAGAAGAACAGACTCAGGAGAAAGTCTTAAGACATAGAGGCCAAAGGGCGTGGCTTCTCTTCAGACAGGGCAGGGGAAGGAAAGGCTTGATGGGAGGCACCTGGCCAGCCAGCAGGTAGGTGGTGGTGCCAGCTGCTGGCCCAGGGAAGGTGGAGGGAGGAGCAGGTGCTCCTGGGATGATGCTTGGTCCTGAGGGTGTACTGCTCAAAGTCTGGAGCTCAGCAGAGGGGCTGGGACCGGGTGTTAACTCGGCAAGGTCAGACTGAATCCAGAGAGTGAGTGAGATCCCTAGGCAGGATGGAGAACCCCGGGTCCCTTTTGGGCTACTCTGGTCCGAGAAGGCCCACGGACTCCAGACTCGGCTCCCACGTGGCAGGCAGGGAGTTCTGAGCGCTTGTAGCTCCTGCCTATTGAGGCCAACACCCCTCGAGGAAGCCTGTGTCCCCTCCTGTTTACAGCTGGCTCTGAAAAGGGAGCGGCCCCCCGGGACGACACAGTGCCTGAGGCATGCCCCTTTACCTTCTCTTCCAGGGTTTCCACCACCCCATCTCTCTCTCCATTGCCAGCCTTTCCTCCCAGGCTTGAGAGGTGTACAATCCTCTTTGGACTTTGGTCAAAGAGGTTTAAGTCTCAAAGGACCCCCATCAAGCTTTGAGCTGACCCACTCCTGCCCGGGATCCCAGGGTTGTCATGGCAACAAGTGACAACAGCCTGTGTTCTCCCAGTGATTCCAGGCAGGGGCTCACCCCATCTTCCCATGGGCCTCTGCTACTTCACAGGCAGCTTAAGGCCTGGAATGTGGCTTAGACAAATCTGGTCACCCTTGTGATCTCCCTTGCGCAGTGGCAGCAGGAGAAGCCTGAGGGTGTCTGACCTGGAATGACCCTCTTCTGTGTCCTGGTCTAGGATGTGCCCGTGGGACACAAGCTTCCCTTTGCCCCAGTTTCAGCTAGCAGAGGCCAGAGGGCTAGGGGTGGGAAGAAACGGTGAAGAGATGTGACTGAGTAAAGCAGGCGAGAGTTGGAGACAGATCTTAGGAAGAACTTCCTGGCATTGATGGTTCTTTGATAGGAGACTGGCCTTGTATTTGTGAGAGAGAAAAGGGAAGCTTTGGAGGGCACGGACCTCATCCCCACAGGTCAGCCCCATCCACACTCACCACCACCGCCATGGCCAACAGGTTTTTATGGAGCACCTGCTTGGTGAACACTCTAGTTCCCTGAGCCAGGGACCCACGAATGGGTCGAGGCAGATCTCATCTGCTTGTTCAATTGTCTGTCTCCACAGGGGCTGCAGAGCAGCTACTCTGAGGAATATCTGAGGAACCTCCTTTGCAGGAAGAAGCTGGGAAGCAGGTGGGGTCTCTGACACACCCTTTGTGGGCCAATGGATTGGGCTGGTTAGCAGCCGTGCTTGGGAAGCTGGCACTGGGCAGCATGGCAGGGGCAGAGGGGAAGAATGACCAGCCTCTGGGGCTGGCCCTCAGGGAATGGGCTTCCCCTGAGGACCCCGCACCTGCCTGGGTCTTTCTGCAGCTACCACACCTCCAAGCATGGCTTCCTGTCCTGGGCCCGCGTCTGCTTGAGACACTGCATCTACACTCCACAGCCAGGTATGGGGTTGGGAGCTGAGGCCGAGCGTGACAGGGGACGTTACCCTCCCTTGCACAGAATGGCTGCAGTGGAGGACTGGCTCCTGCTCCCCAGAATCCTTGTCATCAAGAGGGACAACTACCAGCTTGGGACAGCGGGAAGACCCTGGCCTGGCCTTGGTCATTTAGGGTCCTGCTGGCCCTTTTCCTGGGCCCCTTGGGAGGGAGGAGGGCTCCCGGGCCTGAGTGGTGCTGTTCACCATACTCCTTCCTTTGAGGACTACAGGATTCCATCTCCCGCTGAAGCTGGTGCTTTCAGCTACACTGACAGGGACGGCCATTTACCAGGTATGTCCCTCACCCTGTACTGCCATCTGCCTCTGGAGCCCTGCCCTCAACCCCCAAGCCTGGAGCAGTTCCGGCCCAACCCAGCTCTCCAGGTGCTCCATCCAGAACCCTGACCAGGTGCTGCAGGCCATCTTGGGAGTTCTGGCCTACCCAGAAGGGCCGGGGTGTTCACTCTTGGACTCATGAAGTGACTCGGAGCATTAATTTTGGAGGCCACATAAACACGAATTTAAATCCTAGCTCCACTATTTACCTCCTGTGTGGCCTTGGGCAAGTTATATAACCTCTCTGAACCTGTTAGCTCATCTGTAAAAAGGAGAAAATAGAATAATTTTCCTCTTTGAGTAATTGGGAAGATTTAGCAAGACAACATGTTTGATAAACTCTGCCTCACCACCTCCGAAAAAAAAAAAACCCCGAAAAAACCAACAACAACAATTAAAATCCTGGGAGATGGGTATGATTATTCTCCACTTTACAGATGGGGAGAATGGAAGCTTGGAGAGGTGAATTTGACTTGGCCAAGTTTCTGCACAGCTAATATCTCAGCGTAGCCTAAGTTTGAATCCAAGTCTGTCCAGCTTTAATTCCTGTGCTCATTTACTTTCACAACATAGAAAAACCAGAAATTTTACATTCCAAAGTTTAGATAGATAGATGATGGGTAAATAGATAGAGGTGCAGACACAGTCATCCCTCAGTATCTGAGGTGGGTTGGTTCCAGGAACACCCCTCCATACCAAAATCCAAAGGCTCAAATTTCTGATATACGATGGTGTAGTATTTGCATATAGCCTACACACATTCTCCAGTATACCTCGTTATCTCTAAAGTACTTATAATATCGAACATAAGTGCTATGTAAACAGTTGTCCTATGTCTGGGTGTGGTGGCTCACACCTGTAATCCCAGCACTTTGGGAGGCTGAGGCGGGCGGATCACAATGTCAAGAGATTGAGACCATCCCAGCCAATGTAGTGAAACCCTGTCTCTACTAAAAATATAAAAATTAGCTGGCGGTGGTGGCGCGGGCCTGTAGTCCCAGCTACTCAGGAGGCTGAGGCAGGAGAATTGCTTGAACCTGGGAGGTGGAGGTTGCAGTGAGCCGAGATCGCGCCACTGCACTCCAGCCTGGCCACAGAGCAAGACTCCATCTCAAAAAAAAAAAAAAAAGAAGAAGTTGTCCTACTGTATTATTTTTTATTTGTATTATTTGTATTGAATTGTTATTTTTTATTGAGGGTTTTTCCCCAAATATTTTTGATCTGCGCTTGATTGAATTGGTTGGTTGTGGATGTGGAACCCACAGATACGCAGGGCTGACTATATGAAGTTACGGTGCTCGAAGGCATGCCTTTGGCCTATTAGGCTGTGATTGCACCTGTCTGTAATGTCCTCATTTAGAGGCGTGAGATCCCTGCTCTAAGGGGCAGATAAGAACACTGATGGGCAATGGGCATGTGGCTGGGGCCTGTGTGCTGCCAGTTTCTTCCCCAGCGTCTCCCCTGTTAGCACAGAAAACCCTTTCCTGGGATGGGGCCCTCACTGTGGGGCTCTTCCAGGTGGCCCTGCTGCTGCTGGTGGGCGTGGTACCCACTATCCAGAAGGTGAGGGCAGGGGTCACCACGGATGTCTCCTACCTGCTGGCCGGCTTTGGAATCGTGCTCTCCGAGGACAAGCAGGAGGTGGTGGAGCTGGTGAAGCACCATCTGTGGGCTCTGGAAGGTGAGGCCTCCAGGGAGCCCCTGAGGGCTGCAGTGGGGAATGAAAGCGGGGAGACCCAAGGTCTATGCCCTAGTCAGCCATGGACACACTGGGGGCCCTTGGACACATTCCTTCCTCTCTCTGGGTCTCGATTGCCTCATCTCCAAATTGTGGCAGTTGGCGCTTCCAGTTCTGAGCTTCCATGAAACCTGAAGGGACATCTCAGCAGCTCCTGTCCCTTGCCTGCTTCTGTGGCATCTTCCCCCACCACCCCCAGTGTCTCTGACCAACTATCCAGGCATGGAGATGAGGAAGGCCATGGGATGGGGGAGCTGAGGGTGGGGAAGGAGGGAAGAGACGGCGAAGGGAGATGGTGAGGATTTCTGAGCGAATCCTCGTGGCAGGGGTCTGGCGTTGGGCAGGGCACAGGCTTTCTCTTCCCCACTCCCTGTCTTTTGGGGCCGTCTCCTTTCTCCTTCCCTCCTCTGACAATGAGCTCCTGAACCAGGGAACCATCTTGGCTTCCCCTTCTGTGGTCTGATGCCTCCTGCAGCCACCTACTTACTCTGCCTCCTGGGCGCTCCCAACAGCGCTGTGGAGGGGACTGAGAAGTGTCCCCACTTGACACATGGGGAAGGATTTGCCTGAGGCCATCCAGCAGGGCAGAGTGCAGCCAAGAGAACGCAGGGCTCCTGAAGCCTAGGCGGGGGCCTTCTCCATCACCTTGGGACAAAGCCCGGTGCTGAGGACTCAGGAGGCATGCGCCTTCTGCTTACTTGGGGACCCCAGGCTGGGACGGATGGGCCCCCGGCTTCTGAGGAGTAACATGTGGTCAGAGCGTGGGCTGCCAGCGTTGCAGGTGGAGGTGTAGCTGCTCCGCAGCTGTACCTGACCATTAACATCATCCTTATCCTACAGACCTGGGCATGCTGGTCATGGCGGGGCAGGGAGTGGGGGGTGGGCAGAGGTGCACGGAGTGACCACTTCCTTCCCTGACCACCTCCACCATCTCCGTGAGCACCTCAGTTCCCGTACTAGAGGCTGCCCTGGAACTGCTGCTGAGGGCAACAAACTGGACAGGTGACAAGTTCCGGGTGAGCTGAAAATGTCCTCTCCCAGGAGATTTTCTGAGCTGGTTGCAATCTGGTTCATAGGCAGGTGCAGACATGGTCCAGGTCAGCCCACAACCAACCTCAGACCCTTGCTCACAGTGACCCTGTAGGTCAGCATCATTGATCCCAGCTCACAGGGCAGGACATTGAGGCTCAAAGACAAAATGAGACACATCCAGGGCAAAGGACTCTGCTTCCACTCATCATGTCTTATATTTTTAATTGCATGTTGCAGTTTCCAAGCTCAAAGGCTCCCACTTTGAATCTTCTTGGGCCAAACAGAGCAACAGTTACTCTTTAAATTTGCAGATGAGGAATACTGAGGCCCAGGAGGATTACAGATACGGCCAAAGCCATCCCGCAACCTGGGCTCCAGTGTCCCTTGGTCTGTCCTTCGCCTAAGGAGCTAATGTCTTCTGAGCTCAGAGCTTCTGTTAGGACTGCCACCCAGCACTTGGACCATAAGCCTGGCATCACTCACAGAGAGCTCAGACTGAGTCAGGCAAACTAGATTAGAATCTCTGTTCCATCACTTACAAGCTGAGTGACCTTGGGCAAAGTGCATTACCTCTCCTGACCTCAATTTCCCCAACTGCAAAATGAGTGCTGGAGTGAAAAAGGAACACTTGCCCTTGAGGCCCTCAATCACATGAGGGAAGACAGATCTATCCCCCAAAGCAGGGCCCAGAAGAAGGCAGGCACAGGATCCCAGAGGTGGCAAAGAGCAGGAAGATTGTGTGAGTGCTGGGGTTTGGGGGTGCCCAAGTTGGGAACCAGTGGAGGGAGAGAGAGGTAGGAGGTAGATGGATGGAGATCAAAGGCCAGGCCTGTGGCCAAGGGGGCTGCTAACCCTTCAACCCTGTGTTAGCCTGTACACTCACCAGGCCAGGCTCAGCAGGCGGGCTGTTCACCTCCTGGCAGCAAATGGTCCAGAATGTGCCCTCGCTGCAGCCCAGCTGGCTCCAGAAGGGGGACCACAGAGGCTGGAGCTATGCATGCACAGTGCTTTCTCCCAACCTTGCTTCTGAGAAAAGTGTCCCTGCGAGGGCCCTGGAGGAGGGAGCTAGGGACCAGCAGAAGGGCCTAGGTTTCTGTAGCATCATTTTTAGCCCTGGCTGAATCTGGGAAGCACCTGGTGGCTTTAACATTCCCGTTGCTCAAGCCCTGTGCCAGACCTACTGAATCAGAAACTCTCAGAGTGGGGCCCAGCCTCTTTGAGTGAACAGCCCTCCCAGTGATTTTTTTTTTCTTTTGAGATGGAGTTGTGCTCTGTCGCCCAGGCTGGAGTGCAGTGGTGCAATCTCGGCTCACTGCAACCTCCACCTCCTGGGTTCAAGCAATTCTCCCATTTCAGCCTCCCGAGTAGCTGGGATTACAGGCACATACCACCAGGCCCGGCTAATTTTGTTTTGTTTTGAGACGGAGTCTCATTCTGTCTCCCAGGGTGGAGTGCCGTGGCACAATCTCGGCTCACTGCAACCTCCGTCTCTCAGGTTCAAGTGATTCTCCCATCTCAGCCTCCCGAGTAGCTGGGATTACAGGGGCCCGCCACCAGGCCTGGCTAATTTTTGTATTTTTAGTAGAGACGGAGTTTCACCATATTGGTCAGGCTGGTCTCGAACTTCTGACCCCAGGTGATCCACCGCCTCAGCCTTCCAAAGTGTTGGGATCACAGTCCCAGTGATTCTCATGCAAGCAAAGTTTGATCACCACTGTAGTAGGCACCCAATAAATATTGGTTGGTTGGTTGATTTCAATTCATTTCTGATGGAAATAAATCATGAAGGCTCTGCCTTTGGAAAGCCCCCAGAGCAGTGGCTGTCAGTCCTGACTGCACACTGAATCACCAGTGTTGCTTTCACAGGCTAAGGCTGGGTCCCACCCACAGAAATTCTGATTTAACTGGTTTGGGTGCAGGCTGGGCTATGGGCGAGTTTTAGCAGCTCCAGGTGATCCTAAAGGCGCTATCGGTGCTGAGATCCACCACTCTAATCCCTGTGGCTATGTGGAACTAGCACTCACCTTTTCTGTGTTTGCTCTCCCCGTCCTTGAGATTCTGGTGGTGACACGGGCACCAGGAACACTTCCCTGGACTGACTGATGAGATCAGGGTGCAGGCATCTCAGGCTCATTCTGGATCTGCTTAGAAATGGTTACACACCTCACTCTATCATTCCTAGCAGCATGGCTGTCTGGGCGAAGCCCTCTCTCTGAGCCTCAGCTTCCTCTTCAGCCCAGTGGGAACAGTTCTTCTGTCTAACCTTGCGGGGTTGCTGTTACAGTCCAGAGCAAGACTGGATGTGGACGTAAGGTGGGAGAGTTGCAGCCTGCACCCCTGAAATTCTTAAACACCCAGGCTTGTTCATGACACACCATCATGCACACACTCATTGTGTGCATGGCCAGGGAGAGGGTGAGGGAGCTGGGTGACAGCGGCTGCCTCCCTATTCTGATGGACTCAGTCCACACCGATGTGGACTCACACCCTCTATGCCCTGAACGAAGACCATTAGTGCAGACGTGGATGGGGCCTTATGGCTCACATTATCCTGAGAGCTGGGCAGCATAACGGCGTGCGGTATGTTCACGAGCAAATGGGGGCCTGGGGAGAAGGAGTGCCCTCCTGAAGGCCACATGGCCAAGAAGCAGTGAAGCTGGAGGCAGATGCCAGGTTGGATGGAGGTCCCACAGCAATAGAAGCAGCAACAGCAGGGTGAGGACTAGGTCTGCAGACTCAGAGCTGGTTTCATCTCTTGACCACTGTATGTCACTGGGAAGAATGGGGTGGCCGAAGTCATTGGCTTACACTGCATCTGAGACCTGGGGGTGGGGCCAAGAGGCTTCCACACAGAGTTCAGTTTGGGGCAGGGGGAACTCCCCACAAGGCACCACCCTGGCAGGGGTTCTGAGGCCTCCAGGAGACTCTCCAGACCCTGACCTCTCACTTTGCTCATTCTCTGCCCACCAGTGTGCTACATCTCAGCCTTGGTCTTGTCCTGCTTACTCACCTTCCTGGTCCTGATGCGCTCACTGGTGACACACAGGTGAGTGACAGACTCTGGCTCACCCAGCGCCGAGGTGGGGAAGGAGTGGGAGTCCTGTGGGCCTGCGGGGAGGCCCTGGGCCTGGAGGGAGGGAAGGGCTCTGCCGGCCCGGGCTGTCATGGAGCCCACCTGTGCGTGGCTGCGCTGCAGTGGGAGAAGGTGGGGCTGGGTCCTGCCCTTGGGCCTTCCTGTCTGGTTGGGGAAACGTCTGTGAGTGTGAGGGACATAGGGCACCACCAACTCAGGGCAGCTAGTGGAGCTTGCCCCCTGAGTAGGGGCCACCGGGTGGGCTGGATGAGAGGGAAGGTGGCCTGGGGAAGCTGCACCTGCCCGGGAATGGAAGGAGATAGGAGGTGAGGACTGTGTGGACGAGAACAGAGGCTGGGGTGGCCCTGCCATGTGAGAGTGTAGGTGAGGGGTAGCCTGGTGGCATAGCACACTGGAGAGGTGGTACGGGTCTCGCCATGCCACCTTGCTTGCCCTGCAGCGGTGAGTGGTGAGGAGCACTGAAGGCCCAGGGCAGGTGGAAGGGGCAGCCCGAGCACTTACCCATGTCAGAGAACTGGCCCATGTCTCCTGCGCACTTGCCAGGTCTCAGAGCTCTTCCCAGGGATCTTTTTCCACAGGTCACCCCTCCTTCTTCTGGCATTCAAGGCTCCTCAGCCTGTGCTTGCCTTGCCTCTTTACCTGTTGGCTGTGCTGTGTGTCACTTCCATTCTCACTGTTGTTTCTCACTTTTCTGACTTGGCTCAGGTTGAGCCTTCTGCCTCGTTTTGTATTCCTCGTTCACTGTTTAAGACTACCCAGATATCACCTCTTCCAGATATCTTGGGTTAGTGGCCTCCTCCTGGCTCCCACAGTTCTGGGCTTCCCTGCTGATGGCTGTGAGTTGAAATTCTATTGGGAGTTTGGCCAGTTGCTGGCCCAGAGGAGGATTTAGGAAGAGTGTGTTGCTCCCTGAGGTCTCTGCCTCCCTGGCTCCCACCCCAGGACCAACCTTCGAGCTCTGCACCGAGGAGCTGCCCTGGACTTGAGTCCCTTGCATCGGAGTCCCCATCCCTCCCGCCAAGCCATATTCTGTTGGATGAGCTTCAGTGCCTACCAGACAGCCTTTATCTGCCTTGGTGAGCCTCCCTTGCCCGCCACACCCAGCCTTGGCCTGGGCCTCCCCTCAGACACTGGCCTCAGTTGGGGAGAAGAGTGCTCAGCAAGTACTGCCCTCAGAGTTTGTCTGGGAATGCTCTGGGGCAGCAGCAAGAAGGAGGGACCCCCCTGCCTTCCCTGCCCTTAAGAAGCTTATTCAGGATGGGGGTACAGGAGCCCTCGGGAAATTGAGTGTGTACCCTCCACATGGAGATGAACCCTGGGTGCCACCAAGTATTCACATGGGGGTGGACCCAGGTCTGGAGGTGTCAAATTCAAAATGGTACATTCCTGGCTGGGCTCAGTGGCTCACACCTGTAATCCCAGCACTTTGGGAGGCTGAGGCAGGTGGATCACGAAGTCAGGAGATGAAGACCAGCCTGGCCAACATGGTGAGACCCCGTCTCTACTAAAAATACAAAAATTAGCCGGGTATGGTGGTGTGCACCTGCAGTTCCAGCTATTCGGGAGGATGAGGCAGGAGAATCGCTTGAACCCAGGAGGTGGAGGTTGCAGTGAGCCGAGATTGCACCACTGCGCTCCAGCTTAAGAAAGGGCTGTGTCACATTTGGCTACCTACAAAGGTAATGAGATCCCTGTCACTGGGGGTATGCAAGCAGAGTTCCATGGATATTGTTGCAGTCTGCAAAGGGGGTCCTGCCCTGAGAGAGTTGGACCAGATAACCTTCCAGGACCCCTACCAGCCCCAAGTTTCTGACTCTCCCCTTGGGTACTGCAGTGAGAAAAGCACTCTGAATGGTGAGGGGCTGTGGCCTGGGTTGCACATCCAAGGGCCTTGTATCTCTCCCTCCAGTTCCTTCCATTCTCACCTCCTTGCGGGAGGAGAAGGATGGTAAAGGAGTAGATGAATTACTAGGACAAAAGTCATAGCGTCTCTTCTTGGTAGCCCTTATGCCTCCAGGCCCTTTTGTAGACATCATTCTCTAATCAGTTGGCCAGATTATTTCAATAGACAGTCCTTGGGCACCTACCGTATGCCAGGCTCTGGCTTGAAGGAATGCAAACATCAGTTTAATATGTAGCCTTATCCCCCAGTAACTCAAACTCAGGAGAAACTGGAGGGAAATAACATTTGCAAAGTATTTTGTGATTTTAAGAGTTTCCACAGACATTATCTCATTGGATCCTTACAACAGCCTCTGAGGTAGGGACTATTATCCCCATTTTACAGAGGAAGAAACTGAGGCTCAATGAAGTAAAGTGATTTGTTCAAGGCAGCATAGCTAGGCAGTGGCAGAGCAGAGATCTAAAACCAGGCCTGCCCAATCCCAAAGCCCTTGGTTCTGGGGGCAGCGGGGATGGCCAGTTTTCATGGAACCTGTTTTCTGTCCCCCTGCCACTCCCGCCCCTGGCAGGGCTCCTGGTGCAGCAGATCATCTTCTTCCTGGGAACCACGGCCCTGGCCTTCCTGGTGCTCATGCCTGTGCTCCATGGCAGGAACCTCCTGCTCTTCCGTTCCCTGGAGTCCTCGTGGTGAGTGAAACAAGACATGGAGGGCTCAGGGACTCCTTAGAGGTCCGCTAACAGCGACCACCTCCCCACCCCACTGGCAGGCCCTTCTGGCTGACTTTGGCCCTGGCTGTGATCCTGCAGAACATGGCAGCCCATTGGGTCTTCCTGGAGACTCATGATGGACACCCACAGCTGACCAACCGGTGAGGTGGCATCTGGGCTTGTGGCTCCCTCAGGCCCTCGCCTCTTCTTCGGTGTCTCTCTCTTTTTGTGTCCTCCCTCCACTGCCATCTATCCCTTCTCTCTATCAAGGAACCCAGATGATAGTAGAAAGAGCTTGCCTTACCCATAGAGAAAAGGGACAATGGCTCAGCCCACTCCAAAGTACCTCTCTACATACCCGGCATGGGGCTGGAAGTACCCCCGTGAACCTTTCTTGCTTTGGGAATCGGTACTGCTCTCCCCTGGATCCTCTGTTTCCTTAAAACCATGCCCCTCCCCACTTTGTAGCAAGGGAGTTCCCTGTCAGATGACAAGTCTGTGGGAGAACCTTGGCTCCCAGGGGAACTTGGAATTAGCAGACAGGGGACCCAGAAAAGGGAGGTGGGAGGCATCAGGGTCATAGAAAGACTCAGATGGACCTAGAGTTAAAGCCCAGCTCTGCCACTGAATAGCTGACAGCCTTGGCTAAGTCTCCCAATCTCTCTGGGCCTCAGTTTCCCATCTCCCAGCATGGTGGGTTGAAAGAGAGAAGGCCTTGCCCAGGGTGGGGTGCACAGAAGACATAGCAATAAATGGTAGGCACTCAGTAAATACACAGCAGTTCTGGGCATCCAGGTCTGACACTGACCCTGGGGAGGGAGCTCTGGGGAACGGCCTGCCTCAGCTTTCTTCTCCCATCCTAGGCGAGTGCTCTATGCAGCCACCTTTCTTCTCTTCCCCCTCAATGTGCTGGTGGGTGCCATGGTGGCCACCTGGCGAGTGCTCCTCTCTGCCCTCTACAACGCCATCCACCTTGGCCAGATGGACCTCAGCCTGCTGCCACCGAGAGCCGCCACTCTCGACCCCGGTAAGGTCACTGGGCGGGGCTGGAGGATTGCTCAGGCTACCCAAGCAGTGAGGAAGGCATCTGCCCTGCCCCAGGGCCGTGCCAGCTGATCAGTTCACACCGATGCCTGTAGCTGCATGTGCCACCTGTGTGCCCCTGCGCTGTGCCTCCTGTGGCCCTGCAGCACGTGCAGTGGATGTGGGGTGTTCTAGCAGGTCCACACGTGCCCATGCAGCCAATGTGCCACGTGCTTGGTGTGTCGACATGCTTGGATGCAGGGAGTGCACGTGCACTCCCTGTGTGTGTGTTAGGGGATGTCTGGATGCCTCCAGTGTGGCCCCTGCTCCCCCAGCATTGCCATCCGCCACCCCACCCCAGGCTACTACACGTACCGAAACTTCTTGAAGATTGAAGTCAGCCAGTCGCATCCAGCCATGACAGCCTTCTGCTCCCTGCTCCTGCAAGCGCAGAGCCTCCTACCCAGGACCATGGCAGCCCCCCAGGACAGCCTCAGACCAGGGGAGGAAGACGAAGGTGCGCCCTCCCACTGGGAATGGGGGAATAGAGCCTACCCAGCTTCTTCTAGGAAGGATGTGTGCCCCTCCCCAGCACACAGAGTGAGCGCCAGGAAAATTCTCACTTCCTCTCTTCCTTGGCTGCCTTTGGTCACCCCTCCTGGTCTGATCTCAGGGTGATTTTTTCCATGATATGAACACACACATACACACACCATATGTGTGCACACAGAGAGAATGAAACAGCTGCCTTCCTAAGGGGCTCCGTCACTGCCCCCGCTTCTCCCTTGGGGCAGGGAGTATGACTCCTCCTTTCCTTCTGCCCAGAAGTGTGTGTAGGGAGGGGACACTAAGCCAGCTCCAGACCCTTGTCCCACCCAGCTTCCAGTCCATCCACAGACCTCACCCCCCACTTCCATGTGCTGCCTGCAGGGGACATCCTAAGCCTCACGACCTGCACACGCCTGGGATTTTCAGGCTCTCTGATCAGGTCTGAGGGCCAGGGAGGGTTGGCTGGGTGTTTGCTGAGTGACTCACAGAAAGTCCGTCTCTCTCAGGGATGCAGCTGCTACAGACAAAGGACTCCATGGCCAAGGGAGCTAGGCCCGGGGCCAGCCGCGGCAGGGCTCGCTGGGGTCTGGCCTACACGCTGCTGCACAACCCAACCCTGCAGGTCTTCCGCAAGACGGCCCTGTTGGGTGCCAATGGTGCCCAGCCCTGAGGGCAGGGAAGGTCAACCCACCTGCCCATCTGTGCTGAGGCATGTTCCTGCCTACCATCCTCCTCCCTCCCCGGCTCTCCTCCCAGCATCACACCAGCCATGCAGCCAGCAGGTCCTCCGGATCACTGTGGTTGGGTGGAGGTCTGTCTGCACTGGGAGCCTCAGGAGGGCTCTGCTCCACCCACTTGGCTATGGGAGAGCCAGCAGGGGTTCTGGAGAAAGAAACTGGTGGGTTAGGGCCTTGGTCCAGGAGCCAGTTGAGCCAGGGCAGCCACATCCAGGCGTCTCCCTACCCTGGCTCTGCCATCAGCCTTGAAGGGCCTCGATGAAGCCTTCTCTGGAACCACTCCAGCCCAGCTCCACCTCAGCCTTGGCCTTCACGCTGTGGAAGCAGCCAAGGCACTTCCTCACCCCCTCAGCGCCACGGACCTCTCTGGGGAGTGGCCGGAAAGCTCCCGGGCCTCTGGCCTGCAGGGCAGCCCAAGTCATGACTCAGACCAGGTCCCACACTGAGCTGCCCACACTCGAGAGCCAGATATTTTTGTAGTTTTTATGCCTTTGGCTATTATGAAAGAGGTTAGTGTGTTCCCTGCAATAAACTTGTTCCTGAGAAACTGTCCTCATAGCGGGAGGGGTATGCAGGGAAAACCCCGCCTACACTGTCAGGAACACTGTGCATTGATGGGGATGGGGCTTGGGGTGTTCTGGTCACATGCTGGGCCAGACACTGGGTGGAAGGCAGAACCCATAGCTGCATCCTTTTGGGTGGCAAAGAGACTGGGGACCCTATGATGCCACCCCTGAGCCATGTGAATGCTGGCTTTGGAAGTGGGACTTATTCTGGGTCTTGAAGAAGGGGCAGGATCTGGGGAGGAGAAGCGACTTCAGGAATGCTGGGGAAGCAGTGTGACTCCAGGTGTGGAGGTAGGAAGGGGCGTGTCACATGGGGGGACATAGCGTAGGCTGTCCTGATGGGAGGAGAATGAGAATACGGAGGGGAAAGGAGGGTGGAGACAGACTGGGGTCTTTTCCCTACTGGGGGCTTGGTGGAGGTGGAGGGCGGGGTATATGAATAAAGAACATGCCCTGGGTCCACTGAGGGGCTGGGGGCTACAGAGGGTAGGAAGATGTGGCCACCCTACAGATCTAGGTCAGCAGGGCCTTGAGAAATGCCTGCACAGTTAGTGGAGATCAACAGTCCCCTGCCCCAAGCTCAGGTTCCTGCTACAGCCTCAAATACCTGTAAAGCCAGGGGTGGGGTCAGGGACCTGAAACCCACTTTCAAGGCTGCCCCGAGGAGGCCAAAGAGGGCACACTGTGATCCCACTGCAGCCCGTTGAAAAAGGCTTCCTGACCTTGTTTCAGCAACTAACAGGGTCTCAGGGGAGGAGAATCCAGGTTCCCAGAGAAAGGGGGCCTGTTCACATTGGGGATGGGGGAACATCCAGGAAGGCTTTCTGGAGGTGGTGATGCCAGAGCCCACTCTCAAAGACTGACTTAGCCAAATGAAGAACAGGGAAAGGGTGCCTGGGCGGAGGGAACAGTATAAGCAAAGGTGCAGAGGATGGCACACCATGGAACATTAAGGGAACAATTAAATAGCTGTTCCAAGAAGAGGAAGGAAGGGTGCGCTTGTTGGAGGAGCAGGTCAGAGAGGCTCTAAGTGGGGAATTCAGGCTTTACCTGGAGGGCAGTGGGGACCACGGAAGACCTTAAAGCAGGGGAGCAGCTAGTCCACTCAAGGCACAGCCATTCCCTGTGTTAGGTCTTAGGTCCATGTCCTACTCCAAGAAGCCAAGCCACTCAGCTAGGAATGGAGCCAGGGATGTCCAAGTCAGGCTGGGAATATCAAGCCTTAGGCAATCAGAGTCTATTGGACCATGAAGTAGCACCTAGTCCTACCATGTCATTTGGTTTTTGAGGCAACTGAAGCCCAGACGTGGGCAATGACTTACCCAAGGTGGCCTAGCGCATGGAATTTGGCTCCATCCTGCTGTTTTCCACCAGACGTGAGTCATTTTTTTCAACTTTTATTTTAGATTAGGAGTCATTCTTGATACATGCTGCTGGTGACATCAGCTCAGCAGGAGCTGCAAGTTGATGAGGGGAGAGTGGGCAGGGGGAGGTGCTGTATGTGGACCTGGAGGGAGGGAATGGGGCTGGCCAGCAGCCAAGGCTCACAGCTGCTACCCCAGACTCCTTAGCATCCTGCCTCCACTTTGCTGAGCTCAGCAGTTCTGGGAGCTCTGGAGAAAGGCCACAGAGCCTCTCCCCCAGGCCATTGTCTCTGCATGCAGCATCCTCGATCTTGAAAGGGATGGGATAGAGGCAGTAGGAAGACATATATCCTACCTGGCACAGATAGGAGGTTGTGCAGAGTCTCCAGGTTAGGACCTCATCCTTATGCTCCTCATCTGGAGAGGCTGAAGGTTGCTGTACACACACACACACACATGCACTGGAGAGGCTGAAGGTTGCTGTACACACACACACACGCACCGCTCAGGTTGCTGTACACACACACACACACACACACACACACACACACACACGGCCCAGGCCAGTTACTGATCCACTTGCTCTGTGGGGAAAGATTCCTACAGGGAATCTGCAGTCCTCATTTGGACTTTCCTCTTGGAATACCATTTCTTCTTTGGGAGAAAGATAAGTACGATTTGTTTCCCCCCTGGTTTCTCCCTCAAATATGTAAATATGTTCTCTTATTCCCAGTCTCTCTGGGGCTTTCTCCTCCTCTGTCCTGTGTCCCCTTCTCCTCATCTGTCTCCTCCATCTTGCCCCACCTGTCCCCTCTTTCCTCTTCATTCCTAACATCTCTTCCAGGAGCAGGACAGGGAAGAGGAGCTACCACCCAGGCACTTCCATTTCCTTGCGCCTTTCCAAAATGCCTCTCTTGAAGCCACTGCTGACATCAGGCGCTGCTCAGGGTCGCCAGCCACCCCAGGCTCCTGCCCCCAGCTGTCCTGTGGGATGGTTTGGAGGAAGGGAACATCTGCAGCTCAGCTCACCGCAAGGCCCAGCCCCTGACACAGCATCGGGCCAGCACTCCTGTGCCTCCACAGTCTGTTGGAGTCTCAGAGGCCCCTGCCACTGTGGGCAGGCAGGCTGGCTGCCCTGACTCTTCAGCTCCTGATCCTATCTCCCAGCAGAGGCTCCTAGATCCAGACAAAATTCCAGGCAGACACGGAGGGGCATCAGAAATGCTGTTTATTTCTCTGCTGCTCCCAAGCTGGCTGGCCTTTGCAGAGGAGCAGACAACAGATGCATAGTTGGGGAGAAAGGGAGGACAGGTTCCAGGATAGAGGTTGCAGGCTGAGGGAGGAAGGGTAAGAGGAAGGAAGGCCATCCTGGATCCCCACATTTCAGTCTCAGATGAGGACAAAGGGACTCCCAAGCCCCCAAATCATCAGAAAACAGCAAGGAGCAGGAGGAGCTTGAGCAGGCCCCAGGGAGCCTCAGAGCCATACCAGCCACTGTCTACTTCCCATCCTCCTCTCCCATTCCCTGTCTGCTTCAGACCACCTCCCAGCTAAGCCCCAGCTCCATTCCCCCAATCCTGGCCCTTGCCAGCTTGACAGTCACAGTGCCTGGAATTCCACCACTGAGGCTTCTCCCAGTTGGATTAGGACGTCGCCCCGTTAGCATGCTGCCCCTGAGAGGAGAGCACAGGCAATGCTGTTAGCAGCAATGAGCACCGCAGACAGTGAGTTAGGGGATCAAATTCTATCCTAGTCACTAGTTTGGAGCAGGTCTAGAAGTTGGGGATAGCAGGTGCTCTAGAAGAGATTAGAAGGAGAGGTAGGAAAATGTGAAGTCACCCATGCAGGCCTCAGGAGTTGCCAACCCCAGACCCCTGCAGCACTTAAAGGGGCATTGGTAGGGGCAAGGGGAGGAGTTAGGGAAGCCCTGGGTGGGGCTAGAAGGAGGTGAGGAAGAAGAAGAGGAGGAGGCTTTGGCCCAGCAGGAGCAGGCCTGGGGGCAGCTGCCCAGGGACCCCTTCTGCGACTGCAGCCTCAGGGTTCCCAGCACGGCTGAGGTAGATGATGACCACATTGTCCTCCGGCCCTGATGGCTGCACCTCGTTGTCAACCGTATAGCAGCCCTTTCCCTCAACCGCTTTGCCATGGAACCTGCGCCCCAGTGTGTCCTCACCACCCTCACCGGGCGTGGCCAGTGCCACGTCCACTGAGCTCTCAGCACTGCCCAGCTCATTGGTGGCCAGGCAGCTGTAGGTGCCTTCCTCCAGCTTGCCAAAGTCGGGGATAAGCAGGCTGCCATTGGCAAAGGCCTGGAAGCGCGGCTGGGAGCTGGCCACAGGGGTGCCAGGCAGGGCACGCCCATCAGTGCCCACGTTGGGGCTGGTGATCTCCACAATGCCACTGGGTATCTGGATGTGCCAGTGAAGCTGAGGGGCCGGCTGCCCGTCCACATCACAGTGCAGTGCCAGCACAAAACCAGGCCGCAGCTCGGCACCATCCTGGCTGGGTTGGTAGCTGAGCTGCACTGAGGGCGCCGAGCATGGCAGTGGCGGCAGGCGGCTCAGCGGCGTACCCTTGAGCACATGGGGTGAGGTGCAGGCGATGTTGTCCTGCTCCGGGATGGACACGGCCGTGGTCAGGGCCCATGTCTTGAGCCACACGATGCCGCAGGTGCAGTCGAAGGGGTTCTCGTTGATCTGCAGGTGGGACAGCGCGGTGAGCGGGGTGAAGGTGCCCTCGGCCAATGTGTGCAAGCGGTTGTGGTTGAGTTGCAGCGAGCGCAGAGCACGGAGGCTGCGGAAGGCGTCGCGGGGGATGAAGGTCAGCTCGTTGCTGTCCATCTTGAGCAATTGGAGGGCACTGAGGTTGTGCAGGTCGCTCCAGGCAAAGTCAGAGATGAGATTGTGGCTGAGGTCCAGGCTCTTGAGATGGCTCAGAGAGGCCAGGGCTCCGGCGGCCACCGTGCGGATCTCATTGTGTGCCAGCCACAGCGACTGCAGCAGGGGCACCTCCCTGAAGGCACCCTCCGGCAAGCCTGGCAGCCGGTTGGCTGACAGGCTCAGTGTAGTCACATTGGCCGGGAAGCCAGGCGGCACGGATTCTAGGTCGCGGTAGGCACAGTCGGCGATCTGGAAGCCATACTTTTCCCCACAGTCGCAGGGCTCAGGGCAGGCCTGAGCCAGGCCCAGGAGAAGCGCCCACCAGAGCAGATGCAGCTCCTGCATGGTGCCTCCTGCAGAGAAAGGCATGTCACCCAGGGGATCCCGAGAACCTGCCAAAGGGACTCATTCCTCCCACAAGCCCAGCCAGAGCTCTTTCCCATCAGGAGGCCCTGTCCCACATAACCCAGCTAAATCCCAACACCACCTAGCCCACCGCCCCCATCCTACGGAAGGAGAAACTGAGGCCAAGAGAAGGGCGGAGACTTGCCCGAGGTCACGCAGCCAGGCAGGATGAAGACGGGATGGAAGAGGACCCCAGCTCCTCCTCCGAGTGGAGAGTTCTCCCTGCCTCGGCCTGTTCCTAGCTGACTTTATGACTTGAAATCTGTTTTCCAGCCACCCCCCTCCCCCAGCACTTTGCAGAACCTCCCCCTGCCCTCCCACATCCTGGCCGCAGTCCCTCCCACCGGAGCCCCCCATAGGTATGCTTTGCCTTGGCCCAGACGAGGCCCCTTGTGCAGTGCACACCACCCCCATCCACTCCACCCGCCCTCTCCCGCTCCTCCGGCCATGACCGCAGCAGACACCAGGCCTTTTCTGTGGAATCACACCCGTGGCCTGTTCTGTTCAAACTTAGCCAGGCAGCTGCCTAAATAAACCCCCGCCAGGACCTCTCAGCTGACTTGGGTGAGGCCAGAGGCTCAGCCCAAACGCAGCTGGGATTTCTGGGGCCTCAGTTGTGGGTTGTGGAAGAAGCAGATGCCCCCTGGACGGCTCCAAGCTAGGGATTGTCCCACGCACCTCAGACCAGCAGGGATGGACCAAGAGGGAACCAGCCCCTATGTCCAACAGGCCTCCCGCTCCCGCCGCTGGCCCTGGAGCCCTCCTCCCCACTGGCTTACCTTCAAGCTACTCTTAGTCAAGCGGAGCCTCTTCTAAGGTGGAACCAAAAAGCAACAGAGGACCTTAGCCCTGAGAGTCTGCAGGGCCACGGGCGCCCAAGGGAGGACTTGGATGCTGGGGCGAGGGGCAGCCTGGTCCCACCCCACCTTCGATGTGCAGGCCTGTGCCCTCCCTGCCCCAGACAGGGTGCCTGGAACCATCCACTGAGAGGAGGCGGCAGGGAGGAGCCCGGGGCAGCCCGCGCACTCCCTCCTTCCAGCAAAACAACTGCTTCTCTGCAGCAACAAGGACCTGTGTTTCATAAGTGACACCAGAAACTTGAGGGGGGAAGAGATGCCAAATTTTTTTGGGTTGTGTTTTTTCTCTCTCTCTCACTCACTTTTAGCAGCTTCAACTTCCTTAAAGACACAGCACTGTCTGGAAAGGACCCAAGAAATGATGGGGCCAGGAGGATTTTAGCGGGGGAAGGGCGAGAAATTGAATCTCATGGAAGGTGGGAGATTTCCACTTCAAACAAGAAAAAACGGGAAGCTTTTGTCCAAGCCAGGGTTGTATGTGTGTTGGTGTGTATACGTGTGTGTGTGTGTACAAGTTTGTGGGTGTGAGGGTGCGTATTTCTGGATTTGTATGTGTGTTTGCATGGATGTGGGTATGAAACCATGTACATGAGTTTGTGTGTGAGTGTGTGTGTGTGTCTGTCTTGGTGTGGGTTTGTGTGTGGAAGTGAGTGTGCATCCATGTGTGTGTGTTTCAGTGAAAAGCCAAGAAGGCCAAAGTGTACAAAGCAGATACCAACCCTTCGGTGAAAGCCAAGATGTTAGGCATTTTTTTTTTTTTTAAGAAAACATATCCTGCTGGCTCTGAGACTGAGCTGCGCTAAATGCATGTTGTTGTCCAGGGAGCTCCCAAGACTCCAGGCCCCGCCCCTCACTGCGCTCCCCACTGGCTGGGGAGGAAACAGGGAGGCCTGGCTCAGAAAACTCAGGGCGGGAGCCTGTTGACCTTCAGTGCTCCTGGCTGGGATTCTGAGCCACCCAGGCCCACTGCCCACTGGGCACCCAGAGGGGAGGCCAAGGGGCCGCACTCCCGGAGAGTTCTCTCTGTGTCCCCCACAGGGCCCAAAATCCCACTGTTGGTGCTGGACATCTACGCGGTCAGCATCGGCCTCTCTGAGCTCCACTGTTCCAACACCAACTGTGTGGAAGGGGCAGACGCCTCCAGGGTGAGGATATGTGACCCCTTTTCCAAACGGGAAGGCCCAGGGGAGGGGAATGGGGAAACAAAAGAGGCCCAAAACGAGGGAGCTGGAAGAGAAACCGAAAGATGAAGGAGCCCAGAAAAGAACTTTGTAGACTGAAGAATTTTGCTCTCCACAGACAAGCCTACCGTATCCCCTCAGTAGCCCTCCCCAAGCTTCCTTGGCCTTCCATCTGATAACTGGTT